>NC_000005.10:111624958-111927988 GCF_000001405.40 Homo sapiens | reverse complement strand
TTTTCCAGTCCGGGGCCTATGAAGCCCCAGACTTTTTCACAGTCCATCCTATTGTAAACCAAAAAGAGAGTGAGGTGGATCTCAATTGATTTAGAAGTTTGTATTGCCAAGGTTGAGGATGCACCTGGGAAAAAGAAACACAAGTTACAGTAGGATCTGTGGCCTCTGCCTTTCCCAAAGAGGTTTTTGAGGGCTTAAATATTTAAAAGGAAAGAAGCAAATAGGAAGGAAAGGAGGAAAGGGAAAAAAGTGGGCAGGGTAGTTACTCTTGTGAGGCCTTGATTAGAGCTTATGAACCTACATTTTACATGTGAAAGATGGAGGGAGGGGAAAAGTGAACTGTGCATTCATCTTGTGCTCAGTAAATCTATATTTTTACATAGGATACAATCACAATGTGAAATTACAGCTATCTGTTTGGGAACAAAAGGAAGGTAGTTTTTGCATCACTTAGTTCTCAAGCTTAACTTTCCCTTAGGAATAGTGGGTTTGGGCTCCCAAGATTTTCCTTTCCTTTCACACCATGTCCCATTTCCACAGAGCGCTTATCTCAGAGGGCAAGAATTTATCATGCCACCCATCCTTTCACCCTTTCTGCTAGCTTAGATAATGGACACTGGTCATTCTTTTTTGGATTGCTTATCATGTGGTTTGGAAATTTTCCCATTTTGAGTCTTGATTGGATGCTGAGCTCATCCCTCATGAAAAAATTTGAAAGCTCAAGATATTTCCTGTTTCAATTCTTCATAGTAATAGCTATTGTGTTAGAGTAGGTAGCTAGTCAGGCCTCAGTGGCGCAGGAGAGGGCTCCCCCACCACACACCAGGAATGTCAGGTGACCATCAGGTGATGGTTTGGCAGTTATCAGACCATAATAGCAGAATATAGGGCCCAATTCAGAATACTGCCTTCACTGAGGGGCCTGGCCCAGATGCAACTATTACATAGTCTCTCCCGAGATCCATCTATAGGGGAGACACGCTGGCCATACAAATCTAAGGAATCAAAGGGGAATTAGCGGAGGACTAGGGTCTCACACAGGTGAACGTGACTATTCCTGCCTGACCCACTCCTCCGGGTCCATGGATGGAGGACCTAGAGGAGTGGGTCAGGCAGAAATAGTCACACTTGCACCCAGGAGCAGCACCTTTAATGGATGCCAGGGCTCAGGGAACAAAGGAAGGAGAATAGTAGTGGGGAAGCCCCCACTGTCTTCCTCTACACCTGGGTTACTCCAAAAGGAGGGAGAAGACTAAGGGACGTCTTTTCTTCCCCCTCTCTTTCTAGATGGGTAACAAACCATCTTCAGCCTGCACTCCTCTCGAGTGCATTCTGAAGCACTGGAAGTCCTTTGACCCCAAGACTCTGAAGAAAAAGTGGCTTACATTATTTTGCACAAGGGGGCGGCCTTACCAGCTTGGGGACAGACAAACCTGACCTTCTAAGGGAAGTCTTGATTTTAATATTATCCAACAATTAGATCTTTTCTGTAGATGGAAGGGCAAATGGTCTGAAGTCCCTATGTACAGGCTTTCTTTGCCCTGTGGGACAACACAGACCTCTGCAAGCGATGCACAATCGACCCAGCTCTTTTAGCAGCCATATCTGGAACATGCATGGGGAATGATACCCCAAAGCTAAGAAAACAAATTTCTGGGGAATCCTGAGACAACTATTAAGTGTCTCAGCTCCTCTTGTCCCCATTATCCAGGGCTCCCTCCTCCAACTGCACTGTTGGCTCCTCTAGTTTCACCACTTCCAAAACTCCCCACTTCCCCAGTTTCGCTTTTACCCCTGCATGAAATGCCCAGTGGACATGGTGCCAGTAGGGTTCAGGTTCCCTTCTCATTGAAAGACCTTAGACAAATAAAAGGAGACCTGGGTAGGTTCTCTAATGACCCCAGCAGTTATATAGAGGCTTTCCAAAATCTAGCCCAGGTGTATGATCTCACATGGAGAGATGTTATGTTAAACCAAACCCTAACAGCTGCTGAGAGGCAGGCAGCTCTGCAGGCAGCAGAAAAATTCAGGGACAAATAACATGTTTCTTATAGCAGACCAAAAAAGAAGAATGGAGATAAGGTAGTGGAGGAAATTATAGAACAACCATTCCCAACAGGGAGAGAAGCAATACCCCCTGAAAACCCTGGCTAGGACCGTAGTGACCCCACAGATGAATGGAAGAGTAAACACTTTTTAATGTGCATACTGGAGGGCCTATGAAAAACTGGGGCCAAACTTCTTAATTACTCTAAGCTGTCCACAACAGATCAAAGACCAGATGAGAATCCCTTGGCTTTCATGGAAAGGCTAAGAGGCCTTAATAAAACATACTTCCCTGTCTCCTGACTCAGTTGAAGGACAGCTAGTCCTAAAGTACAAGTTTATTACTCAGGCAGCCCCTGATATTAGAAGAAAATTACAGAAACAGGCAATAGGACCAGACAGTATTCTGGAGAACCTCCTCAGGGTAGCCACCTCGGTCTTTTACAGCAGGGATCGGGAGGAGGCCCAGGAAAAAGAGAGGAAGCACAGGAGAAGGATGGAATCTCTGATGGCTGCTTTAGAGGTCTGTAAAGTACAGGATCCACTAATTGCTATCCATGTGGCAAACCAGGGCACTTTAAGAAGGACTGTCCTGGCAGTAAGAAGCCACCTCGACCCTGTCCAGCCTGTGGCAAGGACAACTAGAGGTCGGACTGCCTGCAGAGACGGAGAGACATCTCCGTCCAGAACTGGTCTCCCAAATGCTCCAGCAGAACTGATGGGTCCCAGGGCTCAATTCCTCAACTCTAGTGGCCCAAACTGCCGTTACGCCCAGGAGCCCTGGGTGATTCTGGAAATTGAAGGAAGGAGGGTAGACCTCCTTCTGGACACTGGAGCTGGTCTCTCTGTTCTTTTCCAATCCAGGCTTCCCCTCTTCCCGTAGCACGATTGTGAAGGGCATCTCAGGAAAGGTTCTAACCCTATATTTTTCTCAACCCCTTAGTTGTAGCTGGGGGGACCTACTATTTACACATGGCTTTTTAATCATGCCTGAAAGTCCCACTCCCTTATTACGTGGAGACATTTTAGCTCACATGGGAGCCAGCATCCTTATGGCCCCAGGACAGACTCTTTGACTTCCACTGGTGTAAACCAATATTAACCCAGAGGTGTGAGCAAGCCAGGGGAAAATTGGCCAGGCTATAACTGCTATACTGGTCCAAATACATCTTAAGGATCCCACTTCTTTTCCTAACCAAAGAAAATATCCCCTAAAGCCAGAGGCTAGAAAAGGGCCAGAGGTCATTATTAATAATCTGAAGAAGAAAGGCCTCCTCAGACACTGCAGTAGCCCCTGCAACACCCCAATATTAGGGATGCAGAAACCCAATGGGGAATGGGGACTAGTTCAGGACCTCTGCCTCATTGAGGCCATAGTCCCAATTCATTCAGTAGTCCCTAATCCCTATACTTTGCTAATCCAAATACCTGAGGAAATGAAATGGCCCACAGTGCTAGACCTAAAGGATGCCTTTTTTTTTTTTCTCATACCACTACACCCTGACTCACAATACCTATTTGCCTTCCAAGATCTCTCTGGCCAGACTGCCCAGTTAACCTGGATGATGTTGCCACAAAGGTTTCGGGATACCCCTCACTTGTATGGACAAACACCGTCTAAAGACCTTTCTGAGTTCTCTCATTCTCAGGGTAAAGTCCTACAGTATGTAGATGCTATTCTTCTCTGTGCTCCAACTGAGAAAGCTTCTCTGGAAGGCACCAAGGCCCTTCTCAATTTCTTAGCCAATAGGGGATATAAAGTTTCAAAATCCAAGGCCCAGCTTTGCCAAACCTCAGTGAAGTACCCGGGTTTAGTGTTATCTGAAGGGTCCAGAGCATTGGCAGAAGAAAGAATTAAGCCCATTTGTTCCTTCACCCTCCCTAAAACCCTAAAGCAGCTAAGAGGATTTTTGGGCATTATAGGATTTTGCAGGCTATGGATACCTGGGAATGGGGAAATGGCCTGTCCCTTATACCAATTAATAAAGGAAACTCAGGCAGCCAAGACCCATTCCTTGATTTGGGATCCAGAATCAAAAAGGGTCTTTAACCACCTTGATTTGGGATCCAGAATCAAAAAGGGTCTTTAACCAGTTAAAACAAGCTTTGCTTGGGGCACCAACCCTTAGTCTTCCAATAGGGAAGGCATTCAGTCTTTACATGTCAGAAAGAAAGGGAATGACCCTGGGAGTTTTAACTCAGACCTAGGAGCCAGCTCAACAGCCAGTGGGTTACCTAAGTAAGGAACTGAACCTGGTGGCTAAAGGATAGCCAGCCTGCCTCTGGGCAGTTGCAGCAGTGGCCCTACTGGTGCCAGAAGCCACCAAATAAACCCTGGAGAATAGCTTAACTGTTTATACCCCACATAATGTGGCAGAATTGCTGTCTTCTAGAGGAGGCCTTTGGCTAACAGATAGCCACCTCCTTAAATACCAGACTCTACTAGTAGAGGGATCTGCAGCCCAACTAAAAACTTGCTCTCACTTCAATCCAGCCACCTTCCTCCCAGAGGAAACTGGGGAACCTGAACATGACTGTGAGAAAGTTGTAATAGAAACCTATGCAGCCATGGAGGATCTCAGGGAAATTCCCCTAGAAAATCCAGACTGGACCCTCTTTATAGATGGGAGTCTCTTTGTGGAGCAGGGAGTCTGTAAGGCAGGGTATGCAGTAGTCACCCTGAATCTTTAAAAGTATGTCTCTTTCACTAGGCACAAGCGCCCAATTAGCTGAGCTGATAGCTCTCACAAGGGCACTTGAATTAAGCAGAGGAAAAACAGCTAACATTTATACCAACTCCAAATATGTCTTTCTTATCCTCCATGCTCATGCCACCAATTGGAAGGAGAGACAGTTTCTCACTCCTAATGGGTCTCCCATGAAATACCATCAGGAAATTAATAGGCTTTTATCTTCACTTTTCCTTCCAGAAGAAGTAGCAGTAATGCATTGTAAAGGACATCAGAAAGGATCGGATGAAATAGCTGAGGGAAATAAGTTAGCCAACCAGGCAGCCAAGTCAGCAGCACGAAAGCCTCAGAGTGCCAACACCCTTGAAGCCCCTCTAATCTGGGAAGGCTCCATCAGGGAAATAAACTTCAGTATTCTCCTGCAGAAACAGAATGGGCCATTTCTCGCAGATTCACTTTCCAGCCATCAGGATGGTTGCAGTCAGAGGATGGCAAGCTCCATTTGCCAGCCTCCAACCAGTGTAAGGTCCTTAAGACTCTTCACCAAACTTTTCATCTAGGGAAGAATAAAACTTATCAATGTGTCCAAAGATTATTCTCAGAGGAGAACCTACTAAAAACAGTCAAGCAGGTTGTTAATGCTTGTGAAATCTGCCTTAAAAACACCTCCCTCAACAGATGGCTTCTTCTCCATCGAGCTCAGAGAATGGGAAGTTATCCAGGGGAGGACTGGCAAATAGACTTCACCCATATGCCAAAATCAAGGGGCACTCAGTACCTCCTGGTGTCAGTGGATACGTTCACTAACTGGGTGGAAGCATTTCGATGTCAAACATAAAGGACCTCTGAGGTAGTAACAGTATTAATCAATAAAATAATTCCCCGCTTTGGACTCCCTAAATACCTCCAAAGTGACAATGGCTCTTCATTTAAAGCAGCTGTCACTCAGGGGATCTCAAAGGCACTAGGCATACAATATCATTTCCATTGTGCCTGGAGACCCCAGTCCTCAAGAAAGGTAGAAAAAAATGACATTATCAAAAGACACCTCAGAAAGTTGTCTCAAGAGACTCACCTCCCCTGGACTACTCTCCTTCCCATGGTCCTACTATGGATAAGAAATACCCCTTCAAAATTAAGTTTAAGCCCTTTTGAAATGTTGTATGTATGATCTTTTCTTACCAATTGTATTAGTCTGTTTCACACTGCTGGTAAAGACATACCTGAGACTGGGAAGAAAAAGCGGTTTAATTGGACTTACAGTTCCACATGGCTGGTGAGGCCTCAGAATCATGGCAGGGGGTGAAATGTACTTCTTACCTCATGGCAGCAAGAGAAAAATGAGGAAGAAGCAAAAGTGGAAACCCCTGATAAACCCATCAGATCTAGTGAGACTTATTCACTGTCATGAGAATAGCACAGGAAAGACTGACCCCCATTATTCAATTACCTACCTCCCTCCGGGTCCCTCCCACAAGATGTGGGAATTCTGGGGGATACAATTCAAGTTGAGATTTGAATGGGGACACAGCCAAACCATATCAGCTGGGAATCATAGCAAGTGTAGGGACCAGGGCTGAAGGACTAGCAACCTCTCTGTCCTACTATGAAGGCTTGTCCAAAGACTTTACAAAAAGTTTAAAGGACATTGCCCGAACCATTGATACTATACAAAATCAAATAGACTCCTTGGCAGCAGTTGCTCTACAAAATATGAGGGGACTAGACCTCTTAACTGCTGAAAAGTGTGACCTACACCTTGTTTGAGAGGAAGAATGCTGTTTCTATGTCAACTAATCAGGGAGAGTAAGGGATGCCACCCAAAAATTAGCTGATCAGGCCTCTGAGATATGACAACTGTCAGAGTCATGGGGGGCTCTTGGTCTAAATGGCTGAATTGGAGATCATGGCTCCTGTCTTTGGCAGGACCACTATTCTCCTGAGGACCTCTAGATCGACTTCAGGAGGAACGCTAGCTGCTGTTTCCCCACTCAACGACCATCTCCAGCAGGAAGTAGCTAGACAAGTTGTTGCTTAAACCCTCTAACAACTGTTAGGGTCTCCACTCCTGAGGGAGGAATGTGAGAAGAGAGAGAGAGAGGAGAGAGGAGAGGTAGATCAACTAGGCAGATAGTTAAGGCAAGGGTCCTTGGTAGAATTCCCTTCTAACAAAAAGCGTCTGTCTTCTGACAAAAAGCAGCCCAAGAGGTCATTTCTCTTTCAGCAAAGAGCAACCTAAGAGATCAGGCTGCAAACACAGATAAGGAAGGAAAGCTCTAACACATCTAACACAGAAAGGGGCCTCCTGTGTGATGTACAAACATACAGTGGGCCCCAGTAAGCACAGCCCTCTCCTTTCTTGGACATGTTCAGACAAGATGGCTCACACAGTGGGAACTGCTTTCAGCAGTACCAATTAGAAGAGCTACCTTGAACCAGGCACATCCACTTTGTAGTGTTCTGCCCCGCCTTTTTTATAAATGTGCAGTAGGAAGAGATAAGGAACATGGAGTAACTCAGGCTAAGAAGCCCATATAAGCACTAGAAAGGGTGGGGTGGGGATTCAGAAATTCATGCCTTATGTAAATGAAGCACCCCTCCACACCAGCTTGTCTATAAAAACCCTTACATTTCACTGTAAAATGGCAACCCATCTTTCTGGGACCCCTCACTGCTTCAGAGATTTTTCTTCCTTTTGCTTATTAAACTTCTGCTCTAACCTCATCTTTGGAGTGTCTGTGTCCTTGATTTCCTTGGCTGCAAGACTAAGAACTTCGGCTGACACCTCAGACAATGAGGCAGGTTTCATTAAGACAAATAGCTAATGCATGCAGGGCTTAAAACCTAGATGATGGACTGATAGGTGCAGCAAACCACCATGACACACGTATACATATGTAACAAATTTGCAGGTTCTACACATGTATCCTAAAACTTTAAAGTAAAATTAAAACATAATAAATAAAGGAATAAAAAAATAAAAATGATAATTGACAGCCAGCACCAGGGAGACACAATTTCCTGATGGTCCAAAGTTGTCACACTAAAGTGATAATTGATTGCAGGCACCAGGGAAAGGCAATTTTCCAAACAGATAAAACACTTGAAATTGGTAATCAGCTTCCAGTAAAATCTCAGGAATTGGGTGAGTAGGCTCAGGCATGCACATTAAGAGAAAAAATGATGGAGTATGACCTTCCAAGGGTATTCCACTGCAAAAGGGAAGAAAACTTCATATGAGCATGCATATGACTTCTTTGTGTGTGTGGGGGGGGGGGGTATTCTTTTTATTAATTAATTCAGTTCTTTTACTACATAATGGACAGTTCAGATCTTTCTTTCTTTCTTTCTTTCTTTCTTTCTTTCTTTCTTTCTTTCTTTCTCTCTCTTCAAGTTCTGGGATACATGTGCAGAATGTGCAGGTTTGTTACATGGGTATACACATGCCATGGTGGTTTGCTGCACCCATCAACCTGTCATCTACATTAGTTATTTCTCCTAATGTTATCCCTCTCCTAGTCCCTCAACCCCTGACAGGCCCCGGTGTGTGATGTTCCCTTCCCCGTGTCCATGTGTTCTCATTGTTCAGCTCCCCCTTATAAGTGAGAACATGTGGTGTTTGGTTTTCTGTTCTTGGGTTAGTTTGCTGAGAATTATGGTTTCCAGCTTCATCCATGTCCCTGTAAAGATATGAACTCATCCTTTTTTATGGCTGCATAGTATTCCATGGTGTATATGTGCCACATTTTCTTTATCCAGTCTATCATTGATGGGCATTTGGGTTGATTCCAAGTCTTTGCTGTTGTTAATAGTGCTGCAATAAACATACATGTGCAGGTATTTTTATACTAGAATGATTTATAATCATTTGGGTATATACCCAGTAATAGGATTACTGGGTCAAATGGTATTTCTGGTTCTAGATCCTTGAGGAATCGCCATGCTGTCTTCCACAATGGTTGAACTAATTTACACTCCCAGCAATAGTGTAAAAGAGTTATTTATGCACATCCTCTCCAGCATCTGTTGTTTCCTGACTTGCTAATGATTGCCATTCTAACTGGCATGAGATGGTATCTCACTGTGGTTTTGATTTGCATTTCTCTAATCACCAGTGATCTTTTTCTCATATGTTTTTTGGCAGCATAAATGTCTTCTTTTGAGAAGTGTCCGTTCGTATCCTTCACCCACTTTTTGATGAGGTTGTCTGTTTTTTTCTTGTCAATTTGTTTTAAGTCCCTGTAGATTCTGGATATTAGTTCTTTGTCAGATGAGGGGCCTATAAAACTTTTCTTCCATTCTTTAGGTTGCCTGTTCACTCTGATGATAGTTTTGTTTTGTTTTGTTTTGTTTTGTTTTCTGTGCAGAAGCTCTTTAGTTCAATTAGATTGCATTTGTCAATTTTGGCTTTTGTTGCCATTGCTTTTGGTGTTTTAGTCACGAAGTCTTTGCCCATGCCTATGTCCTGAATGGAATTGCGTAGGTTTTCTTCTAGGGCTTTTATGGTTTTAGGTTTTACATTTAAGTCTTTAATCCATCTTGAGTTAATGTTTGTATAAGGTATAAGGAAGGGGTCTAGTTTCATCTTTCTGCATATGGCTAGCCAGTTTTCCCAACACCATTTATTAAATAGGGAATCCTTTCCCCATTGCCTGTTTTTGTCAGGTTTGTCAAAAATCAGATGGTTGTAGATGTGTGGTGTTATTTCTGAGGCCTCTGTTGTGTTCCATTGGTCTATGTATCTGTCTTGCTACCAGTACCATGCTGTTTTGGTTACTGTAGCCATGTAGTATAGTTAGTTTGAAGTCAGGTAGCATGATGCCTTCAGCATTGTTCTTTTTGCCTAGGATTGCCTTGGCTATACGGGTGCTTTTCTGGTTTCATATAAAATTTAAAGTAGTTTTTTCTAATTCTGTGAGGAAAGTCAGTGGTAGTTTGATGGGGATAGCATTGAATCTATAAATTATTTTGGGCAGTATGGCCATTTTCACAGTATTGATTCTTCCTATTCATGAGCATGGAATGTTTTCTGTTTGTTTGTGTCCTCTCTTATTTCCTTGAGCAGTGGTTTGTAGTTCTCCTTGAAGAGGTCCTTCACATGCCTTGTAAGTTGTATTCCTAGGTATTTTATTATTTTGTAGCAATCGTGAATGGCAGTTCACTCATGATTTGGCTCTCTATTGGTCTATTATTGGTGTCTAGGAATGCCTGTGATTTTTGCATATTGATTTTGTATCTTGAGACTTTGCCTAAGTTGTTTATGAGCTAAGGAGTTTTGGGGCTGAGATGATGGGGTTTTCTAAATATACAGTCATGTCATCTGCAAACAGAGACAATTTGACTTCCTCTTTTCCTAACTGAATACCTTTTATTTCTTTTTGTTGCCTGATTGCCCTGGCCAGAACTTCCAATACAATGTTGAATAGGAGTGGTGAGAGAGGGCATCCCTGTCTTGTGCCGGTTTTCAAAGGGAATGCTTCCAGCTTTTGCCCATTCAGTACGATATTGGCTGTGGGTTTGTCATAAATAGCTCTTATTATTTTGAGATATGTTCCATCAGTACTTAGTTTATTGAAAGTTTTTAGCATGAAGGAGTGCTGGATTTTATCGAAGGCCTTTTCTGCATCTATGGAGATAATCAGGTGGTTTTATCATTGGTTCTGTTTATGTGATGGATTACATTTATTGATTTCTGTGTGTTGAATAAGACTTGCATCCCAGGGAGGAAGCTGACTTGATTGTGGTGGATAAGCTTTTTGATGTGCTGCTGGATGTGGTTTGTCAGTATTTTATTGAGGATTTTTGCATTGGTGTTCAGCAGGGATATTGGCCTGAAATTTTCTTTTTTTGTTGTGTGTCTGCCAGGTTTTGGTATCAGGATGATGCTGGCCTCATAAAATGAGTTAGGGAGGAGTCCCTCTTTTTCTATTGTTTGGAATAGTTTCAGAAAGAATGGTACCAGCTATTCTTTGTACCTCTGGTAGAATTCGGCTGTGAATCCATCTGGTCCTGGGCTTTTTTTGGTTGGTAGGCTATTAATTACTGCCTCAATTTCAGAACATGTTATTGGTCTAGCATATGACTTCTTAAACACACTGTGCATGCTCACCTCCAAAGTGCAAGGACACCATGCATGCGGGAAGCCCACCCTAAGGAAAGAATCATGGGAAAAGGGACACAAGACCCCGAAAGTATGCCAACATATAAAACCCCAAGTCAAAAGGTCAAATGCCACATTGGATCTCCACGGTGCCCATTTGGGTCTCTTCCAAGCGGGCAGAAACTTTCCTTTCTTTCCTGCTCTAAAGCATTTTAATTAACTTCCATCCCTGCTCTGAAATTTGCCTCTGTCTCTTTATCTGCCTCATGCCCCTCAGTCGAGTTCTTTCTTCTGAGGAGGCAAGAATTAAGGTTGCTGCATACCCATATGGATTTGCTGCCAGTAATTCAGATATTTGTCACAACCCCTAACAGTTGATTCTAAGCACTTTACAAGTAGTAACTCATTTAATCCTTAAACAACCCTGTGAAGTAGGTACTACTACTATCTAATTGATACATTTGAGGAAACTGAAGTACAGAGAGAGAAAGTAACATTTTTATGATCACACAGCAAGTAATTGGAAAGCCAAGATTTGAAGCCAAGGAATCTCACCCCAGAGTCTAAACTCTTAGTCACCACGCAAAGGCCCATGGCTCAGGTTTAAACAGTCGGATACAATCACTTCAGATTTATATTCAAGAGCTGGTGCTACAGAGATGTGATGATAGGGTACTCCATCTAGGACTGGGGAAGGTCTACTGTGGCTGCCACATAGACTTTTCTAAGGCAGCAATGGCAGTGATGTCAGTGATAGTGACTGGGGTCCAGGGTGGGCTGGGAGTGCTGGCCATATATGCTGTAGCTTGGAGGGCTCAGCAGAGGCCGCAAAGTTCCACTTCTGGGGTTCAATGATGACTGTGATTATGGCTGTGCAACTCTCTACCTTGTTCTCTCTCTCTCGGTAGTCCTGGGAAAATGACTCTCTCTCTATCATCAACATCTACTATATCTCTCTAATTATAAAACTATATACAGTCATATTGATCACTATATACTATATATAATATATATCTCATATGATATGAATCAGCTGAAATGGGCTTCTTTGGCTTGCGACTATGGCTCCTAATAGTGAGCTTTTAAAGGTGAGGTTTGATGCCTTCTTATGTTTGTATCCTTTTGGCTTCCAGCAAAAATGTTCTGCATAGAGCAGATGCCCTAAACACATTTGTGGCATGAATAATGAGCTGCTGCACAACAAGGTGATCGTGGATGATAGTGACTTATTGGGACAATTCTTCTAGTAATATTAGCGTTTAGATGCAAACCGTTAATGTCCCAAGGTACTGGTTATAACCAATGAACAGGCCGTGAAATCAATTTAGTTCATTGCTGCTAGCATTTTTAAAAAATGAAATAGACTCAATTATAACAGAAAACAGTGAAAATGGAGTTTATCACAGGTAGGGAGAGCAAGTATTATTTCACAAATATTTGTTTTATGTTTATATGTTTTATGTGTAGGTGCATGTGTGAGGGAATGTTGGGTTGTGGTATTACTACGGGCCAAAAATGTTTGAAAACCATGCCAAAATGGTAGCTGTGTCTGCTGGTTAATGTGTCATATTTCCTAGCAGAAGAGAAGAGGGGAAGGATTGTGAATGGTTGGAAGAGAGGCACTAGGACCTAAGTGCTTTTGAGTTCCGGTTTCCAAGAGTATGCTGTGCTGTTTCTCTGTCATTGCCTCTTGTAGTAGCCTCACCAAAATGACTCCAGCCTTTTTTTTAATGTGAGCTGGTATCTTAGGTCAGGTTCCCTAGAGGTTAACTCTGCAATGAGGATTCATGTGCAAGTGATTTATTAAAGAAATAGAGGAAGCATTACAGAGAGAAGAGTAAGGTGTGATTTCAGGCAAAGTCCCTGGACAATTTCTTCAACATCAGAGCTCTCCTGACCTGAGGCCAGAACACTGGACTTTCATTGTCTTTCACCATCAATCATTGTTTTAAAACCACCCTGGGGGAATGCAAACTCTCAGGCACTTCCAGTTCCCTGTGTGCATAGCTCAGTAGCCTGAGGGAAGTCTTAGAAATAAAAGTCCCTGATGAGGCCACAGGAAGCAATAGCACAAGGAAACAAGCACAAAGACACACAGAAATAGTCAAAGGGATTCAGAGGGCATCTGGTTTTAGCTGGTTTGAGTGGCTACCTTTACCTACAATGAAAAGGACTTGTATTAATGCATAGACATAGTTCAAGAGACTAATCAATAAAAAAGAAGAGCAAGATTTTGATAAAAATGGAAAAATCTCTTCCTGAAAGCACTCTTGGGCACATTCCTAAGTTCATATCAGATAAAATTGCATGTTTAAGCTTTTCTAACAACCTAAGACAAACGTTCAACCTTAAAAGTGTATTCTTTAAGTGGAGAGAGGCCAAAAACTCCATTTTGTGGAACTTCAGCTTGTTGGGAACAGGTGCTCAGCGTCACAAACATTAACACTGAGACAAAGGATCTCTCAGTAAGGCTACTTTACTTTCTGCAGAAAGGGTACACTCACCAGCAGTTTTGCCAGGAGAGTACAACGAAAAAAGGAGACAGGGTCATTTATAACCTGACACGTCCATCCTACTGCTGTGTCCGGTTTCCACTGGCTGGAACGGGACCTTACATTCTGTATTTGTCCCGATTGGCTAGCAACTTAGAACTTTCCAAAAGAGGCAAAGGCAGAGGAGAACAAAGGAAGGAGGAAGTAACTTGTGGAATGCTGAGAAAGGTAAGAACACCTTCAAATAAGGAAGTGGAACAGGCTATGACCTAATGCTTGCTTGGACCAGTATAAGCATGTGAGGGCAAATATTTAGGGTAAAATGTGGGAGCTAAGAACACAAAGTACATTGATTCTCTATTATGGCTAGCAGATATCTAAGAATGTTAGCATAGGTCTTTGAATAAATTTTGCTTCTAAGAGAAGTTACTGTTTATTCCTAATTGGACAGGGAGGAGTCTCTTTGAAGAGGAACCTCTACTTCACTTTTTACAAGCTAAAGACCTACTGGACATTCTTAGATGGATCTTTACAGTGATCTATGGACCTAAAGTAAGAATTTATCCATAGCTTGGTGCCAACTTTTGCCTCTGGCTGCCATTACTATTACAAAGTTTTATCTACTAAATTGACTCATATCTAAAAGTACCAGCAGCCACCAAATAATTTTGCATTTAGATGCGTAAGGATGGTTGCTTCCACTTTATTCCCTAAATCAAGCTTGGCATGCTTTTAGTTTTTAAAGTAAATCTGTAGTTTGACTTGAATACCCTCATCCATCATTAGGTAACTTTTAAAAGCTGATGTTATTTCAGGGTGGAATTCTCTTCTACTTCTCTTATCCTCTCATACCCTTAGTTTTTTGTAGTAATAGCCTCATCCCTATAATCAAATCCAGAGACGGGGAGAAGGTAGAGCTGGGAATTCATTTTTCTCCCTACAAATCTTAATTATTCCTCAAAATATTTGTGAAGTAGGAAAGCATGTTTTCAGCACCCATTCCTCACTATCATCCTCTTACCCAATTGTCTGATTAGTTCCTCCTTTTATCTTTTGTTACTGTCTCATCTGGGCATTTAGCCTCCTCATTTTACTCTTCAGTCACTTAGGACCCTGAACTATGAACTCACATCCCTGTTAATCTGGGAAGATGTCTATCCTTTGAATCTTTTCAACTTCCTTTTCTCACATCAAAATATAGTGATGCTGGGTTCCATTTATTCAAGGTCATTCTTTTTCTTCTGCTAGGAAACAGCTAGATTATCTTGCAACCTAGTCTGCTGTAATGGATTAATGAAAGGCAATGTGCTAGTTCCTTATCTCCTGAAAAACACCTGAAAAATTTTAGAAGGATATTTTATAAGACCGCTTTTAAAATGAAGTAGTGCAAAATAGCAGAAAGAGTAAAAGAATTTAGAATTTGAAATTAGAGTGACATGGGATCCATGACTCCTATTCATTTCCTAAGAAATCTTCTACAAATTACTTAACCTCTCTGAACCTTCTATCCTGCCTTTACTGTAAAAAATGGATACTAACACTTACCTTCAACTTTTGTTGTGCTGTAAAATGAAAAATTGTAAAAGTACTCAAGATATTGGCTGCTGTACAGTAGGTGTCTTACACATTGTAGCTAATAAGTAAACAATATTGTAAGCCAAATAAGTGACTCAAAATCAATTACTGGTCAATGCTAATAATCTTAATGAACAAATATTTCTTAAACACTTTGTGTAGGAAGAAAAAAATACAAGTGGTACCTATGAAATAATATTCTACTTTACCTAGGCACGATGCCAGTTCTTCTCCAGCTATTCATCAAACAACCAACTATTCCTTCATTTATTGATTAACTTATTCATGTACCTATTAAGTGCAGAAGGCTGGACTGGGTAATATGAAGAATACAAAGATGTATACATAATCCTGTATTGACTTACTGTTGAATGTGACAGAATATTCAGGTATTTTGGATAGGTTAGAAAGATATCTTGATCCTGTCTTCAGTTATTAGCCTAATAAGAATGGAAACAGCTTGCAAAAGTAAGACGCAAGTAGGGTAGCAGCAGGCTCATCTGGGGAATTACTGGTCTGAAGTTTGGGCACAAATTATTGGAGCCAAAGAAGAGAGAAATCTATATCCTTTAGGAAAGTTGAAGTAAAGATCATTTTCAGAGATACAGATAGAATAGATTATGACTCAAGCTTCAGTGGCAAGGTGTGTATACAGTCACAATATATAGAAAACAGACTAGTAGTCAAGGGCACCAGGGGACAGGGCAGGCAAGGTGCAGGGTGGATGAAGTGAGGAGGGTCAAGAAGTAATTCAGATCTGTCTGAATTATAGCAGGGCAGACCCTAGCTCATTTTGCCAGGGTGGGTTTTAGTCACTTACGGAAGCCACACCATTCTGGATGAGGGAATTGGGGAGAAGAGCATGATGAAAAAAGGGTGCAAGGAAAATACTGGAGAATGTTACCATACGAATGTGTGCACAAGATGAAAGAAAAATTAAACTGGCCAACAAAAGTTCAAGGAATGCTCTAATTTAAATATTAGATATTCTAGCATAAAATTTGCAATTCAAGAGAAGCTGGTTCTCCTAAATTTACATCTTTATAAGGTAGACAGACAGGAATTTATATTTTGTCTTTGGCACTTATCAATCGTGTACCATTAGACAAATTATTTAGCCTCCCCACAACTTAGTTATCCCATCTGTAAAATGGGGTGAAGACTAGTACTTGCTTATAGGATGGTGGTGGGCACTACCTGAAATGCTGTGTGTATATGGCTCAGCACAGTGCTAGGTACATAGTAGGTAGGCAATGAGTATAAATTATTTTCGGTTTGGATTCTATGTCTATGCAGAGGTCTCCTCAAGCTTTTGCAACTTGTCATATAATTGGTGTCTATTTTTATGTCTTTTAGATGGTCAAAAAAATAGACCCTCTCACCAAAGTCAAAAAGAGGTCAGATTGAGCCTGAATAATAGTAGCACACTTATGAGTCATTTAATTTCTTTGACATCTCCTTTTCTCATCTAGTTGTGAATTATTTATGACATCTGTGCTCTTGGGAAGAAGTCCAAGCATATAACATATCTCCAGCTCACTCCTGGAGGGTCTTTCCAAGGCCCAGGGTTTCTGCCACTTAGTATGTGCTTACTCAATATTGTCTTGATTAATGGCATTGGAAGTAGAGATAATAGCAGTGCAGAATTAATGGGCTAGATACTTTGTTATTGAACACAATTGTGTAGGGTTGAACTAACAAATAGGTAATGCTTCTGCAAAGTGTGTAAGTAAAAAATATAAAATAAGTAAATAGATTATATATTCATCAGTCTATTTAGAAAAACTTACTGAGTAGCTACTATGTGTCAGACACTGTTCTATGCACTGGTAATATCCAGAACTCTGGATGCAGATATGATATCAAGAACATTGGGTACAGGGGTGATATCCAGATTGCTGGGTGCCGGGGTGATATCCAGAACACTGGGTGCAGGGGTGATATCCAGATTGCTGGGTGCAGAGGTGATATCCAAAACACTGGGTGCAGGAGTGTTATTGAGATCACTGGGTACAGGGTGATAGCCAGGATACTTGACAACCAGTGTCCCTAGAGCATTAGTCAGAACTGACAGTGGTGGTGCTCAAACAGTATCCTGGAGGTGCTCTTCTCTGCCAGGTATGAGCCTTCTGCCAGGTGATGCCTCTCTGAAGCTTCTAGTACCAAGAAGGGGCTGGAGCAGTAGGAGATCATTTGGAGGAGTCACAATAGCAGCTATCCATGAACTAGTCAGAAATAACTTAATATTTTGAAACTTTTGCTTTAATAAGCTGAGCAAACTCTCGCTTCTGGCTGTGACCAAGATAGATAAGGTCCCTTATCACAGGGCTTCCTTTTGGAGGTAAACTTGGTGGCATCAGAGGGTTTCTGTCCTGGGGGAGCTTTGAGTTTGTTCCAGTCTCAGAAGCCAAGTTCCTCAGCTCCACAGCCTGGTGCTTTGATAGTGCCCAAATCTTCATGCCTAAACCCATACTCGGCAAGCATTTTTTATCCTTAGCACCTTTCAGACTTTTTTGAATCTTATATTTACATACAATATATAATTTTCCATAAGTTTCTTCTCAGGAAGAAAACCATTATAAATATGTGGGTCTTTCTAAGTTATTCCATTCTTAAGGCCTTTTTGGTTGTGAGAACACCCTGCCACTAGTACCCCCCAAAAAAGATAGCAGCCAATTTGTCGCCACACATTGACCCTCTGTGCTGTTCCTTTGAGAACTCTTATTATGGAAAAAAAAGATGATTTAACTTGCCTTTATAGGGAGGTAAGCAATAAGTTCTTTGTTCAATCTGTATTTAGAAAAATTGTAAATGCTTCCACGTCAAAGACTAAACTGAGTATTATCCTTCTTTGGTATCCAGAGTGAAAATTCAGGGAGGTATATGGGCAATCAGAAGTGCAGATGTTTTAACCAGAATATAATCAGGGTAAATGTGGCTTGCTGAGGATAATTAAATTTAAGGAAATGGAAAATATAACATTTTAGTCTACAACAAATTCAGTAATATATGTTCTCTTGCAAATGTGCATTATATGATAACAGTAAATTATATCGTGGCTGCTAAAACTTACTAATCAAGTCAGTCTTTTACATGAAAAGAAAGAAATCACAAGTATAGCTGTGGCCCAGGCATTTAATCATAATTGCCTCCTTAATCCATGAAAGAAGCATTTAATAGTTAGAATTGCAAGGATGATAATGCAGCGACAGCAGAGCAATGTATCCAATTTTGCATAACATGTTCATCACAAAACTGTCAGATGAATTGTTATCTGGTGTTGATAGAAAAGGCTGAGAGAACACAGCTTGGCATTGAGGCTCTGGTAGGATTTCGTGTTAGAAAATGAAAACTTTGACATGTAGGTGGAATAAATTTCATGTCCAAGCCATTATGAAAGGATAAATGGAAATTCACATAAAAATCGTTCCTGCTGCAACCCAAGTTCAAGTATCTGTTCTCTCTTTGGTGGTTTTAGATCATAAAGACTTAGAAGACACTTGGACTGCTTCATGTGGAGAAAGCAAGTTTGTCATCCAGCCTATTTCCCAATGATATCTTGAGCTGCTAAATACACTAACAGATATAGAAGCTGATTGCATTTTATTTTAACATATACTATTAATAAATCCCTTGATTAAATAATCATTAATATAAAAATAGAGTAAAAGGCTTAAAGTATTTATAATCAAACCAACTCCAAATATGCAACCTAACTCATTGTGTTTTGTTCTGCATGTCTTAAACCATTGGTTAAGGGAAGATGCTAAGCTCTAAGTTCATCTTCTTGCACCATCTTAGACTTCTTTTTATATCTCTGGCATTGTTCCCATTGCTAAATTGGCACTTATTACTTTGCAACTTAATTATCTCTTATGGCAGCAAAAGAAACTATCAACAGAGTAAACAGACAACCTACAGAATGAGAGAAAATATTCGCGAACTATGCATCAGAGAAAGGTCTAATATCCAGACCCTATAAGGGACTTAATTCAACAAGCAAAAACCAAAAAGCCCCATTAAAAAGTGGCCAAAAGACATGTACAGACACTTCTCAAAAGAAGACCTGCAAGTGACCAGCAGACATAAGAAAAATGCTCAACATCACGAATCATCAGAGAAATGCAAATCAAAACCACAGTGAGATACCAACTCACACCAATCAGAATGGCTATTATTAAAAAGTTAGAAAAACAACGGATGCTGTTGAGGCTGCAGAGAAAAGGGAATGCAGTATGGAGATTTCTCAAAGAACTAAAATAGAACTACCATTTGACCTAGCAATTCCGTTAGTGGGTATATATCTAAAGGAAAATGAATCATTCTACCTAAAAGATACATTCACGTGTATGTTTATTGTAGTGTTACTCACAATAGCAAAAACACGGAGTCAACCAAGGTGCCCATCAACAGAGGATCGGATTAAAAAAAAGTGGTATGTATACAACATGAAATACTATGCAGCCATGAAAAAGAATGAAATTATGTGCTTTGCAGCAACATGGATGTAGCTAGGGGCCATCTCAGCAAATTAATGCAGGAACAGAAAACCAAATACCACTTGTTCTCACTTATAAGTGGAAACTAAATATTGGGTACACATGGACATAAAGATGATACTAAGAGACACTGGTGACTCCTAGAGTGGGGAGGAAGAGATGTGGGCAAGGGTTGAAAAACTATTGAGCATTATGCTTACTACCTGCGTGATGGGATCAATCATACCCCAAATCTCAGCATCACATAATATCTATGTAACAAACCTACACATATACCCCCTGAATCAAAAATAAAAGTTAAAATTATTTCTTAAAAATTATTATTTGTGATGGGCTTAGGACAGATATTTTACTCATTTTTTTATTCTATTAGCATTTAGTGCAGAATCCAGCATTATAAAGAAACTATTAAATAAATAGATGAATAACACTAATAATCAATGAAGAAAATATTGGTTCAAACAGAAGATGGAAGTTTTCCATGGAAGCTTAGTAGTCATTTACTAATTTTTACCAGCTTTTTAATCAACTAGTCATCATTCATTTTCCAAAATCAATTTCCTAGCTTACTGTTGTCTTTAGCCTAGTTTTCAGCTATGTTATATTTATATACAAACAAATACTCATTAGTATTTTCTCAACCAATGTTTAAATGCCCAAGTGCCAGCACTGATCTTGGTAACAGGGATATAAAAAAAATAGTAATAATTCCTACAGGTATAGTAAGCAAAGAATTCCATGGAAGCCCTTGAGAGGAACACTTCATCCACCATGGGACAGACTTAAAAGACTTCTTGGAAGAAGTGTCTTATTAAGTAGGAGTTTTCTAGGTGAAAAAAAGGTAGATAAAGTGAGCAAATATAGTCTTGAGGGTTAGGAACAGCAGAATTTTACAATAGAATTGGTATGTGCTAAGAAATAGAAGTAAAAGTTTAGAGTAATAGTGATTATTTGTGCTATTATTAAGGGCATTTAACAATTATTATTGAAGATATACAATAAAGTTATAATAACCAAGATGATATGGTATTGGCAAAGGAATAGACGAGTAGGCTAATGGAGCAGAAAAGAGCCCAGAAATGGATCCAAACAAATAGAGCAAATTGATCTTTGGCAAAGAAGCCAAGGCAATTCAATGGAGAAAGGATAGTTTTTCAAAAAATGTTGCTGGAACAACTGGACATCCAATGCATAGGTATAAATCTAGACATTGTCCTTACAGATTTCACAGATACGAACACGAAATGGATCATAGACCAAAGTAAAATATTAAACTATAAAAGTACCAGAGTATAACAGGAGAAAATCAAGGAGACATTGGGTTTGAAGATACGTTTTTAAATACAATATCAAAGACATAATCTATGTAAGAAAAAATTGATGCCAGACTTCATAAAATTAAAAAACTGCTTGGCAAAAAAAACACTGTTAAGGGAATGAAAAGACAAGCCACAGGCTAGGAGAAAATATTTGTAAGACTTTTCTGAGAAGGAACTTGAATCCAAAGTATACAGAGAGGCTGGGTGTGATGGCTCATGCCTATAATCTTAGCACTTTGGGAGGCCTAGGCAGGAGGATTGCTTGAAGACAGGAGTTGGAGACCCTGTCTGGACAACAACACGAAACTCTGTCTCTATAAGAAATTAAAAAATATATTTTTGTAAAAGGAAAGAAAATAATAAAAAACAAACTATAGAAAGAATTATTAAAATCACATAGTAAGTAAAAAGTTTCATTTAAAAAATGGACAAGAGATATGGACACTTCACCAAAGAAGATACTTAGATGCCAAATAAGCACATGAAAGATGCTAAAAACCATATATCCTTAGAGAAATGCAAATTAAAACAGCAGTGAGTTCACTACACACCTATTAGAAAAGCTAAAATCCAAAATGCTGTAATAAGTATTGTATATATGCTAAAGGCACCCGGAAAAAGCTTAGGGAGCCCCGTAGAGTGAGCAGTTAACTCTGCCAAAGGGGATCATATCATTTGTGATATCACTAAAATGCTTTATTATCTAAGGTAAAAATTAGTTTATTTTCAAGCAATGTTGTACACTAGCATTAAAGCATAGCAATTTTGCATTAAAATAGAGTAATTTGGATACATCATTATAAAGCACTCCATCAGTCTGTATTCTTAAAATTGTATTTTGTGTTCCATTTGCTTAATTGCAGCTGAATATAGTCCATAATTCTTAAAAAGCTACTTGCCATCAATTTCGTAATAAAGTTCTGACAAAATCCAAAAAAAATTTATCTTTTTTCTTTGTGAATCTATAAAAATATTGATCTTTTACCACATGTATTAGAATACAATAAGAAACACATTGCAAAATTCCTGCCTCTATAGAGATACCAATTAAAAAACTCTAGATGTGCAACAGATATTAAAAGCCAAATAAAACAATGGTTATATTATGAGGCACTAGCACAGTGGTATCACAAGGCTTATGATGGGTTACCAAATGAACTCTGTAATTCATAAATGTTTTATACTTAGAAGAATAAAAAAACTAAGAAATGGTCAGCAAAAATTTTTAAATGAGCTCTAATCTTTGTTTTCTTGATTATATTCTTTACTGTTATTACTAATTCTTATCATAAATTAGTAATCTCAACTTTACCACTTCAAAAACCAATATAAATATTACTATGTAAGACATGTCTTAAACTTTTCCAGATTACTTTTCAGAGATTTATGTTTTATTTGTATACATTTACACAGGAATGGGTCAGATGTATTTAATTTTATTAAACCAATCAATTTGTATTAAAGCCTTAAAAAGTCATATATAAAAATACTCTGCATGTATTAATAATAGCGTATATTTGATTTAAGTCTAACTATGATGCATATAGTACTCTTAGCTTTGGTGTTTTGTTTCACTTGGTTTTTTTACCAACAGCACTAAAACATTGAATCATAAAGTTCTCTTTCGATTTGAACTTTGCTGTCTTGTGAAATTAAAATGCTGCTGTCTACATGCAGTAGCAAACGTACTTTCAAGCTGTAATCAATGATCTGTATATTTGGAATTAGAAATAATTTAAGCCACGGTCTATTCTTCAGTCTTCCATGGACCGCTATTTATACAAGAATGTTACCTTATGTTATTGGTTTAACTGTTTTATTAAGTCTACTTCAATATTTTAGCACAATTAAAAATCAATACTTATTTAAAAAATCCAAAATGGTGATGACACCAAATATCTGCAAGGATGTGGAGTGAGAGGAGCTCTCATTCGTTTGCTGGTTGGAATGCAAAATGGTGCTTTGGAAGAGAGTTTGGTAGTTTCTTACAATGTTAAACACAGTCTTACCACGTGATCTACCAGCTGCCCTCCTAGGTACTTACCCAAATGAATGGAAAACAAACTATGGTACACCCATGTGTAGAGGTCAACGGAAAATTTTGCCCTCTGCAATTTTGCTGAAAAATCATCTGACAAAAGGCATATAGGAGAAATAACATACAAATTTATTGGTGTGCATAAGGGAATTTACAGAGTGATTACCTGATATCCCAGTGGGGTTCAGATACTTACATAACCTTATTTCAGAATGGAGAGAGAGAGAGAGATATGGGGAATACAGGTAATTCTTTTGGGAGCAATAAACGATTACTAGGGAGGACAAATGGATCCCGAAACAGAGGTTAACTTGGAAATGGTTCTCTTTGAGAGCTGAATGAGCCTGAGAGACAGATACTGTCTCGTGAAGGGTCTGTTCAGGTGTGGTTATATTCTTGGTCTTGTTTTCTGCAATAGATAATGAGATAACAGAGAAGGGAAGGAAAAACAATTGTTCTCCTTGGTGGGTTCCTGCTGTCTTTATTTAGATAGCAGGGAAAGGCTCTTCTAGCATCTGTCGATCTCCAAGGGCCTTTAATTCAAAATACTCATTATACCATGGAGCCACATTTTATGATGAAGTTCCTGGGGCTCTTTCACATACAATGGAATATGATTCAACAATAAAAAGAAAATTGAACTATCAAGCCACAAAATGACATGGAGGAACCTTAAATGAATATTGCTTAGTGAGAGAAAACAGCCTGAAAAGCCTACATACTATATAATTCCAATGATATGACATTCTGGAAAAGGCAAAACTGTAGAGATAGTAAAATGATCAGTGGTTGTCAGGGGTTTGGGAAGAAGACAGGAAAGATGAATGGGTGAAGTACTTGACAGTTTCTGACCAGTTAAACTAAATACTAAGTATTTACAGAAAATATTTACACACAATTATTTATCATACAGCTATGATACTACCATGATAGATATGTGACATTATACATTTGTCAAAACACATCAAACAGTGTTAAACCAAAAGTGAACCCTAAACTATGGACTTTAGTTAAAAACAATGTATCATTATTGGTTCATCAATAGTAACAAATACCACATGAATGCAAGATATTAATAATAGAAGAAACTGAGTTGGAGGAGAGAGGGAGTATATGGGAATTATCTCTAATAGCTGCTCAATTTTCTGTAAGCCTAAAATTACTCCAAAAATAGTGTATTAATTATAAAAATATTCTTAAGATGTTTCTCAAGTATTAATGTTCTATGTAAAAATAATTTGTATAGACAAATTACTTTCATTAATTGGTAGACTAAATTGAGGTTACCGAAAACTTTTGACTCTAAAAAAGTAAAACCACCAGGAATTGTGAGCTTTCAGCCAGTGATAAGATCATAGGTCTAGAGATTAGAATAACTTGGACCTTGTAGACAGAATAAACTTTGCTTGGTGAACAATATTTTGGCTGGAAAATCTAGAGAAGAAATGTCTCCATTCATCGGGAGTGTTTTTCTCTGTGTTGCTGCTTATTTAATAAGAGATAAGCATGTTATTTAAAATGTTGCCCCTTGTTTTTTCCCATAAGAAACATCAAAAAAAGACTCAGTGTCTCTGGAACAATTACCATCACCCTAAAATGTAACCACTTCTGAGATAAATGATGAAAATTGCTGGCTTAATATTCACAAAACAGGTTACCATACCCAGCTGAAACTATGAAAATCAGTTAGGTAGAAAAAATGTAATTACCAAAGTCAGATATTAGCAAGCACAGTTCTAATTTGAGTATGACTCCTCTATTCAAATTAAACTTTATAATTACCAACGGTTTAATTCTTTCTTCTAATCTCATCATATATGATGAAACTTCAAAAATTTCATGGAGAGCTGGGTGCCGTGGCTCACACCTGTAATCCCAGCACTTTGGGAGGCCAAGGCAGGCAGATCACTTGAGGCCAGTAGCTCAAGACCAGCCTGACCAATACGGTGAAACCCCGTCTCTACTAAAAATACAAAAATTAGTCAGGCATGGTAGCATACAACTATAGTCCCAACTACTTTGGGAGGCTGAGGCACAAGAATCATTTGAACCCGGGAGGTGGAGGTTGCAGTGAGCCAAGATTGTGCCACTGAACACCAGCCTGGGTTACAGAGTGAGACTCTGTCTCAAAAAAAAAAAAAAAAAAAGAGAAAAGACAAGACAATTCATGGAAAATAGAATTAAAAGATAAAAATATAAAATATAAACTTCTCAACATAAAAGTCAGGACACTTTTGTAAGCAATAATACCACCCATGTAGTCTATCCCTGAAGAACTGAAGGTCCTAGGAATTTAACCATATCAAAGAAGTCGTTTTTACATTATTAACTGAAGAAAAATGGGTGCCTTTACAGATTTTTTTTAAGATTAGGAAACAAAAACAAGTCAGAAGCCAAAGCAGGACTCTTTAATAATTTCCCATTGAAACTCTCACGAGATTGCTCTGTTTGATGAGAAGGAGCAGGAACATTGTCATGGTGGAAGAGGACTCTCTGGTGAAGCTTTCCCTGGGTATTTTTTCTGCTAAAGCTTTGGCTAACTTTCTCAAAACGTTCTTGTAATAAGATGTTATCATCGTTCACTGCTCCTCCAGAAAGTCAACAAGGAAAATGCCTCCAGCATTCCCCAAATCTGTTGTCATGACCTTTGCTCTTGAACAGTCTGCTTTAACTTTGGACCACTTCTTTCTACCTCGTGGTAGCTGTTACTTTGATTGTAGTTTGTCTTCAGGATCATATCTGTAAAACCACGTTTCATCTCCTGTTACAATTATTTGAAAAAATACTTCAGAATCTTGATTCTACTTGCATAAAATTTCCATTGAAAGTTCTGATCTTGTTTGCAGCTGATCTGGGCTCAACTATTACAGCACATGTTGAGTGGAATGTTCACTCAAATTTGATTTTTACTTTTAAATCTTTAATCCATCTCGAGTTGATTTTTGTGGATGGCGAGAGATAGGGGTCTAGTTTCATCTTCTGTTTATGGACTCTAGTTTTCCCAGCACCATTTATTTAAGAGAGGGTCCTTACTCCAATGTATGTTCTTGGTGTCTTTGTTGAAAAATCAGTTGGCTGAAAATATATAGATTAATTTCTGGGTTCTTTATTATGTTCCATTGGTCTGTGACTGTTTTTATGCCAGTACTATGCTGTTTTGGTTACAGTAGCTTTGTAGTATATTTTGAAGTCTAACAGTGTGGTGCCTCCACATTTGTTCTTTCTGCTCAGTATTACTGTGACTATTTGGGGTCTTTTGTGGTTCCATAGGAATTTTAGAATTCTTTTACTGTTTCTATAAGGAATGTCTTTGGTATTTTGATGGGAATTGCATTGAATCTGTAGATTGCTTTGAGTAGTACAGTCGTTTTAACAACATTAATTCTTCTGATCCAGGATCATGGGATATCTTTTCATTTGTTTTTGTCTTCAGTTTCTTTCATCAGTATTTTATAATTTCAATTTTGAGGTTTTCACTTTCTTGGCTAAGTGTATTCCTGAGCATTTTATTTTTATTTTTTGTAGCTCTAGTAAATGGGGTTTCTTTTTCAGCTAGTTGTTTATTAGTGTCTAGAAACACTACTGATTTTTGTGTGTTGATTTTGCATCGTAAAACTTTACTGAATTTGTTGACTAGTTCTAAGAGTTTTGGGGTCGAATCTTCAGGTTTTTCTATATATAAGATCATGTCATCTGCCAAGAGGAACAATTTGACTTCCTCTTTTTCAATTATTTTTTCCTCTTGCCTGGCTGTGTCTAGGACTTCCAGTACTGTGTTGAATAAGAGTGCTGAAAGTGGGCATCCTAGTCATGTTCCAGTTCTTAGAGGAAAGGTTTTGAGCTTTTCCTCATTCTGTGTGATGTTAGCTGTGAGTTTGTCATATATCAGCTTCCTTTGATGCCTAATGTGTTGAGAGCTTTAATCATGAAGGGATGTTGAATTCAATTACTTTTTCTTCTAAGAAAAGTAATTAAATTCAACATCCTTCGTGAATAAATCTGTTTTATGATCATTTATAATGTGCAAACCAATAAATGTGATATATTATTACATCAGTAGAATGAAGGACAAAACTTCATAATCATCTTGTAATGATGTATGTGTCACATTTACTGGTTTGCACATGTTGAACCATTCTTGCATCCCTTGGCTAAATTCCACTTGATCATGGTTTGTTGTCTTTTTGATACGTTGTTGGATGCAGTTTGCTAGTATTTTCTTGAGGATTGTTGCATCTACGTTCATCAGGAATACTGGCATGCAGTTTTCTTTATTTGTTGTAGCCTAGTCTGGTTTTGGTGTCAGGATAATGCTGATCTCATAAAATAAATTAAGAAAAATTCCCTCCTTTTCAATGTTTTTGGAATAGTTGAGAAGAATTGATGTTAGTTATTTATAAGTTTGGTAGAATTCAGCAGTAAAGCCATTTGGTCCTGGGACTTTCCTTGTTAGGAGACTTTTTTTATTACTGTTTCCATCTCATTATTCATTATTGGTCTGTTCAGAATTTCTCTTTCTTCCTGGTTTAATGTTGGTGGTTTGTATGCCCAGGAATTTAGCAATTTTCTCTAGGTTTTTCAGTTTGTTAGTGTATAGTTGTTCATGATAGTCCCTGGTGATCTTTTGTATTTCTGTGGTATTAGTTGTAATGCCTCTTTTGTGTTTCTGATTTTATTTATTGGACATTTACTCTTTTTTTCTTGGCAGTGTAACTAGCAGTTTATCAACTTATCCTTTTTTAAAAAAAAACTTTTCATTTTCTTGATCCTTTGTATTTATTTTTAGCCTCTATTACATTCAGGCCTATTTTGATCTTTATTATTTCTCTTCTACTAATTTTGGGTTTGCCTTTCCTAATTATTTGAGGTGCATCTTTAGACTGTTTATTTTAATTTTTTCTACTTTTTTAATTTAGGCATTTATTGCTATCATCTCTCTCAGCACTGCTTTTGCTGTACCCCATAGGTTTTTGATATGTTGTATTTTAATTTTTTCTTGTTTTAATATTTTTAAATTTCCTCTTTAATTTCTTCCTTGACCCATGAGCATGTTGCTTAATTTCCATGTATTTGTACAGTTTCCAAAGTTTCTCTTGTTATTAATTTCTAGTTTTATTTCATTATGGTCTTACAAGACACTTTATATAATTTTAAATTTTAAAATCTATTGAGACCTGTTTTGTGTCCTAATATATGGTCTATCCTACAGAATGCTCCATGTGCTGATGAGAAGAATGTGTAGTCTGCAGCTGTTAGATAAAATATTTTGTAAATGTCTCTTGGCAGATTAAGTCTGATGTTTCTTTGTTGATTTTCTGAATAGATGATCTGTCCAATACTGAAAGTGGGATGTTGAAGTCCCCAGCTATTATTGGATTGGAATGCAAATCTCTCTTCAGTCTAATAATGTTTGCTTTATTCATCTACATGCTCTAGTGTTGGGTGCATATATATTTTGGTTTCTATTTGCACGGAATATGTTTTTCCCATTTTAAAACTTTCAGTCCATGTGTGTCTTTAGAGTTAAAGTGAGTTTCTTGTAGGCAGCATATGGTTAGGTCTTAAAAAAATCAATTCAACCAGTCTATATCTTTTAATTGGAGAATTTAAACCATTTACATATGTTGTTATTGACAGATGAGGACTTGCTCATGTTATGTTGTTAATTGTTTTCTTTTTCATCTTTTTTTAAGTTTTATTTTTTCTTCTTTTTTTAGAGACAGGGTCTCATGCTGTTGCCCAGGCTGGACTCTAGTGGCACAGCCATAGCTCACTGCGGTCATGAATTCCTAGGCTCACGTGATTGTCCTGCCTTAACCTTCCAAGTAGCTAGTACTACAGGAAAACACCATTACACCTGACTAATTTTTAAATGTTCTGTAGAGATGGGATCCTTCTATGTAGCCCAGGCTAGTCTCAAATTCCTGGCCACAAGCAGTCCTCCTTGATTGTTCTGTATATCCTTTGTTTTGTTCTTCTTCTTTTATTGTTTGCTTGTATGAGTTGGTGGTTATTTTGTAGCAATAAAATTTGACTCCTTTCTCTTTCTCATTTGTATATTTGCTCTACCAGTTAGTTTTATACTTTTGTGTGTTTTTATGATATTATATATTGTCCTTTGCTTCCAGATATAGCACTGCCTTAAGCATTTCTTGTTGTGCTGGTCTAGTGATGATGAATTTCCTCAGTTTTTCCTTGTCTAGGACTTTATTTTTCCTTCATTTTTGAATAATAGCTTGGCTGGGTATAGTGTTCTTGGCTGACATTTTTTTTTTCTTGCAGCACTTTGAATATATCACCTTATTCTCTCCCAGCCTACAAGGTTTCTGCTGAGAAATCCACTGTTAGTCTGATGAGGATTCCATTATAAGTGAGTTAACAATTTGCTCTTGCTGTTTTCAGAATTCTCTTTGTGTTTGACTTTTGACAGTTTGATGATAATATGCCTTGGAGAAGAGTTCTTTGGGCTGAATCTGTTTAGGAATTCTTGAGCTGCATATATCTGGATGTCTATAACTGTTGCAAGATGTGGGAAGTTTTTAGTTATTATTTTGTTGTTCAAATTGTAATTTTGAGGGGAGACAGTTGCTTCAGAGTCCTACTCTGCCATCATGTTCCACTCTCAAAAGTTTGCTGATCCCCAAATTCCTGTCTCTGGTCTAAACTTCTCTCTTACACTCCAAACTAATGCAGCCACTCCTGCTGACTGGGAGATCATTAGATAGTTTGATAGCAACATATCAAAAATATGTTTCCTCCCAACCTGCTGTACATTTACGTTTCCCCGTCTCAGTTGGTAACAATTACTTAGGCCAGAAACTTTGAGATTCAGTCCTTCTCTTTCTCTTCCACCCCTCAGCCAATACGTAAGAAAATCTCGTCTCTATCTCTAAATTATAGTCAGAGTCTTTTTAATTTTTTTACCACCTCTGAATTACCATCCTGCTCCAATTCATCTTTATCTCTTGTCTTTATTACTGCAATCGCCTCCTTCCATATTTTCCTGCTTCTACACTTTCCTCTTTATAGCTGTTCTCAACGTAACAGCCAGATTGAGCCTTTAAATTAGATTACGCCACTGCTCTGCTCAAAACTCTCCAGTGGCTCTATTTCCATCTGGTAAAAGCCAAAGTTCTAACACTTGTAACGCTCTAAATGATCCAGGTACATGTTACCTCTCTCAATTCATGTCCTATCATTCTCTCCCAAGGTTACAAGATGTAGTTGAAGTTGTATTTTGAGAAAAATTTATGGACTTGAATACTTTTGCTATTAATAAGAAAAAATTCAAAATCATTAATTAAACATTCAGTATAGGAAACAAAAAAAGCAATCAAATTTTACCTCATCTTTGATTAGTGAGAATATGGGTAATTTATATTTTTATCTTTTTACTTTTATGTTATTTTCCACAATATCATATATAAGTTTTAAAATTAGTAAAAAAATTTTGTTAGTACAAAATGAAAAATTTGGGTTTGAAAAAGAGAGACTTATTAATAATAGAGAACAAAGTTAGGAAGAACCCATTAAGCATGGAAAAGAAGAATGTAATTCCAGTTTTATAGTTGGTGCACTGTTTTAGCCATAGTAGGATTGAAATAATCAGGGAAAAGTTAGGATGACATCAAAGAAGTCTCAGGAAGATAATATCAAGTAGAACAGAGACAAGCCAAGAAAGCAGAAGGAAAGCTCACAAGTTTAACCCAGCTGGCAGTCACAAGAATTTTATTAAGTGTGGGAAAAGTATATTATATAGAGGGAGCATAGGAAATATGCCTGGGTTGAGAACCAGCTCAGATTATTTTCTGGAAAAAGTAAAATGAGCCGTTAACATTTGGCATCACATATAGTGTGAGTTGCCTTGTAGAATGCACTGGCACAGTGTTGTCTATTCTTTCAGTGCTGGATTAGTTTTTAAAGTACTTGTGTTCCAGTTATTTTCTGAATATTTACCAGCTGTAGGGCCCTGGGAAAATTGTGTAATCTGGTTGAACAATATTTTTTTAAATTTAAAAATGGGTATCCAAATATCTGCCTTCCCTATGTTGTAAAATTGTGGTGAAAATAAAAATGTATCATTATGAAAAGTGCCTTGAAAATCACAATGTGTTATTTAAATGTAATAATTTGTAGTTTATTAACAGTAGTCTATGCTGGTGTCTGTTAAAGCCAGGTTTGAATCTAATAGAGTGACCCCTGTTCTCCAAAACCAATAGTATAATCAGGAATTTAATAATATTAAATGAAACATATGATGATAAACTGTTTTGAATGTTGAGAGAATATATGGTATTTAATTGAGGGTTCCTGAGCTGTCTGGGACTAAGGATAATAAATCATATTGTAACTCAAATATCTTCTGTTAGTATTTCTCCCTGTTCTTACCCCCACCTCAGTGTCTAATAGATTTACATTCAATTTTGCATTTTCAGGAGATCTTGTAAAGATCACAGGGGTGTTTGCTCAAGATTTTTCAGTAGACAAAAGGAACCTATTAAGCAGCGAGGTCTAATTGTTAATTGAGAGTAAACGAGGCTGATCTTTATCAAATGTAAGGAGGATAAAAGAAGTTATAAGAGGTAGGGCATGAAATATGTAAGTTAATCCCTGGAAAATGCACAGATACTCCGGTTTAAATGGTTGGTAGCCTCTCTTGTGTTGATTACCTTTGTGAACATAGGCTTCTGGATATTAGTCGTTTTTATATGGTGTATACTAGGGATGATAAAATGTGTATGTAGAGCTCTGACCACTCCACAGTCCTTTAGACTCAAGTACCCAAGTACCTGCTAGACAACTTCATTTAGTTGTTTCACAGGCATATGAAACTTAACATACCTGAAACAGAATTGTTGATTTTTCCTCTAAAATCTGTTTTTCTCTTAGTCTTCCCATCTTAAAATGACCACTATCCACTCAATTGTTAAACCAAAACTTCGTTATAATCCCTGATTCTTCATTTGCCTCCCACCTCTAGAATCTATTCTTATCACTTTGATTCATCTTTATGGTTGCCACCCTAGTCCAAGTCAACGTTTTGCACATAGATTTCAATAGCCTCCTACCAATCTCTGTGCTTCCTCTCAAGCTGCCCTGCCCCTGCCCCTGCCATGAAATCTATTCTGTTTAACAGCTAAGATGATCTTTTTGAAAACAAAAAAGAATCATGTTACTCTCTTAAAGCACTACTATAACTTTCCATCACTATTATTATAAAATCCAAACTCTTTACCATGAGCTATAGCAGGGTTGATGTTCATTCAGGATGTGCTGGAACAGTCTTATCAATCGTTTTCAGACAGCATACATTCCAATTGGCTGCTGCCTATGCCATGAGTTAAGCATTTTGCCCATCACTCCTCCTTCTAAGGCCGTACATGAGCCTGTGGTTCTCAGTTACAGAGTTTCAAATGTCCCAGAGTAAATTTGGTGATATCTGGAAATATTTTTTGTTGTCATGACTGGGACGTGCTACTGGCATTCATTGGGTAGAGGCTAAGGAATAATGTTAAATATCTTACAAGATACAGGACAGCACCCTGCAGCACAGAATTATTTGGTCTCAATATCAATAATATCCAAGTTGAGACAACTTGGGTAGTAACCCAAGTTAAGGTATTAACCCTTAGATAACTCTCTTATCCCTGCCTGCCTCACCCATACTATCCTCTCCCTCACTCATTATGTTGCACTGGCCCTCGTGCTCTGCCTGGCAAATTCACTACCATCCCAGGGGTTCTCTATCATATAACCTGCTTAATTTTTTTTCCATGGCACTGAAATATCTAAAATTACCTTGTTTTGTTATTTTATTTGCTGGTTCTTCACTGTCACTCCCACTTGGATTGTCAGCTGCATGACAGAAGAAAATGTTTCTCTTCCCCAGCATGGAAAACAGTGCCTTAATATTTGCTGAGATTTTGTCTGTCCCTTCCCCGTTCCTCATCTCCTCTAGAAGCCTCACTCATTTTTCACTACCATCAATTCCTGAGCCCCACTCTGTCCTCAATCTCTAAAGGGTGTAGCAAGGTTTGAGGATAAGTTGAGGATATTCATTTCACACACCATTCTGTAACAAACACAATTGAAAGTATATTGATTTGTTTTTTAGCCTCTATCAAATTATCTCTAAATTAAAACAACTATTTTGTCAATATTCCTAGTATTAGCAGCATAAAGCTGCTTTGAAAGGCATGGTAACCAAAGCTATTCTCTGGAAACTTCTACTCAGATGGTATTCTAAGAGCTCTCTAAACAGACTATTTGCCTAGACATTCTGTACTTCAGATAAGTTCTCTGATGTTGATTAAATGTTTTATAATTGTTATTGTTGCAGAAGGTCTGATTACACTTTGCCATGATCACCATATAAATATTGTAACGACTCTTCACCTCACATGAACAGCCTCCCCATTCTGGTCTTGATATTACCCGAGTGTGGTGATGATCTTAAGGATCACATCCATAGGGCTGTCGGCTGTTGTGCATCAACAATCATGGTTTCATTGCCTGTAAGTAAAATTCATGCGGGCAGCCTGGATCATAGGTACAGTAAAGAGCTGGACCAAGGTCTTTGTTGCTTTGAATCAGTAGGTTAATTTGTCTTTGGAACTGGAGAATCACGTTTCAACACAGAAGTGGCTGTGGTCTTGGAAAGCTGCTGTTTTTCCATTTGGTTTGACTCGAGAGATCAAATTTAGAGAAAATGATAGGAGTCTCCAAATCCCACCATATTCAAATCTTGTTACAGTAGGACCTCTAACTGAAAAAAAAAAAATCCCTCAAGATTATGCTGACAGGAAACCTGATTAGAATGCATTTATTCTGAGCCTTAACCACAGAAATGTCCTTAAAAGAGGCCAGTTTTTTTCCCTTAAAACAATAAAATTGTACATTATAAATATAGCCACTTAAATTGATTCTCTTCAATACCCTACACTTGAACTAAGATAAATCAAATTTTTGTTGGAAAAATTTATTATTAATTATTATTATTTTTATTTTATTTGAGACGGAGTTTTGCTCTGTCTCCCAGGCTGGAGTGCAATGGCGTGATCTCGGCTCACTGCAACCTCTGCCTCCTGGGTTCAGGAAATTCTCCTGCCTCAGCCTCCCGAGTAGCTGGCATTACAGGTGCCTGCCACCATGCCTGGCTAATTTTTTATATTTTTAGTACAGATGGGGTTTCATCATGTTTGCCAGGCTAGTCTTGAACTCCTGACCTCAAGTGATCTGCCTGCGTCGGCCTCCCAAGGTGCTGGGATTACAGGCGTGAGCCACTGCGCCCGGCCTGTTATTATTATTAATATTACTACTACTATTTACAAAATAAAGCAATTCATAGTTTAACATCATTGTATTTTTTAGCCCGCCCTGTAAAAATTCTGTTCCCATTCCTATACACATCATACAGTTACAAGATGGTAAAATGAATTATGAATGCTCAGGTTTTCCCAAAATAATTGAAAAACCCTTAACCAATTAGCAAATTAAATTAAGACCAAATAAAAAGGTGCCTAAAAATGCATCTATCTTAAGGGTTAAATATAACCCTTAACCAATTTAACTTGTTAATTGGTTAACTTGTTAATTGGTTAAGGGTTATATTTAACCCTTAAGATAGATGTATTTTTCATGCAACTTTTTATTTGGCCTTGAATTTCTATTTTTATATTTTAAGCTGAGTGTATAGTTTTCTTACTGTAAATAGTTTTATTTGGCTTGGAAAATACAAAAAAGTTTCACCAGAAACCTTTTAAAAGGATGTTTGAATGTCACCCTAATATAGTGCACAGTGAGAACCTACAGAAGGGAAAAAAAAGCTGTAAGAATTTACCTATTTTGTCTAATAGATGAAATAACTGCACTATTTCTTTTCTTAAAAGCCCTCAATTATTTTCTAACTCACAGTTTACATAGAATCTATCAACTGAGTATTGCCCAAGTTAATGTTTTTGTGTTATTTCCCTATTTAGTTCTGAACTGTTTGTATGGTAGTTGCAATGAAAGCAAAAGGCCATCCTGATGACTGGACAGAAATTATTTGCAGCTGCTGGGATTTTTATCCTTTGTTTTGTTTTTCTGGGATTTGAATGGTATCTTCATCTAGACAGGAAGATCTGGCTGCAACTGTCATACACCAAAGCGAACTTTTCTGCCTGAGCTGGACTTCCTGTGTAATATCATGAGACCTGCTGTGGGTATGTCAATGGCAAACATGGTGAATCAATAAAGTTGTTTTTCCACTGGAGTTTTAGATTTTCTCTAGTTTAATGCTTGGTTTGCTTAATCAGTATTTTCCTTTCACATAGTAGAAGGTTCATATTGCTGGTGGGCTTGGCTTTTGTTAATGAAAGATCCACTACCCTCAGATCCTAAGAAACCCAAATTTTCGTAGGGTTTATGGAAGCATAAACCAGTGCCTTGAATGGCTGCCCTGTGGCACTAAGTCTCCAGAGCCTCTCCTCATGTTTTCTGGGTGGTTTTGTTAATACATTCAGAAGAGAAAGTCACTCTTTTAATTATATTAGATCGTAGGCAAACTGCATGCCAAAGTTTTAACCCACATTTCCTTCAGGCATTCACTCCCTTTTTTTGTTTTTTGGGTTTTTTTTCCAAAAATATAGAACAAGTTAAACTTTTTCAATGTATCATAATGTCCCTTTATTTCTAACTTTAGTTTTTTAAATTTAAGTAACATATAAACATAATGAAAAAATAAAATTGTTTAGATGATCATATAATGGAAAGTGCATCTTCAAGTAACCTCTTCATATGAATGTGTGGGATTGTGCCCTGAGTGACTCTCTTTTAGTACATTCTGAGATAGGGCTTTTCATTTCCTGTTTAATGGAACCCATTTTCCATTTAATGTTTTTTGTTTTCGTTGTATTTCTACAGAACCCCAGATACCATGAGCAGAGCACATTGTTTAGCAATTTAAGTAGATGCCCTCTATTGTATGATTTGTTTCTCTTCTTCTCCAGTCTCATTCTCATTCCTATCTACCTCTCCCTCATAGGTACCCATAGTAATGTATTCATATGCCCTTAAAAGATGTAGGTAGTCTTTTATAATATGCACTATTTTGTGTTAGTCTTTAATTTTCATGAATGAGAGTGTGTTTTTTCATTCCTTTTCTACTTTTCTCACTAAATATTTACTTATTTTGTTCCTTACTTTTCTACTTATTGCTTTCTAGTGTCTCATAGAATGCATTCACTCCTCTACTTCTACATTCTGCTAAGTTTCTTCTGGCTCCTTACTGTCATAATGACTGATATAGTTTGGATATTTGTCCCCACCAGAATCTCATGCTGAAATGTAATCCCGAGTTGGAAGTGGGGCTTGAGGGGAGGTGATTGGCTCACGATGGTGTATTTCCCAGGAATGGTTCAGCACCATGCCCTTGGTGCTGTCCTCACGATAGCGAGTGAGTTCTCGCTAGATCTGGCTGTTTAAAAGAATGTGGCACCTCTCCCCTCTTGCTCCTGCTCCCACCATGTTAGATGCCTACTCCTCCTTTGCCTTCTCACTTGATTCCAAGCTTCCTGAGGCCTCCTCAGAAGCAGATACTGGCATTATGCTTTCTATACAGTCCATAGAACCATGAGCCAATTAAACATCTTTTCTTATAAATTACCCAATCTAAGTTATTTCTTTATAGCAGTGCAAGAATGTCCTAATACAGAAAATTGGTATTGAGGAGTGGGGCATCGCTATACAGATATCTGAAAATATGGAAATGAGTTTGGAATGGAACTGGGTAATGGGCAGAGTTTGGAAGAGTTTTCAAGACTCAGAAGAAGACAGGCAGATGAGGGAACATTTGAAATTTTTTAGAGACTGTTAAATGATTGTGACTAAAATGCTCATAGTGATATGGACAGTGAAACCCAGGTTGATGAAATCTCAGATGGAAATCAGAAACTTATTTGGAACTGGAGCAAAGATCATGTGTGTTATGCTTTAGCAAACAACTTGGCTGTATTGTATCTCTGCCCTAGATATTTGTAGAATTTGAACTTGAGAGTGATAGTTTAGGTATGTGGTGGAAGAAATTTCTAAGCAGCCAAGTGTTCTAGACATGGCACGACTGCATCTAATAGCCTGTGCTCAGATATCTGAGCAAAGAAATGACCTAAAGTTGGAACTTATATTTAAAGGGGAAGCAGAGCATAAAAATTTGGAAAACTTGCAGACTGGCCATGTGATAGAAAAGAAAAGCCCATTTTCAGGAGAAGAATTCAGGCAGGCTGCTGTGCAACCTCTTGCTAGAGAAATTTGCATAATTAAAAAGGAGGCAAGTGCTGATAGCCAAGATAATGGGAAAAAGGCCTCAAAGGCATTGCAGAGGCTTTTGTGGCAGCCCCTCTCATCACAGGCCTGGAGGCCTAGCAGGGAAGAATGGTTTCGTGGGTCAGGCCCAGGACCCTGCTACCTTACCCAGTCTGAGACACTGCTCTCCACATCCCAGCCAGTCCGTCTCCAGCCTTGGCTCAAAGGGACTTAGGTACAGCTTAAGCCACTGCTTCAGATGGTGCAAGCCATAAACCTTGGCAGCTTCCATGTAGTGTTAAGTCTGTGAGGGCACAGAGTACAACAATTGAGGCTTGGGAACCTCTTCCTAGATTTTAGAAAATGTATGGAAAAGCCAGGGTGCCCAGGCAGAGTTTGGATGGGGCTGTCACAAGAACCTCTATTAGGGCAGTGCATAGGGGAAATGTGGGTTTGTAGGCCACACACAGAGTCTCCAACAGAGCACTGCCTAGTGGAGCTGTGAGAAGAGGGCCACCACTCTCCAGAACCCAGAATGGTAGATCCACTGGCAGCTAGCACCCTGTGCAAGGAAAAGCTGAAGGCATTCAACTACAACCTCTGAGAGTAGCTGCAAGGGCTGAACAGTACAAAGCCATAGGGGCAGAGCTGCCCAAGGCTTTGAGAATTCACCCCTTACAACAGTGTGCCCTGGATGTGAGATATAGAATGAAGGAAATTATTTTGGAGCTTTAATATTTAATGACTGCCCTGCTGTGTTTTGAACTTGCTTGAGGCCTGTAGCCCCTTACTTTTGGCTGATTTCTTCCTTTGGGAATGGGAATGCTTACCAATGATTGTACCTGTCGGGTCTCTGAGCCCAAGCCTGCACATATACATCCAGATGGCCTGAGGCAACTGAAGAACCACAAAAGAAGTGAAAATGGGCAGTTCCTTCCTTAACTGATGACCTTCCACCATTGTGATTTGTTCCTGTCCCACCCTAACTGATCAATTGACCTTGTGAAATTCCTTCTCCTGGACAATGAATATCAGAACCTCCCCACTGAGCACCTTGTAACCCCCACCCCTGCCCGCAAGAGAATAACCCCCTTTAACTGTAATTTTCCACTACCTACCCAAATCCTATGAAACTGCCCCACCCCATCTCCCTTTGCTGACTCTCTTTTTGGACTCAGCCCACTTGCACCCAAGTGAAATAAACAGCTGTGTTGCTCACACAAAGCCTGCTGGTGGATTCTCTTCACACGGACGCATGTGACAGTACCCCCATTATATCTTGAAAGCAAATAACTTGTTTTGACTTCATAGACTTATAGGCAGAAGGAAATCATCTCCAAATGAGACTTGGGACTTTTGAGTTAATGCTGAAATGAGTTAAAACTTTGGGGTACTATTGAGAAGGGATGATTATATTTTGCAATGTGAGAAGGACATGAAGTTTTAGGGGGAGTAAGGGCAGTATGATGTAGTTTGGATATTTGTCCCTTCCAAATGTTGTGTTGATATGTAATCCCCAATGTCGGAGGTGAGGCCTGGTGAAAGGTGATAGGATCATGGGGGTATATACCTCATGAGTGGTTTAGTGCCACCTTCTTGGTAATGTCTTTGGTATAGTGAGTGAGTTATCATGAGATCTGATTGTGTAAAAGTGTGTGGCACCTTCCACCACTCTCTCTTGCTCCTGCTTCCAACATGTGAAACACCTGTTTCCTCTTTTGCCTTCTGTCATGACTGTAAGCTTCCTGGGGCCTCCCCAGAAGCAGACACCAGCAGTATGCTTTCTGTACAGCCTGCAGAACCATGAGTCAGTTATTCTTCTCTTATAAATTATCTAGTCTCTGGTATTTCTTTATAGCAAGGCAAGAAGAGCCTAATACAATGAACATCTGTGTACATGCTCCTACAGCCTAAGTGAGAATTTCTCTGACATGCATTTTATGAGTGATTGCTGTGACATAGACCATAGACATCATTTCATTTTCTGTCTTTATATATTTATGGAAATCTATCAATCCACTGATGATCACAACCCCACTCTTGTTCTCTTTGCAGTTACATATTTGCTCATTTTGTACTCCTATGTTCTTATTTCAATGAGGTCTCGAGAGAGACTGAAGGCAAATCTGAGGGTTTAATCCAGCATTTGAAATACAGCTCAATCCATCTCCTTTTCAGTGCATTATGTTTGCTTGGGGCAAAGCACAGAAGGAGAAGTAGGAGAGAAAGACAGCATGGAAAAGACTTTTCTAGCAATGCTATACTATGTACAACAGGTTGTACACTTTTCATTGCAACCCATTACCTAGTAGTGGGACATAGACTGGTATGGTTTGGCTCTATGTCCCCACCCAAATCTCACCTTTAATTGTAATCTCCGTAATCCCCACATGTCAAAGGTGGGACTAGGTGAAGGTAATTGAATCGTGGGGGCAGTTTCCCCCATGATGTTCTCATGATAGTGAGTGAGTTCTCATGAGATCTGATGGTTTTATAAGGGGCTTCCCCCTTTGCTTGGTACTCACTCCATCCTGCCACCCTGTGAAGAAGTTGCCTTGCTTCTCCTTTGCCTCCCACCATGATTGTAAGTTTCCTGAGACCCCCCCCGCCACCCAGCAATGGGGAACTGTGAGTCAATTAAACCTCTTTCCTTTACAAATTACCCAGTCTCAGGTATCTCTTCACAGCAATGTGAAAACAGACTAATGCACAGACTAAAATAAAATATTGCATCTTACTAAAGATAATTATTGGCAATCATTAATGCTTCATAATTTAAAAGATAAGAGACTGACTTCCAACCTAAAAGCATGACAGCATTTCTAGACCCAAAAGCCCCTTGCCTTAGCTGACCCTCACCTCAAACCTATAGCCTTCAGGATCCCATTCTAAGGTCATTGTTTTCCTTCAATACTACAACAGCTGTTCCATGTAAGTCTTGTAAAATACAATCATTTTAGTAATTCATTTGACAGGACTTTTCCTTCAATTTCCAAAGATTTTGTAATTGCTGTAACAAGGTACCTCTGGGAATACTGCTATGAAGTAATCAGAATTGTGTTTTCTAGGCCAGTCAACTAGGTGGCTGTGGGAAGTCTTTTTCCAATTTGTACTTGGGTAAAGCTGAAGTAGAAATTTATAAAAATATGAATGTGTTGCTATCAAGTCTGCCTACATCTCAACAGCAATGCCCATGGACACGTCAGCACTTTTTAAAGTTCGAGTTTCCTGGGTAAAGGGATATCTTCATTTGGATGTGAACAGTCTCAGTGAAAAATAGCCAAGCAAATCCCAGATGCCAGCACATTCAGCTATATTTTAAGGTACTTAACTTCCTCTTTTCCATTCTTTATATTCATTGAAGTGTCCAAATTATAGGCTGCTACTCTGCATTGTGCAAGGCATCTGTCCCATAGCAGGCCCACTCTGCCTTCTCCAAATGGACTTCAGCAGCTTATAATTGTATCTCACTGAGAGTCATGGAAGTGACAGCATATAGAGATATTGTAATCTTGGGGATACAGTACTTTATTTGAAGTAACAATTCTGCATATGGTTAACCTTAGTTTTCTTCTTTTTAAAAAATTGCCTGGAAATACGCTTACCCAACCTCCGTCTTCATATGTGCACTGAGGATAATGGTAATACATGTCATCCTGCCACATTAGAAAGTTGCTATAGAAACCAAAGTAAATAATGTACCGGAGGGTTTAAAAGGTTTATGTACACTGGGCATGGTAGTTTACACCTGTAATCTCAGCACCTTGGGAGACCAAGGAAGGAAGATTGCTGGAACCCAAGAGCTCGAGACCAGCCTAGGCAATATAGTGAAACCTCAACTCTATAAAAAATTTAATAGGTAGCTGGGCATAGTGGCATGCACCTGTAGTCCCAGTTGTTTGGGAGGGTGAGGCATGAGGATCACTTGAGCCTGGGATGTTTTTTTTTTTATTTTTTCTATTTTTTATTTTATTATTAATCTACTTTAAGTTTTAGGGTACATGTGCACAATGTGCAGTTTAGTTACATATGTATACATGTGCCATGCTGGTGTGCTGCACCCATTAACTCGTCATTTAGCATTAGGTCTATCTCCTAATGCTATCCCTCCCCCGTCCCCCAACCCCACAACAGTCCCCAGAGTGTGATGTTCCCCTTCCTGTGTCCATGTGGTCTCATTGTTCAGTTCCCACCTATGAGTGAGAATATGCGGTGTTTGGTTTTTTGTTCTTGCGATAGTTTACTGAGAATGATGATTTCCAATTTCATCCATGTCCCTACAAAGGACATGAACTCATCATTTTTTATGGCTGCATAGTATTCCATGGTGTATATGTGCCACATTTTCTTAATCCAGTCTATCATTGTTGGACATTTGGGTTGGTTCCAAGTCTTTGCTATTGTGAATAATGCCGCAATAAACATACGTGTGCATGTGTCTTTATAGCAGCATGATTTATAGTCCTTTGGGTATATACTCAGTAATGGGATGGCTGGGTCAAATAGTATTTCTAGTTCTAGATCCCTGAGGAATCACCACACTGACTTCCACAATGGCTGAACTAGTTTACAGTCCCACCAACAGTGTAAAAGTGTTCCTATTTCTCCACATCCTCTCCAGCACCTGTTGTTTCCTGACTTTTTAATGACTGCCATTCTAACTGGTGTGAGATGGTATCTCATTGCGGTTTTGATTTGCACTTCTTTGATGGCCAGTGATGGTGAGCATTTTTTCATGTGGTTTTTGGCTGCATAAATGTCTTCTTTTGAGAAGTGTCTGTTCATGTCCTTTGCCCACTTTTTGATGGGGTTGTTTGATTTTTCTTGTAAATTTGTTTGAGTTCATTGTAGATTCTGGATATTAGCCCTTTGTCAGATGAGTAGGTTGCGAAAATTTTCTCCCATTTTGGAGGCTGCCTGTTCACTCTGATGGTAGTTTCTTTTGCTGTGCAGAAGCTCTTTAGTTTAATTAGATCCCATTTGTCAATTTTGGCTTTGGTTGCCATTGCTTTTGGTGTTTTAGACATGAAGTCCTTGCCCATGCCTATGTCCTGAATGGTAATGCCTAGGTTTTCTTCTAGGGTTTTTATGGTTTTAGGTCTAAAGTTTAAGTCTTTAATTCATCTTGAATTAATTTTTGTATAAGGTGGAAGGAAAGGATCCAGTTTCAGCTTTCTACATATGGCTAGCCAGTTTTCCCAGCACCATTTATTAAATAGGGAATCCTTTCCCCATTGCTTGTTTTTGTCAGGTTTGTCAAAGATCAGATAGTTGAAGATATGCGGCATTATTTCTGAGGGCTCTGTTCTGTTCCATTGATCTATATCTCTGTTTTGGTACCAGTACCATGCTGTTTTGGTTACTGTAGCCTTGTAGTATAGTTTGAAGTCAGGTAGCGTGATGCCTCCAGCTTTGTTCTTTTGGCTTAGGACTTGGTGATGCAGGCTCTTTTTTGGTTCCATATGAACTTTAAAGTAGTTTTTTCCAATTCTGTGAAGAAAGTCATTGGTAGCTTGATGGGGATGGCATTGAATCTATAAATTACCTTGGGCAGTATGGCCATTTTCACGATATTGATTCTTCCTACTCATGAGCATGGAATGTTCTTCCATTTGTTTGTATCCTCTTTTATTTCATTGAGCAGTGGTTTGTAGTTCTCCTTGAAGAGGTCCTTCACATCCCTTGTAAGTTGGATTCCTAGGTATTTTATTCTCTTTGAAGCAATTGTGAATGGGAGTTCACTCATGATTTGGCTCTCTGTTTGTCTGTTATTGGTGTATAAGAATGCTTGTGATTTTTGCACATTGATTTTGTATCCTGAGACTTTGCTGAAGTTGCTTATCAGCTTAAGGAGATTTTGGGCTGAGACAATGGGGTTTTCTAGGTATACAATCATGTCATCTGCAAACAGGGACAATTTGACTTCCTCTTTTCCTAATTGAATACTCTTTATTTCCTTCTCCTGCCTAATTGCCCTGGCTAGAACTTCCAACACTAGGTTGAATAGGAGTGGCAAGGGAGGGCATCCCTGTCGTGTGCCAGTTTTCAAAGGGAATGCTTCCACTTTTTGCCCATTCAGTATGATATTGGCTGTGGGTTTGTCATAGATAGCTCTTATTATTTTGAGATACGTCCCATCAAAACCTAATTTATTGAGAGTTTTTAGCACGAAGCATTGTTGAATTTTGTCAAAGGCCTTTTCTGCATCTATTGAGATAATCATGTGGTTTTTGTGTTTGGTTCTGTTTATATGCTGGACTGCATTTATTGATTTGTGTACATTGAACCAGCCTTGCATCCCAGGGATGAAGCCCACTTGATCATGGTGGATAAGCTTTTTGATGTGCTGCTGGATTCGGTTTGCCAGTATTTTATTGAGGATTTTTGCATCAATGTTCATCAAGGATATTGATCTAAAATTCTCTTCTTTGGTTGTGTCTCTGCCTGGCTTTGGTATCAGGATGATGCTGGCCTCATAAAATGAGTTAGGGAGGATTCCCTCTTTTTCTATTGATTGGAATAGTTTCAGAAGGAATGGTACCAGTTCCTCCTTGTACCTCTGGTAGAATCCGGCTGTGAATCCATCTGGTCCTGGACTCTTTTTGGTTGGTAAACTATTGATTATTGCCACAATTTCAGCTCCTGTTATTGGTCTATTCAGAGATTCAACTTCTTCCTGGTTTAGTCTTGGGAGAGTGTATGTGTCGAGGAATTTATCCATTTCTTCTAGATTTTCTAGTTTATTTGCGTAGAGGTGTTTGTAGTATTCTCTGATGGTAGTTTGTATTTCTGTGGGATCGGTGGTGATATCCCCTTTATCATTTTTTATTGCATCTATTTGATTCTTCTCTCTTTTCTTCTTTATTGGTCTTCCTAGTGGTCTATCAGTTTTGTTGATCCTTTCAAAAAACCAGCTCCTGGATTCAATAATTTTTTGAAGGGTTTTTTGTGTCTCTATTTCCTTCAGTTCTGCTCTGATATTAGTTATTTCTTGCCTTCTGCTAGCTTTTGAATGTGTTTGCTCTTGCTTTTCTAGTTCTTTTAATTGTGATGTCAGGGTGTGAATTTTAGATCTTTCCTGCTTTCTCTTGTGGGCATTTAGTGCTATAAATTTCCCTCTACACACTGCTTTGAATGTGTCCCAGAGATTCTGGTATGTTGTGTCTTTGTTCTCGTTGGTTTCAAAGAACATCTTTATTTCTGCTTTCATTTTTTTATGTACCCAGTAGTCATTCAGGAGCAGGTTGTTCAGTTTCCATGTAGTTGAGCGGTTTTGAGTGAGTGTCTTAATCCTGAGTTCTAGTTTGATTGCACTGTGGTCTGAGAGACAGTTTGTTATAATGTGTGATCTTTTACATTTGCTGAGGAGGGCTTTACTTCCAAGTATGTGGTCAATTTTGGAATAGGTGTGGTGTGGTGCTGAAAAAAGTGTATATTCTGTTGATTTGGGGTGGAGAGTTCTGTAGATGTCTATTAGGTCTGCTTGGTGCAGAGCTGAGTTCAATTCCTGGGTATCCTTGTTAACTTTCTGTCTCGTTGATCTGTCTAATGTTGACAGTGGGTTGTTAAAGTCTCCCATTATTATTGTGTGGGAGTCTAAGTCTCTTTGTAGGTCACTCAGGACTTGCTTTGTGAATCTGGGTGCTCCTGTATTGGGTGCACATATATTTAGGATAGTTAGCTCTTCTCATTGAATTGATCCCTTTACCATTATGTAATGGCTTTGTCTCTTTTGATCTTTGCTGGTTTAAAGTCTGTTTTATCAGAGACTAGCATTGCAACCCCTGCCTTTTTTTGTTTTCCATTTGCTTGGTAGATCTTCCTCCATCCTTTTATTTGGAGCCTATGTGTGTCTCTGCACGTGAGATGGCTTTCCTGAATACAGCACACTGATGGGTCTTGACTCTTCATCCAATTTGCCAGTCTGTGTCTTTTAATTGGAGCATTTAGTCCATTTACATTTAAAGTTAATATTGTTATGTGTGAATTTGATCCTGTCATTATGATGTTAGCTGGTTATTTTGCTCATTAGTTGATGCAGTTTCTTCCTAGCCTCGATGGTCTTTACCATTTGGCATGATTTTGCAGTGGCTGGTACCGGTTGTTCCTTTCCATGTTTAGTGCTTCCTTCAGGAGCTCTTTTAGGGCAGGCCTGGTGGTGACAAAATCTCTCAGCATTTGCTTGTCTGTAAAGTATTTTATTTCTCCTTCACTTATGAAGCTTAGTTTGGCTGGATATGAAATTCTGGGTGGAAAATTCTTTTAAGAATGTTGAATATTGGCCCCCACTCTTTTCTGGCTTGTAGAGTTTCTGCCGAGAGATCAGCTGTTAGTCTGATGGGCTTCCCTTTGTGGGTAACCCAGCCTTTCTCTCTGGCTGCCCTTAACATTTTTTCCTTCATTTCAACTTTGGTGAATCTGACAATTATGTGTCTTCGAGTTGCTCTTCTTGAGGAGTATCTTTGTTGCGTTCTCTGTATTTCCTGCATCCAAATGGTCGCCTGCCTTGCTAGATTGGGGAAGTTCTCCTGGATAATATCCTGCAGAGTGTTTTCCAACTTAGTTCCATTCTCCCCGTCACTTTCAGGTACACCAATCAGACGTAGATTCAGTCTTTTCACATAGTCCCATATTTCTTAGAGGCTTTGTTCATTTCTTTTTATTCTTTTTTCTCTAAACTTCCCTTCTTGCTTCATTTCATTCATTTCATCTTCCATCACTGATACCCTTTCTTCCAGTTGATCACATCGGCTCCTGAGGCTTCTGCATTCTTCACGTAGTTCTCCAGCCTTGGCTTTCAGCTCCATCAGCTCCTTTAAGCACTTTTCTGTATTGGTTATTCTAATTATACATTCGTCTACATTTTTTTCAAAGTTTTGAACTTCTTTGCCTTTGGTTTGAATTTCCTCCTGTAGCTCGGAGTAGTTTGATCATCTGAAGCCTTCTTCTCTCAACTCGTCAAAGTCATTCTCTGTCCAGCTTTGTTCCGTTGCTGGTGAGGAACTGTGATCCTTTGGAGGAGGAGAGGTGCTCTGCTTTTTAGAGTTTCCAGTTTTTCTGCTCTGTTTTTTCCCATCTTTGTGGTTTTATCTATTTTTGGTCTTTGATGATGGTGATGTACAGATGGGTTTTTGGTGTGGATGTCCTTTCTGTTTGTTAGTTTTCCTTCTAACAGACAGGACCCTCAGCTGCAGGTCTGTTGGAGTTTGCTAGAGGTCCACTCCAGACCCTGTTTGCCGGGGTATCTGCAGAGGTGGCTGCAGAACAGTGGATTTTCATGGACCGCAAATGCTGCTGTCTGATCGTTCCTCTGGAAGTTCTGTTGCAGAGGAGTACCCGGTCGTGTGAGGTGTCAGTCTGCCCCTACTGGGGGGTGCCTCCCAGTTAGACTGCTTGGGGGTCAGGGGTCAGGGACCCACTTGAGGAGGCAGTCTGCCCATTCTCAGATCTCCAGCTGCGTTCTGGGAGAACCACTGCTCTCTTCAAAGCTGTCAGACAGGGACATTTAAGTCTGCAGAGGTTACTGCTGTCTTTTTGTTTGTCTGTGCCCTGCCCCCCAGAGGTGAAGCCTACAGAGGCAGGGAGGCCTCCTTGAGCTGTGGTGGGCTCCACCCAGTTGGAGCTTCCCAGGCTGCTTTGTTTACCTAAGCAAGCCTGGGCAATGGTGGGCACCCCTCCCCCAGCCTGGCTGCCACCTTGCAGTTTGATCTCAGACTGCTGTGCTAGCAATCAGGGAGACTCCGTGGGTGTAGGACCCTCTGAGCCAGGTGTGGGATATAATCTCCTGGTGCGCCGTTTTTTAAGCCTGTCGGAAAAGCACAGTATTAGAGTGGGAGTAACCCAATTTTCCAGGTGCCGTCTGTCACCACTTTCTTTGACTAGGAAAGGGAATTCCCTGATCTCTTACGCTTCCCGAGTGAGGCAATGCCTCGCCCTGCTTCGGCTCATGCACGGTGCGCTGCACCCACTGTCCTGTGCCCACTGTCTGGCACTCCCTAGTGAGATGAACCCGGTACCTCAGATGGAAATGCAGAAATCACCCGTCTTCTGCGTTGCTCACGCTGGGAGCTGTAGAACGGAGCTGTTCCTATTCAGCCATCTTGGCTGCCTCTATGAGCCTGGGATGTTGAGGCTGCAATGAGCCATGATCACGGCACTGCACTCCAGCCTGGGTGATAGAGTAAGACCCTGTCTCAAAAAAAAAAAAAAAAAAAAAAAAGGCTTATGTTCCTAGTGTTATGCACTAAATTGTATCTACCTCTGTAATCCATTCATATGTTAAGTCCTAACCCTAGTACCTTAGAATGTGTCCACGATTAGAGATGGTCTTAAAGGATTTAGTTGAAGTCTTTATGATGGTCCCTAATCCAATATGACTGATGTTCTTATAAAAAGAGAAGATTTGGATACACAAGGAATGAAACCAGAAAAATGCACAGACAGAAGGACGACCATGCAAGAACACAATGAGAAGTAGCCATGCCATCTGCAAGCCAAGGAAAGAGGCCTCAAAAGAAACTGAACCTGCTGACATATTTGATCTTGGACTTCTGGCCTCCTGAATCATGAGAAAACATATTTCTATTGTTTAAGCCACCTCGTCTGTGGTATTTCTTATGAGAGCTCTGGAAAATGAATATACTTATTCTACCCACTTAGACACATTTTAATTTTAAAAAATCATATATGGAGTTTTGTGCCAGGTATTAACACGTTTAATTCTCATAACCCAATGAGGTAGGTACCCATTTTACAGATGAGTAAACAGAGAGAGGTGAAAAAAAAATCTGCCTAGTGTCTCACAGGTAATAAATGGTAGATGATGAAATTCAAACCTATGCACCCTGGCTCAAGAATACATGCTCTGAATTTTGGATCCAATTTGCTCAGATTCCTCTACTTAAGGAAATGAATATTAATTTCAAGCACTGTTATAAACTGAATGTTTATATCTCCCCAAATTCATATGTTGAAGCCCCAGCCCTTAAGGTGATGATATTTGGAGACTGACCTTTGGGAGGTAATTAGGGTTAGAAGAGGATGGGGCCCTCATGAAAAGATTGGTTCCCTTACAAGAAAAGATGCCAGAGCACTTGCACTGTCTTTTTTTCTCTCTCTCTCTTTCTTTCTCTCCCTGCCATATGGGACTACAAAAAGAAGTTGGCTTTCTGCAAGTCAGGAAGGAACTCTCACCAAAGCTCAACTATGCTGGCCCCTTAATCTAGGATTTCTAGCCTCCAGAGCTGTGAGAAAATAAATTTTTGTTAAGTTGTCCAGTCTACGGTATATCGTTACGGCAACCTGAGCAGAGTAATGTAAGCACCAACAAAGATTCATTTAGCATCTACTACATGGGATCAGGCACTGAGTATATGGTGGGAATAAACTGTACCTGTACTTAAGATATTTCCAGTCTAGAAGACAGGACAGACAGTAAGTATACAGAAAAATATTTTCAAAAAATGCCAACCTTTCTATGCTTTGAATTTATCCTTATCATTGAGCACTTAACATACTGCAATTTTGCTTATATATTTTGTTAAACTATTTTCTCCATTAGAATGCAAGCTTCATGAGGGAAGGGATCTTTTATCCTCAGTGCTTTATCTGATCTTCCTAGAACACTGTGTTCGTCCATTTTTGTTGCTATAAAGAAATACTTGTGACTGGGTAACCTTCAAAAAACTAGATGTGTTTGGCTCATGTATTTGGTTTGGTTTCTGGTGAGGCCCCAGCAAGCTTATACTCACGGCAGTAGGCAAAAGGGGGGAGCCAGCATGTCACATGGCAAGAGGGGGAGCAAGAGGTGGGGTGGGAGCAGGGGCAGTTGCCAGGCTCTTTAAACAACCAGCTTTCAAGTGAACTCATTACTATGCGGAAGGCACAAAGCCATTCATGAGATAATTTGCCCCCATGATCCAAACATCTTCCATTAAGCCAGACTTCTAACATTGGTGGTCACATTTCAACATGAGACTTGGAGGGGACAAAACATCCAAACTATATCAAACAGTGTCTGGCACATAGTGGGGGTTGAAGGAGTATTCGCTGAATGAGTAATTACAACTTAGGCTAAATAACATAAAATACATGAATGGAGTGCCATGATCAAGAAAAGTTTGTGAGCATCTGAAGCTTGCAGATGGTCAGAGCCCTTGCTTGGTTACAAAGCCCATGGATGAGAGAAGTGCTCAAGTGGCAGGGGGGTGGGGGACAGGCCTATCTGACTGTCGACCTCTTACCATTTTCACTGTAGCCATTTGCTGTCTTCTGAACAGTGCCTTTTCTAAGGCCTTTAAGACAACGGCAAACAAATTCATTAAAATCTAAAACTATGCCATGAAACAAACTTCTTATCTAGTGATATGGTTGGGCTTTGTTCCCCACCCAAATCTCATCTTGAATTGTAATCCCCATAATCCCCACGTGTCAAGGGAGAGACCTGATGGGAGGTGATTGAATCATGGATGCAGTGTCCCCCGTGCTGTTCTTGGGATAGTGAGTGAGTTTTCATGAGGTATGATGGTTTTATAAGTGCCTGACCATTCCTCCTTCACCCTGTTGCTCTCTCTCACCTGCCGCCATGTAAGATGTGCTTCTTCCCTTCAGCCATGATTACAAGTTTCCTGAGGCCTTCCCTGCCATGCAGAACTATGAGTCAATTAAACCTCTGTTCTTCATAAATTACCCAGTCTTGGGCAGTTATAGCAATGAGAGAATGAACTAGTACATCTATTATATGAATATTTAATTTTAGCAGACATAACAGAAAATGATAAATAACATACAGCTAAGCTTGGGTTTAATGGTCAGTTCTTCTTGGGTATTGGTAAAGGCCTTCACCAGGGGAGGTTTTAGGACTGTCTCTAGTCTAGTCCTCGTCTGAGTCTTCCTGTTCAATGATCCAGTTCCATATCTCTAACCTGAGTTACCCACCGTTTAAACTGTCCTCCTTGCTTCAATATCAATGAAGTGATTGTGGTGGATGCCTAAGGCATGTCCTCTCAGTTGTCCCTCTCTTTCACATAGCTGTAGCTGGGGATGCCATACTCCAGTGTGGCCCTATGTGTGGTACCTGGTAACACTAGTTGGTGAGGGGGGAACACCCAACTCAACTTGGTCTGTCTGAGCTTCTTCCCTGAGAGTTCAATTAGGGCCCCTTTAGAGTCTTCAACTGTAAAACCTAAAACGTAAGAGTTATATCAACCATGTTTTTGGTCATGTGTAGCAAGAGTGATAAATGGAACAAAGCTTAGGAATGGGAGATTCCAAACAGTGTTCAAATTGTCTCATGTCCAGTTGCTTCTTTAAGGCTGAGTTTTGTAAAATATTTGAGTATTATTGCACATAAGATTTTCATTTCCATTTGCCCAGTTCATGCTGGTTTCTGTCACATGGTTACAAAAGCAGATTAACTAACACAACCAACTCCCAATCTCCCTGCTGTCAGTTGCTTAAAGTTTGTTTCTAAACAGCAAGCAAATCTCTATTTTTTGAAGATCCTTAGAGTGATTCTGATGTTGGTGATCCATGGAGAAACACCTCAAGAATCACAGGTATAGAGGGTGGAAAATTATGTGAGGGTTTTCATGAGTGTGAATAACATGATATTGGTTTAGAATTATTGGAGAAAGAATGAACAAAGGATTGAAAAGTGACAGGGCAATCATGGATGGAGTTTATTGCCGGAGACCCAGGCGGTAACAGGGCCATAGCAGCAGCAACCAAGAATGAAGGAAAGATTGAGAGATATGTGGGAAATAGTGTTGATATGTTCCAGTGACAGGTTAGCTTTAAGGAGTTATGATGAGAATATTTGGCTTAGGTAACTTGTTAGGTTTGTTATACCGGTAACCAGAATCAGTAATATCAGAGTAAAAGCAGGTTTTGAAAAAGAAGGTGATTTCAGTACTGAAATATTAAGTCATACAAAATATGTTATTATTTTATTATTAGAGAATGAGAAGCAACTTAGCATATGATCAAGAGCACAGACTGCCTGGGTTTACATTCTGATTCTATCACTTAACCAAATTTGTGACTTTGGACAAGTTATTTAACTTTTCTGTGCCCCAATTTCTTCATTTATAGAATAGATTTAGTAATAATTTCTTCCTCACAGGATTCTTATGAAGATTAAGTTAATATTTATAAAAACACTTAGACTAGTGCCTGGCAGAGAATAAGTACTACATGATAAATAAATAAACTATGAATAAAATTTGATTAATGTTATGGATATGCATAGTCAAACAGGAGAGTCTGTGTTGTGCTTTGTGCCTCATCCTCACAACTTTTAAATAAGAGAATGATGATGGTCTTTCCTCACATTGGCAGATTGCATTTTCTTTTTTGTTTTGTTTTGTGAAGTTGAAGAGTGCAGTACACACAGTTCAAGAATTCAGAATCCTATTCCTGTGACTGTCTGTGGGAACTGTGTTTCATTGGAGACCAGTGGCTTGCCCCCTGAAGTGCTTTGGGATTCTGCTCAAAAGGAAAAGTTGATCAATTGGTACCCAGGCTTTATTCTTTTCTCTGAGCCCCATCACTAATGGCCAATGAAGTTGGGCTGTGAAACCAAGAAACAAGTGATACAGGAGGTAGAAGGAAATTATTTAGGCGGATAGTGAGGGCAAAAGAGTCCTCACCAGAACTTGCCTTGTAACAAAAGCAGCCCTAGAAATTATTTTTTTCTAATCAAAAGCAGCCTGAAAAATTGAGCTGGAAACATACATAAGGAAGCTAGAAGCATGCATGGGGATGTGGGAATGCCAGCAGCTGTGCCAGTAAAAAGGGCTACCTGGGGGCCAGGCATGTCCACCAGGGACAATAAGAAAGAAATGGGCAGTATAGTACAGCTCATGCTGAAAACCTGCCTGCATAATTAAAGATGGGGGTATGCACTGCCAGAGATTTGCACCCTAGGCAAATGGCACAACTGGCCCTAACCAGTTATTTGTGCTCTATGTAGATCAGACACCGCCTCCCCACCAGCTCATGTATAAAACCCCTTACATTTCACGGCAGATCGGCCATCCATTTTTCCAGGACCCCTCTCTGTAGGAGAGAGCTATTCTCTTTTTTTGCCTATTAAATTTCTGCTCTTAACCTCACTCTTTGTGTATCCACATCCTTGATCTCTGTGGCCATGAGACAACAAACTTCAGTTGTCACCCAGACAACAAGGCTGCTTCACCAGCATGAGGTGGAACTCCTTCCACTAATTTAAAATTACTTCCACTAGTAAGAAGTGTAATGAGAGTTAGGCAGAATGTACCAAAAGGGATGAGCTAGGTTAGCTTGATTGTTTCTGAATGATGTTTTTAAATTGTAATACTGTTTTATCTATAATGTAATGAGATATACTGGGAGTATACATAGACAGGGAGTAAACTTCTGGTGGTCTAAGAAATTTTATCTGGCAGAGCTCTGCATCCAAGAGCCATTATATAAATTGTTGTGTGATATTCTGAGTGGTGAAAACCACAATAAGATTTCTATGTTATCCAAATTTTATTTTATTTTTCCTGATACGTTTCTGGAAAGTGACAGCTTTCCAGAAAAAGATAATGAGAGGTTTTTAGTTTTTTTTAATTAATTGATAACTCCAGATCTGGTAAAATGCATTTTCTATCTATCTTTTTCTTTTTCTATTTGCCTCAGAGGCCTATTATTACAAGATGTTTTTAGAGTATGTATTATTTTAAAACTGAATAGTTAAGGGAACTTTTAGAAAGATAAAATTCTAAGAAGCTTCATAGTAAATAAAGTCACAAAATAAGGGAAAAAATCGCTTTTGGTAAAATTTTGGTAAGTATGCCTTGTCTTTGTTATTTCTGATTTCACTGCTTATCCCCATTTTTGATCTTTCTCCATGATCCTTCTTATACAAATCTACTCTTTGGAAAAGTTCTGATAAAATAATTATCTTGTTCAAAAGATGAGTGACTGGGAAAGGTTGTTTTTCTTAATCTGTGGTATTTGCATCTTAACAGTTTGGAGTCCAAAATAAAAATCTTTGGTAATGTGATTTCAGATATCCTAGCCTACTCAAGAGTAGAGGGACATCATTGTGTTAGATCTGGCATTCCAAGCCTATCTGAATCATCCTATTTAGTTCACTTTACAATGGGGAGTATAGAAGAGAGCAGTCTTTGAAGCACCCACCCTGTGACAGGTGGCCAGAAGCAAGGTAACACCGAAAAAGCCTAAAAATGGGTCATAAGGTATCAACTTAGTCATGCTTCACTCTCAGAACTGATGATTTGGAGGGAGAAGTGTCTCTCTTCCTCTACTCCAGCCCCAAGCAATCCTAAGGTTTCCGGCTCCAAAGGTCTTTACTGTCTTTACTCAAAGATTTAGTCACCTTAGCCTAATTCTCCTGATGCCAGTCCCAACAAGCCAATCTAGAAAAAGCCTGTTAAATTCCCCAAATTTTTTCATAGACAGGGTTACCCTCACTTGGGCCTACCATGAAATGCACAAAGCAAGGAACAACTCTAGTGGAAAACTATCTTCTTAGGAGCAAGTTACTGGAGAGAGAAAAAGTCATTTGAGAATCAAAGCACATTGATCTCAATAAGTGAAAGAGTTTATACTTTTCCATCTTGAACTCATGAAATAATTGTTTTTAGTTTTTTCCAGATTGAGTTCTTAGTTTTACCATAGAGCACACATACAGTGTTAATACAAGTGATTCATTTTAACATCTGGACTGATAAAGAGAACAGTATATGGAGAGTTTTAAAACACGTCTTATATTTAAAACATATATGAAAATGAACATGTCCTATCTTGGGCCTGTTCATTGGATACCCCAATGAACCCTGCAGAGAACTAGCTCTGGGGCAAGTGGATAATTATGTGTCCAATCTCCCTATCAACAACTTCCTTTCCCCACCCTCCCGTCCCTGGGAACATTCAGAATAACAATCACTCACCCTAACAGTGAGGCCTCATCTTTAAGCTGTTGTTTGTCTCTGTCTCCACCTGAGACTCTGACTACCTTTGTTTGTAGAAAGAAATTCAGAGGGAATGGGAAGAGAGTGGGAAGAAGATGCAAGATTTGATGGAGTAACTAGTGTTCTGCCTGCAGTCTCTCCCACAGCCCTTGTAGTAGGCAAAATAATGCCCCCCACCAAAGATATCCACATTGGAACATCTTGAACCTGTGAATACATTACATGACAAAAAGGATTTGCAGAAGTTATTAAGGTTAAGAATCTTGACATGGGGGGATTATCCTGGATTATTTGGGTAGGCCCATTCTGATCATATGAGTCCTGAATAATGGAACAGGAGGTCAGAAGAGTGCGTCAGAGAGAAGAGGTATGAGAAGGACTTGACCAGTCATTGCTTGCTTTGAAGATGGAGGAAGGGGCCAGGAGCCAAGGAATGCAGGTATCTTCCAGAAACTGAGAACAGCCTTCAGTTTACAGCCAGCAAGAAATTGGAGACTTCTGTCCCCTACAAATGAAATGAACCAAATCATTCCAACAGTTTGAGCAGAAAATGGAGTATCCTCTAGAGAGGAACATGGCTTGTGGATACCCTGATTTTAGCTCAAAGAGACCCACATTGGACTTCTGGCCTATATAGCAATTAGATAATAAGTTTGTGTGGTTTTCAGTCCATAAGTTTATGGTAATTTATTACAGTAGTGATGGAAAACTGATACCGTTCTTCTTCTCTGTGTCCTTTCTGATGACCACTCCCATTTATCTCTCCTCAGTTATTCTTCTGACTTGCAGATGAAAAATAATAATAGCATCCTTTAATGGATATTTAAGATGTGCAAGGCAGGCATTATGATAAATATATTACTTGCACTATTTAATTTTCACAACAGCAATTGAGGTAGGTATTTTTATTTCCCCAGTTTACCATTGTCCAAATGAAGGCTTAGTAGCTCAATGATACCTTGCAGTTAAATAAGTGATGCGACCTACATAACAATGGGAATGCCTTATCCCTGAGACCCAAGTTAAAATGGCTGAAATGCTGATGGTTCCCCAGCCTGTGAAAATCCAAAGCCATTTCCAGGAATTTTGTCATGTACTACTCTTATGTTCTTTTGGTAGCTAATGTAATCCAGGAAAACTTCTGAGAAGTGTTAGGGCTAACTACTTCCTCTCAAAACTTGCTGTCAAGATACAAGTGAAAGCAAGTCTCACTTCAAATTCTGTCACAAATACAAATATTTATTAAACAAGCAGTTACCAGTATGCAGGGCCAACACAGTTTGTAAACCTATAAATTAGAAAGTTTCAGTATTTTGTCCTTTAAGGTGTTCTAACCATACCTTGTACAAAACGTTCACTCAAGCAGATAGGACCATATTCCAGACAACACACTCTCCTAGCCTTACAGCTGGCACAGACAACCATCAATCCTCCTAAAATAGTGGCCGGACATCGGACTTCCTAAAGATCAAGCTTGAATATAGTGATGATTAATTTTATGTGGCAACTTGACTGGACCATGAGGATATCCAGATATTTGGTCAAATGTCATTATAGGTGTTTCCATGAGGGTGTTTTTGGATGATATATACATTTAAATTAGTGGACTGAGTAAAGTAGGTTGCCCTCCACAATGTGGAGAGGCCTCACCCAATCAGCTGAAGACTTGAAGAAGAACAAAGGCTGACCATCCCTCAAGTAAGAGAGAATTCTTCCAGTCTGATGGCCTTTGAGCAGGAAGTGAAACATTACCTCTTCCTGGATACCTGATATGCTGGCCTCTGGACTGGAACGACACCATCAACTCTCTGGGTCTCCAGGTTGCTGGCTCAGCCTGCAGATCTTGAGACTTGCAGCCCCCATAATCACCTGAGCAAATTTATAATAAATCTCTCTCTGTCTCAAATATATGTGTGTGTATATATATTTATTTATATATGCTATATATAGATTGTATATATATATATGAAATGGAACCAATAGCAGAAAGATTATACATATGTGTGTGTATATATATGGTAAGCACACATATATGCTAATGGAACCAATAGGATATATATACACACACTGAAACGTCATTATGCAGTGTTATGCTATATAGAACGAGATTTTCATATATATATAAATATATATATATATATAGTCTGTACTACATAACATTTTGGTCAATGACAAACTGCATATATGACAGTGGTGCCATAAGATTATAATGGAGCTGAAAAACTCGTATCACCTAGTGACATCTTGATGATCCCAACCGTAGGCCTGGGCTAATAGATGGTTTGTGTCTTAGCTTTGAACAAAAAAGTTTAAAAATGTTTTAAAAGATTTTTTTAAAATAGAAAAAACTTATAGAATAAGGATATAACTGTAAAATGTGTTTGTGTTTTAAGCTTACAATAGTCAAAAAGTTAAAATTAGGTTTACAAAGTAAGTTATAATAAGCTACAATTAATGTATTATTAGAGAAATAAAACTATTTTAAAAAATATATTTAGTGTAGCCTAAGTCTACTATCTACAGTAGTATAATGTACTAGGCCTTCACATTCACTCGCCACTCACTCACTGACTCACCCAGAGCAACTTCTAGTCCTGCAAGCTCCGTTCATGGTAAGTGCCGTACAAGTATACAATTTTTTAAATCTTTTATCTTTACCATACCTCTTCTATGTTTAGACATACAAATACTTATCATTGTGCTATGATTGCCTACAGAATTCAGTGCAGTAACACGTTGTACAGGTTTGTAGCCTAGGAGAGCAATAGGCTCTACCATACAACCTCAGTGGGTAGTGGGCTATATACTATGTGTATGTACACTCTATGATATTTGCACAATGATGAAGTTGCCTAACACGCCTTTCTCACAACATATTCCTGTTAAGCAATGCATGACTACACACACACACACACACACACACACACACACACACGCCATTGGTTCTGTTTTTCTAGAGAACCCTTACTAATACAGATGCCAGCCCTAAGGGTTCAGGCTATAGACCTTTCCAGAATTTTATGCCTTGTGTTAGTTTCAAAGTACTTTTAAAAATTTACACTGTACTAGTTCTGGAGTCTAGAAGTCAGAAACTGAAGGACCAGCAGGGCTATGCTTCCTATAAAACTCTGGGTAAAATTCTTGCATGTCTCTTCTTAGCTTCCAGTGGTGGCCTTCAATCCTTGACAGTCCTTGGCTTGCAGCTGCATATCTCCAATCTCTGCCTCCATCTTCATGTGGCATTTTTCCTGTGTGTCTCTCTCTTTTCTTGTAAGGATGTCAGTTATACTGGAAATGGCCCACCTTGTCTTAACGGATTATATCCCTTCCAAATAAGGTCCAAATAAGGTGCTGGAGGTTAGGACATCAACATACCTTTTGGTATGTTGGCATACAATCCATAATTTGTATTTATGTAATATTTTAACCAATCCAGACATACCGAAGACCTTTTAATTTTACCAATGAAATCAATTTTTAAAAATTAATCATGCTAATTAAGCCATTAGTTTCACGCAAGAAAATTCATTTGATGTGCTAATTTTCTTTTTTTCTTTTTGAGTCAGAATCTTGCTCTTTTAACCAGGCTGGAGTGCAGTGGCACAATCTTGGCTTACTGCAATCTCTGTCTCTCAGGGCTCAAGTGATTCTCCTTCCTCAGCCTCCTGGGTAGCTGGGACTACAGGTGTGTGCCACCACGCCTGGCTGATTTTGTATTTTTAATAGAGACAGGGTTTCGCCATGTTGGCCAGGCTGGTCTCAAACTCCTGACCTCAAGGGATCTGCCTGCCTCAGCCTCCCAAAGTGCTGGGTTTACAGGCATGAGCCACTGCACCCAGCCTAATGTGCTAATTATTCATGTCATGCTAAAAAGCCTTAGTTGTTCATGGAGGTATCAAGAGCTGTCGGTACAAGCTGGCTGGCCACCCCTGCAAGGGCATTATTAGGTCAATAGTCTACCTGGAGAGTTGAAGTTTAAGAGGCATATACACAATATAACACTATCTATGCTGAAGTTCTTTAAAGTAAGTCACAGACAATGGAACGTGTGTACAATGTCTCTTCTGATCTGCATTGACTCAGCTGCAGATACATATTTCTTCATCAAGAAATTCATTCATACGAGTCATTTCTTACATTTGCTCAACTTTAGGCTGGTCCCTCCTCTTTTTACCTACTCTTTCATCAGTTAAGAAACAAATTCCTCTCCTTGCTCCCTGCTTCTGTTGTTTTTGAGCATGCTCTTTGGGTGTCATTCTTTACTCCATAATGCTTCTCAAAATATATCCCTTCCAAGCAAATCCATTGCTTCTCCTCAGGAGAATCCTCATGATTCCGTTTTCTTTCTCTCCACATGAGCATTTGAACCCAGACCTGTCTGACAGTAGAGCCTGAGTTAGCCATGACATTATACTGCATCACCTGTATTACACTAAAACCAAGAATAGCCCAACTATAAACAAGTCCAGCACACCATGCAACTGCTGATAAGACCAGGGTAGTTAAAACTTCATTAACTACTATTAATTCAAAAGCAGCTGTACGATTGGGTTTTAGAGGGAAGATGAAATGTAAATGAACTAATTTTGGAAAGTCCTTTTTTATTTAAATAAATTGGTCATAACTACATATATTTGAAATAACACTTAAATGGAACTTCAACAAATGGAACGTAAGGAAATTTTAAAAATTACTCTCCCACTGAGCAGATGAATCATTTTTAATGAGCCTCTAGGCTTCGCTTGCTTCCTCTGATGTTGGCAATATATACTTCTCCTCAACTAGTGTGAGTGTGGAGATTCTATATCTACTTCTATATCTGTATGAGACATAAGCACTTGCATACAGACTCATAGTTGCATACAGACAAATAGCAATATTTGCTATTGCTCAAATTATTCCCACCTTGTGGCTCCCACGTATTTCTTACTAGGTTCTAAGTGAGCATGCGTGTTCTATGATAAGACCCAAAATACAATGGCTATTAGCCACACAAGCAGAAATATCTGGGTGCCTTTAAAAATAGTAAGGTGTTGTCATTGGACCACTACTCAAAAACCTATACTTGCAATTCATGTTGCTAAATCCTTAGGAATAGCATCCCTCCTTCATTGTGAGTATGGAAAATTCACAATTGTGGTAAAAAAAAAAAAAAGAAAAACTGGATGATGCTTCAAATTTGTCTGCCATTTAGATGAATTTGTGTTTGAAGTGTCATTGAAAGAACACATCTCTGCAACCTATCTGCAGAGGCAGTTCTGTAATAGAAGAGGCAAGTTCAAGTTCCATCAGGGGTCAGGCAGCTGACAGGTGATGAAAATGGACCAGCTAAGTGCTGTAGTAAACTCAGACATGCATGGCTCTTCTAAAAACAGCAGTTGTCTCTCATCTTCACCTCATTGTTATCAATGGCTATATATTGCCACTTAACACAGTATTTTTAACTGAAGCTAGAAATCTATAATTTTGTGTGAAATTTATGGCTCAATTTCTTTGAAAAACAAAATCCATTTGGGAGTTTGGTCCATTTGCCGTGAAAAATCACTAGTTTGCAACTCGTATTCTACAGTGATGACAAAAACAAAGAACAAAAACCTCCTTACTGGTGTTCTATTCATTTTCTTTGCTCTGCAAAGAAATCTGTTAACAGTTTAACTTAGGATTTCCTAACTTATTTCAACATTAAATTTGTTTGTTTCCTTGTTGAGAAGGGTGTATGAGAGCATGCTAGCTATAACTTTTTTTAGTTGTTTGGTAAAACACATTTGGAAAGACACTGGAGACTGACATCCTCTGTATTATCTCTGATTCCACGTTTCCATGAAGTTGTCTTTTCCATAATGAAATGAGATAAAGACGCGATGTTTGTCTTTGAGTTAGTGTTTCCATTAGCTTTTAAAATGCCATCTTTTTTTTCTCATTTTTAAAAATGAGAGTACCTTTATAACTTTCTTTCTTGAACTTTATAAGACCAACACCAGGGACTAGGGATAGGGGAAATGGGTAGTGACTATTTAACAGGTACGGGGATTCTTTTTGGAATTATAAAAGTGTTCTAGAATTAGAGGTGATGATTGCACATCATTTTGAATATACTAGATGTCATGAAATTATACAGTTTGAACTGGTTAAAATGGTAATTTTTGTTATATAAATTTTACCTCAATTTTCTCAAAAAAAGAAAAACTATTGTCATAGGGCTAGGATGTGTACTTACTATTAAAGGGGGCATACAGCATCAGATAAGGGTACCATATTTTATTCTGTTTTGTTTTCTTATTCGATGGCTCTGTTTCTCAAACTCCTATGTGACTCTTAATCTCCCTAATATTCAACCAAAAATTTCCTTGCTGATATTTAAACATTTCTTGCTCTATATTTATAGGTGCTATGAACTGAATTGTGCTCCCCATCCCCAATTCATATATTGAAACACTAACACCCAAGATCTCACACAATATTTGAAGATAAGGTTTTTAGGAGTAAGTAAGGCTAAATAAGACCATAAGGGTGGGGTCCTAATCCAACAGCATTGGTGGCCTTATAGGGAGGGAGGGGGAGAGAGAGCAAGTGAGCACGTGCAAGGAAGTGCGTCCTCCCCATGCATGCATGAAGAAAAACCCATGTGAGCACACAGCAGGAAGATTAAGTCTGCAAAGAGAGGAAGAGAGCCTTTGCCAGAACCTGACCTTGCTGGCACTCTGATCTCAGACTTCCAGTCTTTAGATCCATGAGAAAATCAATGTCTGTTGTTTAAGCCACTCAGTCTATGGTATTTTGTTGTGACAGCCCAAGCTAAGACAACAGGTTAGCTGAATATTAACCATCACCTTCTTTTTTTTTTTTTTAATTAAAGTTCTAGGGTACATGTGCACAACGTGCAGGTTAGTTACGTATGTATACATGTGCCATGTTGGTGTGCTGCACCCAGTAACTCGTCATTTAACATTAGGTATATCTCCAAATGCTATCCCTCCCCCTTCCCCCCACCCCACAACAGGCCCCGGTGTGTGATGTTCCCCTTCCTGTGTCCATGTGTTCTCATTGTTCAATTCCCACCTATGAGTGAGAACATGCGGTGTTTGGTTTTTTGTCCTTGCGATCGTTTGCTGAGAATGATGGTTTCCAGCTTCATCCATGTCCCTACAAAGGACATGAACTCATCATTTTTTATGGCTGCATAGTATTCCATGGTGTATATGTGCCACATTTTCTTAATCCAGTCTATCATTGTTGGACATTTGGGTTGGTTCCAAGTCTTTGCTATTGTGAATAGTGCCGCAATAAACATACGTGTGCATGTGTCTTTGTAGCAGCATGATTTATAATCCTTTGGGTATATACCCAGTAATGGGATGGCTGGGTCAAACGGTATTTCTAGTTCTAGATCCCTGAGGAATTGCCACACCGACTTCCACAATGGTTGAACTAGTTTACAGTCCCACCAACAGTGTAAGTGTTCCTCTTTCTCCACATCCTGTCCAGCACCTGTTGTTTCCTGACTTTTTAATGATCGGCATTCTAACTGGTGTGAGATGGTATCTCATTGTGATTTTAATTTGCATTTCTCTGATGGCCAGTGATGATGAACATTTTTTCATGTGTCTTTTGCCTGCATAAATGTCTTCTTTTGAGAAGTGTCTTTTCATATCCTTTGCTCACTTTTTGATCGGGTTTTTTTTTCTCGTAAATTTGTTTGAGTTCATTGTAGATTGTGGATATTAGCCCTTTGTCAGATGAGTAGGTTGCAAAAATTTTCTCCCATTCTATAGGTTGCCTGTTCACTCTGATGGTAGTTTCTTTTGCTGTGCAGAAGCTCTTTAGTTTAATTAGATCCCATTTGTCCATTTTGGCTTTTGTTGCCATTGCTTTTGGTGTTTTAGACATGAAGTCCTTGCCCATGCCTATGTCTTTCTAACAAGTCCTACCTGAGTGTCCATAGAGAAAGCCACAAGAGAGCTCTGCATTTTAAGGCAATGGAATGCATCTAAAGTTGGCAGAGAATGGCTATGTGTCCCCATCGTGTATTTTAGCATTAGTTTTTATGCATTGTTGAACAGTTTATGATCTAGACCTGTGTCACATATATTTATAGTCTTCTCCAAAATGTAGTTTTGATCAAAGTTGCTCATGATGTGACTTGGAAGTAAGTCTGGGGAAGGATGAATTGTCTAAGTGAACTTTTAAAATTAATTTCAGTGCTTTGTATCCACGTTACCTCACAGTGCTCTCTGTGGAGTTTCCATGCAATTAGAATTCAGCTTTACCCATATCAACTGGGATCACTGAAGAAAGACAGGAACTCTGATGACAAATAGCTACGATTTTGCAAGATCAGTATTAGGCTAAGTCATAACTATTTATTGCTTCCAAGTCTCTTTATCTTTTCAGGCAGCTCTCTATTAGTCTTAGTGCCATCATAATGTCATGTGGCCTATGCCATGGGTTGCTGCTTGCAATACTGGGCGAGGTGATTCAGTAGAATATGGTCAAGCTCTCAGTGTTACATGTTGCCATTCACATACCAGAGTTAAGTCTAATGTTGCTCATCCCTGGTGGCTTTAGCAGTTGAAGAGCTACAACCCTCCCATGTATTTTCAATGTTCACGAGTGGAGATTACAACAAGGACATACTTGGTTTGCTTTTTGTGTAGTACTGCAAGAGGACTGCCAAGCATTTATGATGACCATGTTGTCTTGTTGTGTGAGCTATACCACTGATACACTTTAGAAAAAATTTTTGCAAATCTAGATGTTACTAAGGGCTTTTGTTGTCCACATTGCATCCACCTCTCTGCATCTTATACTTGCTTCTCCCATCCTGGGGTATGAAGGAGGAAACACTTTAGCACTGGGAGAACTGTAGTGGTCCTTCACAGCTCTGGGAGAGGAGCATGCTGTCTATTGCTTCAGAACGAGGCAGGTACACACACTAACTTGTCTTTTAAAACTGCTTTATTTGAATACACAATAATAATAATAGACAGAATTTCACACAAAAAAAGTTTACTTTATCAACTTCCCCTTTGAATAGCTAAGATAACTGAGCAAAATTAGTATTTCTTTGCCTACACTAGGCTTTTAAAAGTGTAACATTTATATACACTAAAATACATGCTGAAAGAGTTCCTACTCAATAATGGTATGTCATTAAATAAAATCAATAACCTTTTTAAATTTCCTTTTTTAATTTAAATTTTGATAGGTACGATATTTCCATGGATCTAATATCAAAAAATATAAAAGTACACATTGAATATTCTCATTCTTCTCTTTTTTCCTGATAATCCATTTCTACTCTCAGGCAACCATTTGGACTCATTTCTTTGTTCCTTTCAGAGCAGTGTTTCTCAAACTTTTTTTTTATTATCACTACCCTAAGGAGATCTTTTAAAAATACATTATTTTCAGATTACTTCACCCCGCTCCAGTTTTAATATACAGATATACTGTCTATCTGCTTTTTCATTATATGTATGTCTTTCCATTATATACAAAAAGATTAAGGATCTGCCCTTCCCCAATAGCTACTTTTTGCCCTTCTGGGGGGTGATATCTCCCTATTAGAAATGCATGTTTTAGAGATGTTTTATTCATATTCATATATTGCCATGAGATACTATTCAGCTAAAAGAGAGCACTGCATGCCTTCTTAACTCAATAATATCTCATGGCAATACTTCCACAACATTACATTAAAAGTATTTCCATCTTTTCATTGGGTACATAGTATTTCATCTTATAAATTTTAATTAATTTACTTATTTAGGACCCCAGTAATGGATGTTTAGTTTAAATCCAATCTTTTGTGCTTACAAAACATGGTGCAGTGAGTAGGATTGAACATGTCAAGTATTGCGGTCTTTGGTAGATTAGAGATGCCATGATCTTCTCCTTCAAGAAGTTCTTGACAGTTCTCCTTCTTGACAGTTCTCCTTCAAGAAGTGTGGTCTATGACTCATTCTCTTGAATCTTTGTGAGCTCTGTAACTGCCTGACAAATAGAATATAGCAGTAATGATGCTGTGCTTGTCTCTGAGCCCAGACATTAAGACTCCATATATCTTGGAACACTTGCAGTTGGATCTAATTGCCAAGGTATGAGGAAGTCCAAACAGTCCCACATGGAGAAGAACTGAGGATCCCAGGTGATAGCTCCCCATTGAGTTTCTAGCCAAAAGCCAGCATTAATTTACTGGCCATGTGTATGAGCCATCTTTGAAAGAAAGACCAGATAATTAGAATAAGGTCTTTATGTTATTCAACTTCTCATCACTACTTGACATTAATTATGATTGCTTATTAAAGTACTTACTTTACCTTGATTCAGTGATACTACACTCTCATAGCTTTTCTCTTTTTTCTCTGGCCGCCATTTCTCAGACTCGTTATTGTTTTATTATCCTGCCCTCAAACTTTAAATGTTAAAGTTTCTTAAGGCTTGGTCCTGGACCTGCTTTTCTCTTATTTATGTTATCTTGAAGCAAACTCATCTATGCCCAAATCTTTAGCCATTTATGGAGATAATTCCCAAATGTGCATTTTCAGCACAGACCTCTTTTCTGATTTCCAAATCTGTGTATCCAACTACTCACCTCGACTTCTCTATTTGGATATTTATGGGTATATCCCACTTAGCACATATAAAATAGAACTCAAATCTTTTTTCTACCCAGTGTAATCTGTGAATGGAAGACCACCCAAAGAGAGACCAAGAAATCATTTCTTCTCTTACTCACTCTCCATGTCTAACCTATCACCAAATCATCTTGATTTTAACTCTTACTCTATGTTTTTCATGTTTCTCTCTCTCTACTACCATTATTCTGTGCCTAACCACCACCATTTTTTACCTGGACACTGCTACAGCCTTCTAGCTGATCTCTAGGGTTAATTCTTGCTCCTCTTGAATCTATTTCTACCTTAAGGTCAAAGTGATCATTAAAATTGCAAATCAGATCATACCATTCCCTAATTAAACACTCTTAATGGCCATTGCTCTTAGAAGCAGTATCGAGATATTTCATATGTCTTTTAATGCCCTAGCTGATCTAGTATCCTGCTCACCTCAGCAAACCTCCTCTTGTGTCACCCTCCTTTTTCTTGGATAAGATGAGCTACACTGGCTGTCTCCTGTTTTGTAAATACGAAATGCTTCCACCTGACTTTTTCTTCTGCTATACTTACCACAATTATAAGCAAATAATAATGCCATGGGTAGTTTTGTCTGTCGTCTTTAGTAGATTGTAAACTCGATATTTTAAGTCCTGTCTGTCATGTTCACTGCTGTGTTCCCAGAACATAGCACAGGACTTTGTACAAGAGTTACGTGATAAAAGTTGAAGGATAAATAAAGTTGATCTTCTTCTGGACTATGATTTATAAAAGATTTATAAATGTGTAAAAAGATACAGCATGGCCCAGGCAGGCAATTTTTCGAGAACGTTGCCAACTGTTTTGCAACAGTCATACATCCCTCAACCTCCCAATATTGCTGCCTTGAGGGAAAGAGCTCTGTGTCCTGTAGGTCTCAGTAGGACTAAAGCTGCCCCTGCAAGCCTCGCCGTACTCTGTCATTCTTTGGAAAGAGTTACAGCTTCCTTTTCTGGAATAAAGAAGTGGGTGCACATACTTAGCTGGCTTCCCTGCTATCTGACATATGTCTTTGGAAATATTTCAATGACAGTCTGTTTTCTGCACCAGCATGCACCTTAAATCTACCTACTATTGGAGAAATGTATGTACATGATTTGTGCATGGATAAATGCTGGAATCAAAATCCATTGTAACCATACTCAGGGAGTTTTAATTCTTGTCTAAAATTGTAGACATCTTGCCAAACATAATTGCCAAGTGAATCTACTCCCAATGGAGGTTTTATACAAAGAATTGCACTTGATTATTTGCTTGTATGATGTGACTTAATAAATCGTATTGATAAAAATTAATGTATTCCCAAAATTATACTCATTTCTTAAAAATAAGTTTTATAAGTATTTAGAAGAATAGTCATTATGTTAAAAAGGTAAATAAGAAAATCATATGTAGATGCACCATTTCATTTCATTTTTTACTTGATATTTGAATGATGTAATGTCCTTTATATCACATATTACATAGTCAGAACTATAATAACTATCTGTGCTGTGCTTTCCATTGTTATTAAAAGCTTTTTGTGGGATATTTAGAATTTTACTGGGGAACGTGATTAGGATTATCATTAATATTTATTTCATACCTACTATATCCAAGCTATTGTTATTGGTCATATTCCTACATCTAAAGCAAAATGTATTTCAGACTAGAGTCTAAGATAACCTAATGAAAAGCATTTCAAGTTATTCTCTATAGCAATACAGCAGCTGCTCTATTCTCATAGTTCTGAAATCTAATCATAAAATGACACAGTAATGTTTGTTATGGCTCCTTCTGCTATCAAATATGATGCAAAGTGATAATTGATACAAGGGAGATCTGTGGAAGGTACAATAAGCACAGAAAGAAATACTGGAGCCTATCTAGCCCTTGGGAGATCAAGGAAGACTTTCCTGAAAACATGATGTTGAGTCTTTAGGTGGATGGCATCAGCTTCTCTTTGCCTTTAGCACCTTCTTTTCCCTGGCGTATCAGTAGCCACCAGAGTCACTACTATGCCTCTCTGGCCCAAGCATTTCATGCATTAATTTGGGGGCAAAGACCTGGGCAGCCACTGCTTGGCCCAAGCAGAAATTAGGGAGGGGACGCTGCATACCTGGCTGTTTGCAAAGCAGAACCCAAACCCACCTCATGGCAGGTGCTCTAGGAAACTTCCTGATCTCTGTACCTGAGGTCTCTGAGTTCCTGGTGCCTTTGGTACTTCCTACTTTCAGAGCAGTTCACTTCTGAATGCACGCTAGCTTGTGGCTTCCTCTACTATTTCTTTCCCATCTATTTCTTCCAGGGATTCCTTATACTTTTTTGGTTTTTCTTTGTTTTTACAATTTTAAGATTATTTTCCTGGCCATTTCTAAAGCTTTGTGGCAGAAGTAGACACAGTCTTGTGTTCTCAGAACACCATCTTTATCCCACTTCCAGAGCAATCATTGTTGAAATGTTTTATGAGCCATGAACCTTAGTTTAGATAAAAGCCATGTTACAAATGTTTCCTAAGTGTTTTTGAAAGATTTGTTTATTTGATTCTTTGCTTTGGTGTAATGGCTTCTGAATATATAAAGTGTTTTCATATGAATTATCCATCCCTTCCTAACACAGCTAGTTTTCACATTGTCATTTTTAAATGGTGTCTATTATATGTCAGGTGACAAATAGGAAATAAAGTTAGAAATATGGAATATTGCTAGGGATTGCTCTGAAAAAGATGCAAAGAAATTTCCTTTGGGTACCAACTGGAAGCTGAGCTTATGACAGATTGAAGGAGAGAGAGAGAGAGACTGGACTCTGGGAGGCCAGCTAGGCAATTTCTGCAGTAACCTAAGCACTAACTGACTGGACTCAAGATTAAAGTATAAATTGCTAGAATGGATAAAGTGCAAATGGAATGAATAGTGAGAAAGAATGAGACCCTGGGTCTCATCACTAACTGATGATATCTAGGATTAAAGTGCAATACAATGAAGAAAAAGGCATAAATGGAAGAAATAGTTCAAAGAAACACATGACAGATCTTGCTGAAATGTTGGCTCTAGGTAAACGGGAAGAGGCAATCAAAGGGGGCACTAAGGTCTTCAGTGTAGTCTGAGGGAGACAGTGGTATCATTTGTGGAGACAGAGAACTCAAAAGAAGTGTTTCCTATTCCCCAAGTACACATACTCACACTGGTGCCTTGCAACTGTTGCTATAATCCCTGAGTTCAGTATAAGGTGATTTCATTTTGGACCCCATCCAAGAAAGTTTATTCCTGGAAGTCCTAGAAGGATTTCATTACAACATTTTTCACTCACAACGTGATTATGCAACTTGCATGTAATAAGAGAATCATAAGGAAGGCTCCAGAGTACTTGCCTGCCCTGAAAATTAGCCCACAGACCTGAAGTCTGAAAGAAATTTGGGTGAGCCTCTAAAATCAAATTGATGGAGAGTAAGAATGCTAATAAAATATATGACATGACCTGTGCTTTGATCCTGAATTAATTTAGGTTTATGTTTACTGCCCCCCAAGAAACAGAATTGCCATGGCACTGTTAGGAGGATGACCTGATTTAAAAAGACTGGACAGATAAAGTTGCCTGTGGGATGGTAGATATTTTTGGACTTCTCAGCAAGATTCCTGGAACCATTCTGTTTTCAGCATGGCCGGGCTTGACCTCTTTCAGTTTTTAGAAAAATAAATACCTACAGGTACGGTAGGGTAGAAGAGGGGTGAGCCAGCGGGGTACAAGGTTGTGCCTGACTCCAGATCCCATTAGCATTGCCATTTTAAGACCTGTCTCTCAACCTTCATCCCTCATGGCCTCTAACAAGCTTCCAGCCTTGGTTTCCTAATTTGCACTAAATAGCCAGAGGAGATCTTATGGGACAGAGCTGCCCTGGCACACTCTCATCTCTGATTCAAATATTGACTTTTTTCCTTGGCAAAATTTTTTGCATTCTTAAAGCAATTTGCCTTTCTAAACTTTTTATCATTTCCCTTTCTTTGGATGGATATTTTGTTGCACCATTTAAATTGTGCCTGAGATTTTTTTGGCTAGCTACAACTAATAACTACTTCATACTGTGAACTCCCTTTCTGAGTGTCTAGCAGCCAAAGACAACAATCTTTGTTCAGAATGACTCCTTCCTAGATAAAGGCTTTTCAATGGGTGAGAGACAAGGAGCTAGCTGTGTAAGCTATAATTTGAAGTACTGGGAATGACCTCTTTAACCATCTTCTTCAGTCTCAACAATTCACATTATGTAAGTCAGCTGATGGTAGAGGATACCAGAGGCACATGGGCAGCAGGATCTACCCCTGTGCAGTGCTGTGGAGTAGAAGGGAAAAGAACTTTCTTGGCTCATTTATTTTTTATGACTGGTTCTTTGGCTGGTTATTCATATATTACCTTTCCCTTTGCCTTCTTGGTGGTAAATGGGAATGAATTTGAAGGTTTTTGTGATAATTACTAAACCATAGAAATGTTTTATGTATTCTTGTTGGTGGTTGATGCTCGTAAGGTTGTTTGGAGCATTTTAGCATAATGGTAGAGGAATCTTGTTTAAAAATGGCCAGATCAAGTTCTAGCCTTTTAACAGTCTTTGATTTGGGGTAAGATATTTAGTCTTAGACTCATTTTCCTTGTATATTAAAGTGAATGAATCAGACCTTATGATCGAGAAAGCCCCTACTAGCTCCCAAATTCTTTTGAGTCAGGGTCTCAATCTCTTGCCTAGGCAGGAGTGCAGTGGTGTTCTCATGGCTCACAGCAACTTTGAATTCCTGGGCTGAAGCGATGCTCCTGTTCAGACTCCCCAAGTGCTGGGATTACAGGCTAAATTCTTATGTTTGCTAAATATTTTTGTCTAGATTTCTTCATGAGAGCTACCCTACTCCTTTCAGTCAAAAGCTGAACACAGATGCTACCAAGACATATAGGATGAGACTAGACCAGTTAATGTGGGTGCTCTGGACTTGGTGGGAGAGACCCGGGTTGTGGAAAAACCAGATCATGTAGGGAGAGAAAAGTAAAAGGAAATAAAATAGAAAGAAACCTTACTGCAGGGGAGGGAGGGGAGTGTAGAAACATGCACCCCAGACCTCTAAGTAGTGTTTCTTAAACGAGTGTGCATCAGAATCACCTGGGAGGCTGGTTAAAACACCAACTACTGGCTCTACCTCCAGAGTTTCAGACTCAGTAGGTCTGGTGTAATACATAAAAATGAGCATTTCTATCAAGTTCCCGGCAACGTTGATGATGCTGGTTGTAGGAAACTCAGAGAACCATTGCTCCCTGTCATTTTCTCATTTTTAGGTATTGCAGTCTGAAAGTGAGCATGTTAGTTATAAAGTAGACTCAAATAGCAGAGGACTGAATGGGTCTTTTTTTTTTTTTAATCTCCTTTGGAGTTGATTCCAGGCTTGGTATTGAAAGAGACTCCCACTTGGGACAGTGGCTATTGTCACTTCCTATTGCTTTTATGTGCTATAGGAAGGTAGACAGCTACTCATTTTCTCTCTGCTGCCATCCTGAGGAAAACAGAAAACAGCATATGCATCCATTTATTTTCTCATTTAACAAATATTTATTAAGTTCTTACTGTGTTGTAATCACTTTTCTAGAAGCTAGGGATCTAGCAGTGAACAAAACCAACAAAAAGCCATCTACTTGTGGAGCTTCTATTCCAGAGAGTGGTGAAAAGAATTCAAGGAATTTCTGTGTCCCAAAGAAGACAATTTAGTGATCAGTTGGATATTTTATTGATCACCTACTCTACACCCATCACCCCGATACACAGCTGACAGTAGGGTGAGACTACCATATGATCCACACCCTCAGGAAGCTTAAGACTACTAGAGTTTGATTTCAGGAGTATTTATGGAAAATGCTTCATTTTTTCACTACGTGATAAGTTATGTGACACTTAAGTTATTTTAAGGCCAGTAGTTCAGAGGTAGGACAACCATCATGTGGGCTGAAGAACTATCATTGGCTTTTGGATTCTGCTCTCCTGTCTATAACAAGCACACCTTGTGCTCACAGTAAAGCCCGTACTACACAGCACCACATGGCCCCAAGGCCTGACCTACTTCCTGCTCAGATAAACTTCTGGACATAGTGCTGCTATGGCCCACACTGTGGGGTGACAAACACTAGGACAAGACTCCCACGCTTCCTCTCGGCACTCCCAGCCCTGCTTTCCAGGGAAACCTGCAGGCTAGCTTCCATTTGTAAATCAAGCACAAGCACTTTGGATTCTGGGGAAATTTCCTATTACAGCTGTGTTTTGTCATTATGCAGCAATATTTAGCATGTTTCTATAAACATAAAAATCTGAGGTAAAATTACAAAAAGGCTAAACTGAAACATACAGAAACAAAAGCAACTTAAAATCAAGACATACTGGGGCTGGCATCAAACTTATAAAAACAATCTAGCACAGAGTAGACGACAACTGCATGTTGAAAGCATGACTACTCAACCAGCCGCCAACCAATCAATACAACTTTACTTTTTGTCAAAAGGAAGCTGAAAAGAGGGCAAGGATTTAAGTTTAAATGTTCTTTCAATGTCTCTGAAGCAAGTCATCAAACCAGTCGGTTTTTTTCAAGTTAAAAAAAAAAAATCTTCGTATCATAAAATAGGCAAATTTGAATGCCCCAATACAATCAACTTGGTGATTATTTAGGGTACCAGTAGGCACTGTCCCAGGTGGTCAGGTAGTTGAGCTAAGGATAGAATGCATTCCTTCTAGTAAAGGCAGTGTGCAGATTAGTTACTAACATGGGCTCTGGAATTCAGATGGAGATTTGGTGACACTCTCAACCTTTCCTCTTAATCTCCCATCATACTGCTTCGAACACAGTACTTTATACAGAACACCAAAGTCCAAGCCATATGTCTGAGAATAAATTTATGTCTTAGGAGCTTTAATATAAGAATATGAGTTTTTTGTTTAGGTCGCTTATTGTGTATATTAAAAAGTGAGTGTCATGTGTGGAAAGGGCATTAGGCTGTGAAACACACATTGGGTCCTTTAGAGGCTCTGACACTATCTGTATGACCTTAAGCAAGTCCATTAACCTTTCTAGGCATCAGTAATTATTCTGTAAAGTTTTACTAAAATAAAATCTAGTTCATATGTTTACGATCCCTTTGAAAGCAGCTAGATTTGGTAACCCTTTGGGATGAGCTTCTCTGTGAGCAGACAGCATCCTCGCTGGAAACCTCCCAGATCCCCCACCATGCTTCCCCTTGCCTCAGTGGCAGGTGTACTAGTATACAACTAGCAAAAGAGGGAGGAACAAAATGGAGAGAGGCCTCTCCAGCTGGTGCCCAGCAAGTTAACCAAAGCTGGCCCACCCAGGGTCTGTCCATGCTCAGGTGTTCTCTAGTAACATCAAAGAAAAGTAGACAAAACAGGACCTTCATTCTTCACAAACTTCCTTTCAGCTGCAAACAGTTTTCTTTCATCTTTTTTTTCCCCCTCCAAGCTACATTTGGTGTGCATTTTCACCTGATTTCGCCTGCATGAAAGTATTATTGGGGAGGTTGGCCCTGTGTGATTTGTCCTGGTCCTGCAACCCCTAGGGGTGGCTTTGCATGTGGGATCAGGATGGTCTGTGTTGGAGGTCTTTTGCTTCTTAAATATTAATGAAATCAGCCCCTTCCAAGAACATCCTCAAATCCCCTGAAGGTTCTTAGATGTTGCAGTTTGCATTTAGCTATTTACATTAGCAAAGATTGTTGTACAAACAGGCTCTGGTGGCCTGTCAGTCAGGGCCCTGCTGGCTTCACTTCACAGAAAGATAAAGAAGTGTGAGTTAAATGAGCCCAGCAGGCATTTAACCTCTGGGTCTGGAAAAATGTTGACTCATTGAGTGATTTGGGAGGTGGGATTATAGACCTATTTGGTTAAAAAGCTTGAAGCTCCTCAAACCAAAGCTAGTAAAAATAGTGATTAGAGCTAACATTGATTAATTACCTGTGCCGACAACTGTGCTAATAATCCCTAGAACAAATTATCATGTATAAGCATTTTATTTCTATTTTATATATGTGGAAACACAGGCACAGGGAAAATATCTTGATCAAAGTCCCAAACCAATAAGCGTTGGTAGGCAGTCTGTTTCCAGATCCTATGTTTTTAACCATTAGTCTACCTGACCCTTTGAAAATGTATTCCTTATAGGTGTACAATTTGGCATAGACACTTTCTGGAACAATTTAATACCTATTAAATTGAAGTAATTAATTCAGGAGTTCCACTTACTGGTGTCTACTTTAGAAAAATGTACCCACTCATTCACCATGAGGCATTGATTGTATCATATTAATAAAAAAAAATCAGTGACCTGAATAAACATTGGTAGGGAGGTAGATGAATAAACAAGAATTTATTCATACTATGGAATAGTACATAGCTATTAAAAATAAAACAACTAATATTATTTACGTAAAAACTGAAAACAATATTGCCTATTTTCTCTGGATCTATATGGGTGTGTAAAGATCTGGAAGAATACATGCAGAGTAATAGCAGTGGTTATTTCTGGGAAAGGGCAGAAGGGAAGGTAACAGAGCTGGTAATCAGAGGGGCTCTGGCCTTATCTGTCAAGTTTTTTTCATGTTTTATTATTCATTTTCATGTTTCACTTACGCAATGAAAAAATAGAAATTGAGAAACAGACATATACATGAATTAATTGATTAGAACTATTTTTCACAAAGGATTTCAGCTCTGGAAAACCACTGAATTGGAATTTGGAATCACAGGATGGTGGGGCTGGAAGGCACCCTAGAGATTTTCTAGTCTAACCCACATGTTTCACCAATGTAAACAGTGAAGCTCGGGGAGATTATGTAGCCTGTCTACAGCTTCACAAAGACTACTCATCTCAGTGAACCTGGGCTGCCAGACTTCTGGCACCCTGGGAGTGCTCACACCCTCACTATGAGCTTGTCAACTAGGGCTCCATCAGCAGGTGAAACCCTACAAAGTGCTCCCTGACAGAGCCAAGGAAAGGTTGGCCCCGGGCTGGGTGGACTTGGGATATGTGCTCTAATAACTCTCAGCATGAAGAACTGCTGAGCCCCTCAAATTAAAAAGCTTGTGGCCAGATTTTTCACAGACTTTATGACAATTCTCCCACATGCAAATTCATCATGAAGGAGAGTGTTTCTATATTTGAAACTACATTTTTCTTGTTTGTTTTGGGTGGCTGGGTGGCTTGGATTTTTGTTTTTAATTCTTCTTTGAGAATAAAGAGAAGGAAAAATCCTACATTGCTTTCAGCTTGTGCAGCCTCCCCAGAGGTGTGAGATATAAACACAGTCTGTTTCCTGTATGGTTTTCCCAAGGGCACTGAAAATGTGATATTTAATTGGCTGTTGCATGTCTTCAGTTCCGGCAGACACATCATGAAACGAGAAAGAGCATCTGTGGCTGAATCATGGTGCGCAAGAGCAGCTCAGGAGAAAAGAGCAGCTTCCATGTGCAGTTCAGACCTCAGATGCTCAGAGAGGGACACACTTATAAGCTTATATTAACCTTAAAAATAAGTATTTAAGAAGTTTGTATGGGGAGGAACCACCCTCTGTTGCCTTTTCTTTCACTTATCTCCCTGAGATCCAGCCCAAGCCTAGGTATCTCAGCATGGTTTTAAGAAAAAAAAAAGAAGAAAGAAAAAGAGACACTTTGGTTGTTTTTATAGGAAGGAATAGTAATAATAGTAACAAACTTACTGAGTGCTTCTATTTAAAACTTTTTTTGGTAGTTGTAATTTTTTGTAATTGAGTTGACTTTTCAGAACAGTTTTAGATTTATGAAAAAATTAAATGAAAAGCATAGAGGGTTCTTATATACAACCCTCCCCCCTCCCAAAGCTCCCCTTATTATTAACATCTTGCATTGATGTGGTATATTTGTTAACAACTGGTGAGCCAATATTTATACATTATTATTAACGATTATAGTTTACATTAGGGTTCACTCAACATTGTACATTCTATGGGTTTTGACAAATGTATAATGACAATGTGTCCACCACTGCAGTACGATAAAGAATAGTTTCACTGCCCTAAAATTTCCCTGTGCTCCACCTATTCATCCCTGCTTCCCTACCTCCTAACCCCTGGAAATCATTGATTTTTCTACTGTCTATATAGTTTTGCCTTTCCTAGAATGTTATATAGTTGGAATCATACATTTATTTTTAAAATCAGGTTTCTTATGGTAAATTAACTCTTTTTAAGTATACAGTTCTGAGTTCTAACAAGAGTATAAAGTAGTATGACCACCACCACCATCACCACAACCAGGATATATAGAGTGCTTCCACCACCCCAAGCAGTTCTCTCATGCATGTCCCTTTGTATGAAGTTCTTCAATAAGCTCTTTCAGTCCTCCCAACAACCCTTTGAGGAAGCTTCTCTCACTCTATCTACTTTAAGGGATCTAGGCACAGAGAGGTTTAGTGATTTTCTCAAGGTCACACAGGACTAAAGTGGCAGAGCCAAGATTTGAACCTTAGTGATCTGGCTCCAGAGTCCATGTTCCAGTGTCCACTTGTAATGGTTTAATGTCCTGCTTGTACACTCCAAAAACAATGACACTGTATTGAGTCACAGAACATATTACCCTAAGGAAGACTTACCTCCCAATTTGCTAGTAAAATACATACACACCCCCTCCCCCACAAAAAATGGAAAGGGCTTTCCTAAGGTCCCAAGGTCATTGATGGGATGGAACTAAAACCCAGGACTCCCGGCTTTAAATACAACCTCAATAGCATGCTTTGCTCATAATAGGTACTTCATAAATGTCTCTTCATTTGACAAGAAGAATATTTAAATTATCAAGAGTAATGATCATAAACAGGGTGATTGTAAACCTGAGAATCTCTAAGATGCTGCAAATGTTCAGCTTTGAGGCTGTGCCAGTATTTGAGACTGCGCCCCTCGTCAGAGTGTGAAGGGGACCTCACATACACTAGAAGATGTAAGGCAGCAGCGTAATACTGATAAATTCTGAGGCCCTCTTAGAGGCTCTGATGCAACAGCAAGAGATACAAAAAAATAGACTATACATGTGAAGCTAGAAAAATCACATAACACTCCCTCACTTGCCATCCTTCCTTACCTTCCACCACCATTGGGAGAAAAAGTCTTATTGTTAACAGCTGAATCCCCTAAGGTGATCTCTAGAACTCCTCACCTGGTGGAATATAGAAAGGCAAAAAGGACCTAAGCTAGTTCCCTCCAGCTCTTTTATAAGGCACTACTCCACTCATGAGGGTGGAGCTTCATGACTTAATCACTTCCCCAAAGGCACCGCCTCTTACTACTACCACAATGGGGGGTAAGTTTCAACATGAATTTTGGAAGGGACACACATTCAAACCATACTAGTATTCATGTCTTACAGGACATTGTCTCTTTTTAAAACATTTTATTTTAAGTTGACAAAAGTGTTTATACTTATCATGTACAACATGGTGTTTTGAAATACATGCTCATTATGGAATGGAAAACATGAGCTAATGTATACATTACCTCACACAGTTATTTTGTGTCATTAGAACACTTAAAATTTACTCTTAGCATTTTTCAAGAATACAATATATTAACTATAGTCACCATGTTGCACAATAGGTCTCTTTAGCTTATTCTTTCTAAGGGAAATTTTGTATCCTTTGATCAACATCTCCAACTTCCCTACCACCCCAGCCTCTGATAACCACCCTTCTACTCTCTGCACTTTCACGTTAATTGCAGTAATAGTCACAAAAGCCAAGATATGGAATCAACCTAAGTGTCCATCAACAGATCAACGGATAAAGAAAAGGTGGTCAGTCTGTCTCTCTCTCTCTTTCTCTCTTTATATTGGAACTCTCTATATATGTACACACACATACGTATATATAAAATTCCATTCTATTAATGACTTTGGTAACCTTAGGAAAGCCACTTCCCTTTTGTGGGGGCATATGTATTTTACTGTTGTAGAACACCAGAGTATCTGCAGGAGGCTTCATGGAGCTTGACTACGTCATAAAAATGAGCAGGATTTAAGTAAGTGGCTGGAACAGTGCCTGGCACATTGAAGGCTCTTAATAAATATTTGTTGAATAAAAAAGGAAAGACATATCTTATGGGATATACATATGTCATATACATATCTATGCCTCAATGTAGGCAGAGGTACAGAGGTGGAACTGAGCATAGTCACCCTGAGGCAGAAGAAACTATATCTTAGACATTGTGACTATAGGAGTACTAGATTGTCATGACCCAGTAGGAAAATGACACTGACTGTGCCAGACCCCACAAGGTATCTTATTTGAGCCTAACAATAACCTCCAGATGTGAATTCTTACTATCTCTATTTCTTACATGCCACTATTTAAGCTTCAAGTGGTAAAAAATTTGCTACAGATCACACACCTAGTGATTAATGAATTAGTAATTCAAACCCTGTTTTGTCAAACTTTAAAACCTTCATTCTTTCTACTGCATTACAGTCTTTCTTAGGGAACTGGTGTGATCAAACCTAGACACCCTCCATCAGTTCTTGAAGGGAAAAAGAAAAGTGGTGTTTTACGAAATTGGTCACAGCTTTACATATTTCAAAAAGGGTAGTAAAGGAAGAGAATGGAAGAAGGAGACTCAGCTAGCAGGCTCAATTGAAAACTGGCAACAATAATAGGAAGAACCGAATATAACTGTCATTTGAAACAAATCAAAGCAACAAGACACAAGAGATGAAGGGAAGGGAGGCAGTAAAGGTTAACCATAAGATTTTGGGGCTGACAAGGTAGAAAAAAAAATAATATTGCCTTGGAAAGAAAAGACAGGCCCAAGAAGTGGAATCATGTGGGTGAGGAGAAGAAAATGACAAGCTTTGTTTGGGATATGATGGTTTGGAAATGATAGTTAGAGACATAAATGGAAATATGCTGCAGACATTTGAAAATGAGTCTAGATAAAGATCAGGCTAAAATATAAAATTGGAAGCTGGCTGTATTGAATAAAGTCATGAGTCCAAAGCAGGAAGTGTAGAACAGAGCCTTGAATCACACCCACAACGGGAAAAAGACAAAGAGAATTCAAGAAAACTACTAAATAGAGAGTAGCTAAAGGATGAAGTTATAGCTACTAAATAGTGGCTAAAGGACAAAGACATGGATGGGTAGATAGATTATAAGCTGTAGAGAGGTAGACACGGAACTTGTCATGAAGAAGAGGTAGTATAGTTTATGGAGAAAGTGATTAACTGTCAAATGACATAAAGACAGTGTATTAGGATACTAGTTTAGCTTCTGTAACTGAGAAATCAAAATGACAGTGTTAGATGGTTCAGGGCTAATATGGTGAGTCCACAATCATCAGTGTCCCAGGCCCCTTCAGCCTTATTGCTCTGCTTCCTTGGCACTGGGCTTCCATCTCATAGTCTAAGGTAATTCCTTCACTTCTTGCATACATTTTTATTCAAGACTGCGGGAAGGAAGAAAAGGAAAATGGGCAGGGCTTGCCTTAAGAGTTGTATGTATCATATCAGTTTAGATCCCATGGCCACACCTAGCTACAAGGGAGTCTAGAAAATGTATATTTCAGCTGGGCAGCTATGTGCCCAGATGAATTTCAACTTCTTACTATATATAATAAAGCATGATATGGAAGGACCACTAACAGTCTTCACTACAGATGGATAAGATAATAATTCAAAAAATATCCCTGAATTTGACAAGCTGTTGGCTACTAAAAAAGCCTATGTAACTCTTCTTCCTGCCTCCAATCTTGCTGTCTTCCAATTCATTGTCCATACTGCAATTAGAAGTAAGTTTCTAAAAAGTGTTACTCCTCTGCTTAAAGCTTTCATTGGCTCCTCAGTGCTTTTAAGATAAAGTTCCAAACTTTAAACATAGCTAAGATCTCATAAGTATAACCCTGCTTACCTTTGAAGACTCACCTCTCTTTACTCTCCTCCCTCACACAGCCTATTACACTCTACATTCCTCCCTCAATTTCTTCAGCTGACTGGAACACCGTGTTTTTTCCCTAGTGCCTCTGAAAATTTGCATCCCCTGTTCCCTCTTCTTGGTATGCTTTTCACCACTTTGCTTGGATTCCTCCTATCGTCCTACAGGCTAGATACCATGTCTACCAGGGTGCTTTCACTGTCCTTCTAGGACTGAGTTTTGTTCATATCTGTGTGTTCCAGAAGCTCCCTGCTTGTCACATGTACCACTTATCCAAATCTGCTTTGCAGTGCTCAGTTTCTCTGTGTTACCCACAAAACTATCAGCTCATTGAGCAAAGAGGTAATCTCAAACCCAAATTTGTACACCAGAGGTTAACCCAGGGCCAGTGAAGAGTATGAGATCCAAAACTATTAGTTCAAAGGAAGAAAGGCATAACTCTAATGAGAAAAAGACCCCAAAGCTATCATTTATTGAAGCAAATGAAAACACTAAATTTCCTGCCCATTCACTGCTGTTTCTTAGGCTCAGGCTCCTCTGCTACATAATGAGGAACTTGTAACTCTGCTGACAAATGGCAAAGAAAATGAATTACTTTGACAAGGAACATTAAAGCATGGCATTCATCTTACGCACTGAAATATCGTTGGATGCCATGGTTCCATGTCTTACAGTTAGTCAGATTGTCTTTGGCAATTCACATTTCAAGGTGGCAGGGGATGGGGGGGTTGGGGGGAATTGTCTATCGTAAAGGAAGCATCCACAACTCACTATTTAGCAGAGCTGTAAAAGCTTATTTGTGCATTACCATGGCAACCACTGGCCCAACACTGCACTGTAGTATACTTGTCTAGACAGCACCAAATTCATCAGCACTTTCTCTTTTGTATGCCTGATTTTAAACAGGCAGGTGTGTATCCAAGGTGCTACTGGGAGAGAAAAAAACTCTCCATGTAGGCAAATGAAAGTGTCAAAAGCATCCTGTGAGCATCTAAATGGCTAGCATTGAAATCTGCACTAATTTGAAAGCTTTAGCATTAGTCTGTGTTTTTCTTTTTAAATAAAACCTTACTAGAAATAAAGAACTAGAAATATATCCATATGGCCTGCCAACTGTGTCTAAAAATAGTTGATGTGAAAGAAAGAACTTACTAACTTTTAAATTTATATCAAACTAAGAATCAAGAATGTTTGATTATATTCTTCTTGTCACCAGTATTTGGACACAATACCAAATTGATACCCAAGACCATAAATCAGACATGTATTAGCTTAGAGTATTTGTACTGTTCTCTTCAATGGAGATATTTGGATAGGACCAAACCTTCAGGACCCACCAGTTGAGTTTTACTGAAGCTCAGGGTCATGCATACCTGAGGCAAGAGCCTTTCCTAGGTCCTGCGTGGTCTTGAATCTTTGGCAATGTTGAAATAACTACACCAAAGATCCTCCAGGAATATTTTGGAACAGAAGAACTAGAAAGAAGACATGTACCATTTCCCTTCAGACTTGATACAACCAGTGGTTTTGGCTAGCTTATGGATATGAATAAAAACTTTGAATTATATTTGTATATAGTTAACTGTGTGTCTTGTATCTGTATATATAATTTATTGTAATTTGCTAGTAAACAGCTGGAGCCATTTGGCCCAGGTCTCACATTCAGAGAAGCCATCAAATTTAGAAATTTGACCTTGTCTCCAAACACAGATATACAGATAGACACAGGCTGACCAGATGGCATTTAACAGATAACTTTAAACTTGGGTCTATTATTGGACCATACTGCTTTGCAGGACACTATGAGTTAGTATAGTTTATAAATCCCACTATGATTGCATGGAGATAATACTTATATCACATTAGTTTGTTAAATGTAATATGTGCTATGGACTGTTTATGTCTTCCCAAAATTCATATGTTGAAACACTAACCCCTAATGTGATGGTATTTGGAAATGAGACCTTGGGGAACTAATTAGGGTTAGATTGGGCCGTGAGGGTTACAGCCCACATAGTAGGATTTATTCCCCTACAAAAAGAAAAAGAGACTCAAGATCTTTCTCTCTGTGCATGCACTAAGGAAAGGCCATGAAAGGATATAACAGGAAGAGGACCCTCACATAGAACCCAACCGTTCGGCAGCTTGATCTTGTACTTCCAGTCTCTAGAACTGTCAGAAATAAACATTTGCTGTTTAAACAACCCAGTCTGTGGTATTTTGTAATAGCAATCCAAACCAAGACAGTGTGTAAAAAAAAAAAAAAGTGTGTCATGTCTTCATTTTAAAATATGTGTCAGTAGCCTCATGGAACTGAAGCAGCTTAGGTCTTTCTCATAGCCCAGCAGTCTCTGGCATCAGTCGTCGCCTTTATTAGTGTTTGGTCCCCTAAGATTTTTTTACTGACTTTATGACATTTAGTAGATGCATAATGAAACGTTAGATTGATCAATACGTGAATGAATGAAAAATGGACATGAATGAAATAAACAAATTTTGGTTTCTAATCAAATTCTCTTAAATTATGTACAAATAGCTATTAAATGTGCCTTAGGCATGGTTAAGCTAGTGAAAGAAATCTGGTAAACAAGGAGCAAATCCAAGAAAAATATAGATTTTGGTATTATCTCATGGAACTGTGAAGCCAGACAGATGCAGAGCATAGTAAAATATCTCTAATTAGGAAAACTCAAAGGAGAAGGTAAATTTGAATTACTGAAAAGTGAGCTACAGAATATTTTTTAAAGAAATAAAGTTTCAGGAGGACCAGCAGTATCCAGGCAGCCCTCCTTGCTACCAAGATGCTCAAGAGAAGGTCAGCTCCACTGGAAGAGCAGTAAAGGAAGAGCCCAAGAGATCAATGAGCTAAGCCTGTTCCTGCAAAAGTAGAAATGAAGCCAAGAAAGGCAGCAGGAAAGGATAAACCTTTAGACAAAAAAAAAAAAAAAAAAAAAAAAAGCAAACAAAAAGGTAAAGGGAGCAAAGGGAAGTGACTAACCAAGAGACCAAATAAAATTTACCTGCAGAAAACAGAGAAACTAAAAATGAGGAGAGTCCAGCCTCTGATGAAGTGAAATGAAAGAAGCCAAGTCTAGTTAATATTATATATCATGGCTTATCAGTGATTCTTGTCTCCCTTCTTATAAATCCAGAGGAATATTTTTATCAACCATTTTGTAAATGCAAGTTTTTTAGTAGTTCTAGAAGCATTTTTAGGAAAGGGAAAATCCCACCTCTTCCCATTTTTTAAGTGTAATTTTTTAAGAGGTAAAATCATTTTCTGTTTTTTATTATTATTATTATTTTTTTGGTGTAACCAGAAAATCGTGGGATATTGACTTACGGGAGACTTTGACTGTCTTGGGTAGCAGCTTAATATTCTAGCTGGTGGTACTTTTTATCCTGTAATACAAAGCATACTAAATGGCAATATGGAGTCATAGTTGTGCACTTAACATGTCTTGAACATGTAAAATTACTTCTATTCCTATGAGGTTTCTTTTCTTTTCTTTTTTTTTTTTGGTAGAATTACTTCCTAAAGAAAACCGCTCCTTGATCATAGCTTTCCATGTCAGAATTACATGCACTCTGTAACACCTTTGGTCATGTTAGTCCTGTTTTCCTAGTAATTTTGTGAAAGATTAAAAATTTGAGTGTGTAGTATATATGATATTAAATTGTGCTTTTTTGAAACTTATGTAACAGCTTATCAACATTTAAATATATTAGTACTTGATATCATCTTAAGGAAACTTTGCTTCCAGATTTTAAGCTGAAAAGTCACTGGAATAACTGTTCAAAAAAGATTTATAACGCATGACTTTTTACATTTTGGGTATGTCTGTTAATAATTGTGTACAAATTGAAATGTCTGTGTGTGAATTCTCAACATAACCATTTAAATCTCAATTATGAAAGTAACAAATATGCCTTCAGAGAGTGATATCAGCAAGATGGCAGAATAGGAGTTGCCAGGGCTCATCCCCTCACAGAAACATCAATTTGAACAATTTATGCACGAACATACTTTCACAAGAGCTCTGGAATCCAGGTGAGAGATTATAGCACCTGTGTAGGGCACAGAAATTAAAAAAAAAAAAAGATGCATTGAGTGAGGTAGAAAGGACAGTTTCACATTACGTTTGTTATTCCACCCCAAGCCCACACAGTGCAGTATGGAGACAGATAACCTCCAAGTAGGGGAAGGAGAGTGAAGTAAGCATGTAAATTCACCTTAGACCCTAGCACAAGGTCTGCCCTACTGAACCATGATTCAAAGCTGGCCCTTGCAGTCCGAAGGCAACAGGCAGACCTCTGTGGCCCCAGGCTCCCGACCCACCCCAGCACTAGGCTGGCCCTCAGAGTCCCAGAGACCAGTTCTGCATCAGTGGCAGGCCAGCCCACATGAACCCAGGCTTTATATATATAATATTTATTAGTTATATTCATGTAAAATACATAATAATAGATAAATATATCAATCACTAGGTTGCTGTGAAGATTCGAGAATTTAGTATGCACAATTCACACAATTTGCATATAACAAGTGCACATAGCCCTTGTTAGGAATTATTGGGGTATTTTATCTCCAGAAACATAGTTAATTTGAGAGCAGAAATTTCAAAAGTAACAATAAGAGTCAGGCAACAATAGAATATATTTTTCAATGGCTAAGAGAAAACAGCTATTATATATATATAATATATATATAATATATATAATATATATATTAGTTGATATATAATGTATATCAACTAAATATTCAAGAATGATTGCAAAATAAATCTTGAAATAAATGAAGACTGAGAGGGATCACCAACAACTCTTTGGCTCTGTATTTCCTATTAAATATTACCTTTCCATATGTAAGAAATTTATCCAGATAGAACAAATGAGATAAAGAAGCAATGATGAGCAAAATAATGCTTTAAATTGTGCATAAATATAAATATTCATTAACTGTAAAAATAATTATTAATTTGAAGTTTATAAGAGGAAATTGGAACTAAAATTTTGAACACTTTAACATAAGATGAGAAAGAAAATAAAAGTCAGGTGGTCCAAACTGCTGAATAAGGTTTAGGAGGATAGCAGTAATGTTAACTAAATATAGAATTTTATGTCAAATATTCATATTTAAAAAAGTAAAACAGTGGAAATTAATTTTACACATTTTATACTTATTTTGGATTTCCACAGTAGCATTCTTTTTTCACTTTATAACTCTTTTATTCTATCTTTTTAAACATATATTTTATATGTAAATCTGTATACTGAATATTAATATTGCTGCATCAGATTTATTTTCATATTTGCCTGATATACCTTTCTATTATACCTATACTTGTCCTTTTACTTTCAACCTTCCACTATCCTTTGTCCCTCTGTTAAAGAGCATATAGTTGACATTTAGGAAATCAAATCTGAGAATCTTTGTTAACTAAATAACTTAGGCTGTTCAGATTTATTTTGTTTAGTGGCCCAGGCCTTAGACTATCCTCTGTGAACCCAGGCTCTAAGCCTATCTCTACAGACCCAGATTCCAGATACGCCTCAGTGGACCCAGAAACCAGGGCAACCAGCCTGAGGACTTCAGCACCATGGTTGCCTGTAGACCCCACCTTCCAACACTTCCAGAATCTCTAAATGGGCTGACTGGTAAAGGGCTTTCCCAGCTAAAGCCAGTCTGTAAAGACTGGAGGAGGTGCCTACCTCTTCAAATGCTCAAACATCAACACAAATCCTCAATGATCACTAATAATAAGGCTCAAGAATGACAATGACATCAACAAACGAACAAAATAAAGCCCCGGTAACTGGCCATAAAGAAACAGAGATCTACAAACTGCCTGAAAAAGAATTAAAAATAATCATCTTAATGAAGCTCAGTGAGCTACAAGAGAACACATATAGACAACTACACAAAATCAGGAAAACAAATAATTTAAACAAATAAATACAAACCATTAAAAAGAACCCAACAGTAATTCAGGAGCTAAAAAATGCAATGACCCAAGTGAAAACTTCCATATAGAGCTTAAATACTTCCACAGTAAACTTAATCAAGCAGAAGAAGGAAGCAATCAGCAAGCTTGAAGAAAGGACATTTAAAATAACCCAGAGGAACAAAAAGAACAAAAAATTTTAAAAAGTGAAGAAAACTTATGGGACTTTTAGGACACTATCAACAAAACCAATATATGTGTTATGAAAGTCCTAAAAGGAGCAGAGAGAAATAAAGGGGAAGAAAGTCATTTTAAAGAAATAACAGAAACTTCCCAAATCTGCAGTGGGAAATGAACATCTAGGTTCATGGATCCCAAATAATCAAAAATAGATTAAACATAAAAAAGATCTTCACCACGACACATTGTAATCAAACTTTTTTGCCAAAGACAGAGAATTTTAGCGAGAGAAAAGCAACTTGTCGCACAAAATGGAACCTCTAAAAAACTATCCGTGGATTTCTTAGCCAGGAAGAGTGGAATAATATATCGTAAGTACTAAAAGAGGAAAACTCAATCAGGAATATCTCACCCAACAAACTTGTTCTTCAGCAATGAAGGAGTGAGAGATAACGACTTTCTCAGAAAAGCAAAAGTTGTGGGAGTTCATTACCATTGAACTTGCCTAACAAGAAATGCTAAAGGGAATTCTTCAAGTTGAAATGAAAGGGCACTATTAACAACTTGAACTGTATGGAAATATATAATGTAAAAATATAGTCAAATTTAAAACACTCTAATATTGTAATGATAGTATACACATTACCTTTATAGCATAAAAATTAAAAGGCAAAAATGGTAAAAATAACAAATAATTTGTTAATGTATGCACAATATAAAATATGTGAATTGTGACAGCAATAACATAAAATGTCGGGGCAGAAGAAGTTGAAATGTAGAGTTCTGGGATGTGGTAGAAGTTAGGTCTTTATCAATTTAAAATAGAATGTTATAACTCTAAAATATTTATATAAATCCCATGGTAAGCACACAGAACTTGGTGCTAGTTTCTCCTTAACTAAACTCACAATATTCTGCTACCCTTGAAAATCCTCTGGAAGGAATGTAGTTACAAACTACATTGTCTCTAGCATAGCAAATCATATTTCAGGGGAAAATATATCCATGCTCCAAATTTATTATTGAAATTGAGGCTCTAGAAGTTTGGAGAGTGGAGATATCACAGACTTTTTCCAGCCAACAATTACTGTAAAGAGTCTAGGTGTTGGTAGGTGCATCAAGGAGTCACATCTTATACAAAGATATGGCTCTAAACTCAGTGTAGATGTTGGGAATCATGTCAGAATGAAATGAGATAATACATAGAGGTCTACAAGAAAGTATAGCACTCAACAGCAATGTTTCATAACAAAAATACAATCACACCAGAGTTTTCCATCCAGTAGGCCCATAGATATCTCAGGGTAAATCACAGAATGCTGACCAGAGAGGCTTGTCACCAAATGCATCTTGGACTCTAGCCTTCCAATCTATAAGATTCAAAAAGCATGAAACATTAGCAGTAAGCAAAAGCTGAAATGTTAACTCTAACCCAAAATTTTCTTATCTCTACTCTGCTTATTGACCAGAAGAGGGGTCTCTAAACCTATTCGAAATCACTGAGTCCTCTGAAACTCTAAGGCCTCCCACTAAGAAAAAATACAGGCCCGTACTTATATAAACAAACCCCTACATATAATTCAAGGGTGTGCCCTAAGGAGGAGGGAACCCCAGGTTTACGAACACCCCTACCACCAGAATTTAAGGCTTTTTAAAAAAATTAAGTCCCTGTCTACCCTTCTAGTCTCATCTGTAGACATTATGTCTTCCACTACAACCGTATCACAGTGTATCAGACCATCTTTTGTGCCTGGCCTTATATCCTATTGGTCTACCTTTTAGTCCAGCTACTGCTATAGAGACCAGCTTTCTAAAGGTATAACTTAACAATACTTCAGCTGTACCTCTTATCTCTTGATTTCTGTCCGGGGACATTCCTGAAAGGATGGAAAGAATGCTGTTGAGAACTTTCTTGACATGTACAAACCTGAAAGTACAAAGTAGTTAACAATTCATGGGGCAACCCTTGACCAGTGGAGGAAAGGAGCTGATGGATAAATATTCCCATGTTCTAGCTTTCAGGGGCACAATTCTGAGGCATGTTTTATATAGTTCTTCAGAGAGTCTGAGCAGAATTGTGCTCCAGATACCCAGTAGGACCCTACTTGATAATGCACCCTTGTATTGGTTCTTCCCTATCCTTGTTTCACTCTTCCAAAACTCCTGTACTTATTCTCTGGGATCATGTTAATAAATCGCATGCATGCAATCCCTTTTCTAAGACTATACCTTCAGAAGAAACAAACTTAAGCACACAGATCTACACAAAACAACTGTAGTTCCACCTGTATGCCTTTCCTGCTGCTCCTCCTTGAAGCTGAAATACCCTTCTCCTTTTATATTAGGCAAATCTCTTTCTCTTTCACACCCTTGCGCAAATATCTTCTGAACCACAGGTCATAAACTGGATTTGCCTCTAGACCTATTTTGTTTGGTTCATAGTTTTTCCTGTCAACATCTTTACTATTCCTATTTGCTTACATGTTTATCTCCTTGACTTGTGGAGTTAAGGAAAAAGATTGTGTCTGATTCATCTTAGTATTTATAGTAGCAGTTTATAAGTATTTAATAAAATATTGTTGACCAGTAAGTGGATATGAGACAGCTTTCTAAAGAGTGACTGACTTAAGCTAATCTAACCTGTGCCTCTTATAGGTTGCATGACCTTGGGGATGTCACTTAAACATTCAGTCTCAGACTCAATTGAGAATGCACTGGACTGCAGGTAACAGAAAACTTAACTACAGTCTCTAATGAGAGTTTGTTTATTCTCTCCTGTAACAAAGTCCAGAAGCAAACTGCTGAGCCAATATTTCTGATTCTTTTGGTCTTTCCTTCCTGGTCGCATAATGGCTATGGTAGCTGTAGTCCTTAAATTTACATACAAGGCAAGAAAAAGAATGAAGAAGAGAGACAGCTGTGTTGGTTCTTTTAATTAAGAAAGCAAACAAAACAAATAACCACCACCAAAAAAATCCCGAGCATACAAAGACTTCTCAGAAATACTAGCCGATCTCTTTTTTTTTGAGTCATGAGCCTGAACCGTGTTATATACCCCTAACAGCAGAGCTATGACATATATGTGTGGGAGTGTGTGTGTGTATAAATTATATGAGACATGCATATAATAATGATTTATACTTACGTCATTATACCTAAATCGCTAAATAACTTATGTCATTATACTTAAATCACTAAACAATGATTTGTGAAAACAAATACTAAATTGAGGAAAAGCACATTTCTCTCTGAAACACGATCAGGATGTTGTTAGCAATTTGGATGCGTTGATGGGATGAATGGATGTCAGGTGTCTTCCAAGTGTCTGCCACACTCCTACTCTGTAAAATGGAGTTAATAGTAACTAACCTACCAGTTCTACAGAGTCTCATGAGGTTCAAATAAGATAAATATATGTGAAAGGGCTTTGTAAAAAATACTATGCAGATTAATACATTGTGCATATAATTTATCCAACACTAAAATCATTATAGGTACATAAATATTTATTAAGACTTTATATTATTATAACAACTTTTGCTCCTACTTCTGACAAAGGGCCTTAAGTAATATTATATATTGAACTAACGTGGTTGTTCTTCTTTTGGAATGTATAGGACTATCCCCATAGCAATAACGGTAACCATAACAGAAAGGTCACCAACACTTCATTATAATTTAATGACAGGAAAGGAAAGAAAAATACGTCATTTTAGTTGTACAGGAGAATTTTGGTAAGAACATACTGTAACCTGACCAGGACAACTGCACTCTTAAGAAAACAATACAGAAAGCCAAAATATCCATTTAATAGCTGATTTCAGAGTCAGCATTCTGAGGCATGCTGTCCTTGGATGTGATGTACAGACATGGGCCGAATGGGAAAAACTTACATATTGAACCATCCACATCACCACCTATGACTCTGGTCATTGCCCTTCATGCTCTGGAAGCAGAATGCCTTGTGTTCCCCCAGCTAGTGAGAGACAACCACATCATAGCCTTAGGTTCTTGTTTAATTTTTTAAGCCGATTTATCCTGCAGTAAAATTTTATTAAATATTAGGCTAAAACTTTGATAACTATGATTTGCTATGCTAGAGACAATGTAGTTTGTAACAATGAAGATGAAGTCTGAGTATGTTTTGTTCATTGTACTACAGGGTTATGATTTCATGTATATTTGATCAATAGAGTATAATCTAGAAACGTCATGACATCCCATTCTGAAATACTTCAGAAGGTATTTTTTAAAAATACGGACATTTTCCCCCATTGAAACATTAAATTATCCCACTTATCAAAATTGACAATACTTTAATTGTCTAATTAAATCCATGTTCAAAATTTTCCAGTTGTCTCCAACATGTCCTTTAGAGCTCATCTGTGTATACATCAGCTACACATATGTATCTATTTCTATATATGTGTTTTTATAGATTATATACGTATCATTATGAATTCAACATATGGGTCATATAGATTATATCATTATATGTATGTCTTATAAATTTATATATGCATACAAACACACACACATATATATATATCATCATGAATTTCAAGGAAATAATCTATAAAATTGTGGGGACTGGCAAGTCTGAAATTTGTTGGGAGGCCAGCTGACAGGAAACCCTCCGATAGAAGATGCTGCTATAGATTTGAAGCAGAATTTCTTCTTCCTCAAGAAAATCTCAGTTTTGATCTTAAATTCTTTCTATTCATTTAATAAGGCCCACACATTATCAAGGATAATTTCCTTTTCTTAAAGTGTTTGTAAATGTTAACCATATTTACAAAATACCTCCACAGCCAATACCTACATTAGTGTTTGGTTGAATAAGGATGTACTATAGCCTAGTCAAGTTGACACATAAAACTAACCATCACGGTATTATTTAGCTTATTCCTGTAGCCCTATAGCCCTGTGCTGACCAGTGTAGTAGCCACTAACTTTTGAACACTTGAAATGTACTTAGTCTAAACTGAGGTGTGCGTAAGCACAAGTCCACATCAAATTTAGAAGACATTCTGCAAATAAAAAGAATATAGTGTCTCATTAATAGAGTTTATATCACATATTGAAATAGTCTTTTAGATATATTGGGTTAAATGTTTTAATTACTGATATTAATTTTGTTTTTTCATTTTACTTTTTAAATGTGGCTACTAGAAAAATTTAAAATATATATATGGCACACATATTTCTTTTGGGTAGTGCTAATCTAACCCCTGTATTTTCTGTAATCTAGAAAATAGACTCTAAAGGTTTAATTAGATTAATTAGCAAAATTGCATTGTAGATGGTGTTATAGACTTCACATAACAGTAGAAAGTATTATATTGATACTATCAGTTATTTACGGTTTGGCCACTGGAATGAGGTGACGACCCTCTGATTCCTCTATGAAAAAATTATGTTTTTCCTCTTTGTGACCAGAAGGTAATCTGACTATGCTACTTTGCCACCATATGAAATGTGTGGTTTTTCATCAACAATTCACCTAATGATTTCAATAGCAATTTATAATTCTTTCCTGAATCATTTCATCAAGCACTGAAAAATAGCTAATGTCCAATCTTGTCACTCTTTGCACATAATTATTATTCCTCTATAACATGAGGCTTTCCTGTTTAACTCAGGCTATTTGGTTGCTATGAATACTTACTAGAAAGGTAAGATAAAGTCTTATCTCTTTTAATTACCACTTTTCAAAGTAAGGAAGTGACTTAATAGCTACCATGAATGATGACAAAATACTTTTTTCTTGTTTTCTCTTTTTGAATATCATTATCAACTCATGGATTTTTTTCATATATACAATATCTTTCAATCAATTTCAACCATTATTCTTTTTGAAGCTTGGATTTTTACAACTTGGACAGTGGGAGCCCCTTAAATAAGGTTTCAGTGTCCTTTTCACAAACCTCATCAGTCCTGAAAAACTTTCTGCTTTCTGGAGCAGCAATACATCCCAGACTTACCTTGTATCTTCCCTACCTGGATCTTGAATCAGTAATTTCTCTAAGAAGCTCTGGTTCTTGATTGTAGGAAATGTATTTAGAAACTAGGATCTTCTGTTTAGAGTCAGACTTTATTCACTGTAATAGTATCTAAATTTCAGTCATAAACTTAGAAGCCAAAAAAAATTTTATTTTTCTATAAGTGAATTTCCACTGATGTCAGAAAACTAAATCTTGCCCATCAAAATAAACTTAGTACCTTCTGGATTTTCTTAGGCTTAATTGGAATTAAATTCAAGTGAATTCAAGTCTTCTTTCTTCCTCTCAATTCTTTTCCCATTTTCCCCAAGATGATACAGACTTAGAGGTTAGGGTGGAAAGAGTGTTTTGTGTTGTCCTAGCACCCAGAAAGAAGTGTCTTATTCATGTAGGGTTTGCCAGATTTCACAAGTTAAAACACGGGACACCCTTTTGAAGTTATATACACAAAAAATGTACATACTCTTTTTCCTCCTCAGTTACCAGGTCTTTGCAGACTACCCTGAGTCCTCCTTGTCTCAGCCTATAGGAATTTCCATGTCACAACCACTGCCAGCTCTCCCTGGCTATAAGAAAATTTAGAATGCTCTCTCTCCCTTCTCTGGGGCTCTGGGAGATTCAAGGCACTGTCTTTCTCCTATTTGTCACATGTCTACTTTAATGCTGGCTTCTCTTTGAAATGTTTTGTCTCCCACCCAAAGCAATAAATACCACTAATATTGATGTAGAGAGCCAAAGAAAACTGAAAGAAAGATTTTTGTTAATGTTGCCAATTTTATTTTGTTGCATATTCCTCAGAAGAGACTTGCTCTTCCCTGACTTAGGTCCTATCTCTCCCCACCTCCAGAATTTTGCTAATGTATTGCTTTTGCACAGTGACCTTCCTCACCCACACCCCTCTCTGTATATTCAGATCTACTCGTTCTTCAGATCCCATACAGACCTAAAAAGCATGCCTTTCCCTTTCTATTCTAATAATACTTCATCTTTGCCTGTTTTGAGGGGCAGTGTTTAATTCATTCATTCTTTCTATAGACATATATTAAGTACCTATTGCCTACCAAGGTTTATGTTCTTTTTACCTGAACTAGATTGCAAACTCTTTGAAAGGAGAATCAGTGTCTAGTTCATCATTACATTCCTGTGCTTAGTAAATATTTTTGAATGAATGAACGAAGGGAGGAAGGACTGAGTTAAGCATATGAATTGCTGACCACACAGATTGCAGGAACCTTATTTCTTTTTCACCTCCTAGTGCCAGAACCTGAATTCTTGGCTTTCCTCACTTCTCTTTTAAAGTTTCTTACATCTGCATCCATTTTCTTTTTGCATATCTTTCTAAGATGAAGAAGGGACCCATTTTCAGTCTCAGACTAGCCTTTCTACTCACCTTCTGGTCAAGAAATCATTTTGTCCTAATTTCCCTATGAACTTTATACAGCAATGACCTTTTTCCCCCTATCTTCAGCCTCTCCTCTGTCTTCTTCTACTCAGCATATAAACAGGCTCAAAAGCCTGAAGTCTTAAACCCACAAACCACTTATCCCAGAATGTTCCTATCTGCCTATCTTTATTTCCTTTAAGGTTACAAGTAACCTATGTTCCAGCCTTATTAAAGTATCTGATCTTCTATCTTGGTTGACCTCCCTTGCTTTTATATGCTCTTTCTTTTGCTTGAATATCCTCATTCTTTGTCTACTTAGTTTTACCTATGAACCCCCTAAATCTTAGCTCAAGGATTTCCTCCCCTGAGAAGCCTTTTATAGAAGAGCTGTTCATGCCCCTACCTTTATAATTTTAGCCTGTATCTGGCTGTATAATAATTATCTGTTGGTAGATAATGCCTCCTTCAGGCGATTGCGAGATCCTTGTGGGCAGGTATAAGGTCTTATTAATACTATTACTATTCCTATTGGCTGGCTGTGGTAGGTCCTAGAAACTTTACTCAAATAGACAAATGAATGAACAAATTAGACTAATAATTATTTTATAGCTACTGCACTGTGCCCAGAAAAAAAATCCTATGATAGTCCAAGTGAATGGGTGTGTTCCTTCTGTGGCTAGCCCTGGCAAGGGCAGCATGACCTTGGCAAAGTTGTGTCATGTATTGAATAGGAAATCAACTAACTTTCCTGTTTGTGTAATATGCTGGCCACAGGAAAGATGGATGTGTGTGGTGAGAGCAGCAAATAAAAAGACCTTCTGTGCAAGGAATGTTCCTCTCTTACATTTCATTTCATAGGAGGTGCCTTCTTGGAATGTGAACCCAAATTCAAAGAAGGTTAAAACAGATCTTGCTTACATGTGCAAAGAAAAGTAGACAGTTGTAAAAATCTTTATTCCTGGTCTGAACCTCCTGCTAAAGCAAACATAGGGAGGAAAAGAAACTTCATAATTCCCCACTTGGCTATAAATTCTTCCTACTATTCACTGAAAATAAGAACTGGGGGGAAAAATTATCTACCAAAATGAATTCATTTTTCCCACTCCAATACACATCTTAAAGATGAATAATCTGAGATGCAAAGCAGTGGGAGGTAATCTGTCCAAGGTTCCACAGCCAGTAATGGGCAAAACTGGCTCTTCAACTCAAGTTTCATAATATTTCACCCTACATTTTTTCAATTACATTCTGCTAATTATCTGCATAAGTTTTAAAAGTACCCAAAGAGGAAGGGATGGCTTCAATAGCTGGAATATATTGTGAGAGTGTAAAATAGTTTGTTTGGATATGTTTCCAAATATTACTGCATTTGCCATTTTCTTAATTAGTCTATGGCCTGATGTTGATCTTTTCTGGCACTTAAAATATTATTAGTTTGAAAATAACTATTTCATATCTTGGTGCTTCAACTACAAAATGTATGGTTCTACTTTTGGAAGCATCAGAGAGATCAATGACAGAACTAAAGAGAGCCATGGTATTTGATAATGAATCTCCCTAGTTGCCATAGGGTAGCTGTTAAGAACTGTGAAGTATGTGAAATTTTATCTTACTTATAATTTTACAAGTTTACTTCATGGATGCTGACAGAAGACATAAGACTCCTGAGTTAGGATTAAATACTTAATTACTCATGGCAATAGCAGTAGCTAGTATCTCCCAGCATTTGCTCTAGAATCTCCTGGCATTTGCTCTAGTTTTCTACTCCAGTTCCCACAGGGCAACACAAAAAAAGTCAGGTGACATCTGCATTCAGTAGGCTGATGTTACAGGAGAGGAGCCTGAGCTTAGGGAATTTGAATCTTTTATAACAGGGAGTAAAACTGCCTACCCTTTGCCCTATAGGGAGACACCATCTCTATCTTCCAAGACTGTTTGCTGCATAAACATAAACAAATATCTCAAAACTATAGTCTGAAACAAAGGAATTCAGTGCCTCTGCTCAAAGACATGCAGAAACAAAAGGGACCTATGGAGTATTGTCTCCCACTAATACCCACCGCATATTTCTATATTGCCTTGGCTTCTAATGAGTTTTCCCATGAGTATGCCACTCCATCAGCCACGCTGATCAATCTTACTGACAGAGGCTGGGACCAAATCTGTTCAAGTAGTCTTAGATAGCATTTAATTAAGGTTACCACCATCAGAACTTCAAACAATAGGATGAGGCCATCCTGCAGTACTGACCTCAATCCTGTCCCCAGGGTATCAAACCCAACTAACTCTACAAATCCCATAAACCATCAGTATTTACTGTAGAAAATCAAGTGGTTTTCTCCCTAAATTGCTTGGCCTGAGGCATTAATCCAGATACAGTATGATTTATTAGTGATGAACAGATTTTACCTCGGTCTGCAAGGAGAAAAGTCTAGAATGATTCTGTCATTCATAACAACCCTGGAAAGTGAATTGAGACTGACCTAAATGCCTTTTGGCGCTAAAGTAGTATCATTGATCAGTTTAGGTAAAGTCAGAAAAACATTTTGTATTGGCTTTTCTCATGGAATAATTGCCATTGTAGGATAAACTGTCCTGAGGGTGCACACAAATAACAAGTCAGTTATCCCTCTGAGGATTTTCCTTGAGTAACTAAAAGTAACCTCATTTTGGAGAGATTTTCACAGTCATCTGAGGGCTACGTGATGTATAGGTGGTTTTTCTTTAAACATTTTCAGGTCTTTTATGAACACCTTTAAGGTACAAAACAGTGTTTTAAAGAGGGAAGCAAGTCCATTTCTGACTTCTGCACAAGTAGTACAGTCCTGGGGAAGTAATTCTTATTTGTAATCATTGGAGCCTGCCTGGCGGGAGCTACATTAGTCAGGGACAGATGAACACTGCTTCCAATGTGGCCTCCAAGCCAGGTTAGGGCTCTACTCTTATTTAGAGTGATTGAGTCTAATCCTTGATTTTGGAGGAACTTCCTGAAGAGTCCAACTTGCCCCGTTTGTTCAAGGTACCACCTGGGTGGCATTTGTCCTACCATGGAATGACTGCGTATTGGCTATGGGAATGGGAGTGGTAAAGAGATTCAGAGATGCTATCAGGCATTTTGCCTGGAAAGCGTAGCAGCTGAGACCTTCCCCTGTTGTTTCTAAGATTTCTCAGTAAAATTAAGGGAAATAGTAACTGTATTGGGGTCAGAACCATCTGGTAGAGAATGACAGACACAGAAGTTATTTAAAGTGCTTGCAATGGTTATAGGGAGAGCCACACTATTGCATTTTCCTTCCTGAGGAAGCCTCCAGGATGGTCTTTTGTTTGTTTGTGTTCTGAGACAGGGTACCACTCTGTCACCCAGGCAGGAGTGCAGTGATGCTATGTCCGCTCATTGCAAGCTCGTCCCAGATTTAAGCAATCCTCCCACCTCATCAGACCCACAAGTAGCTGGGACTACAGGCTCATGCCACCCCCAGCTAATGTTTTGTTGTTGTTGTTGTTTGTTTTTCTGTAAAGGTGGGGTTTCGCCATATTGTCCAGGCTGGTCCCTAACTCATGAGCTCTAGTGATCTGCCTGCCTCGGCCTCCCAAAGTGCTAGGATTACAGGGTTGAGCCACCACACCCAGCCCCAGGGTGGTTTTGAAAGACATAGCTCATTAATGTCCTTTTTTCCTCTGTACCTACTGAGGTCTAAGGTTTTCCTTCCCCAGAGGCCAGGGTTGTGGCTCTACCTCCACTGCCACAAAGTTTTTATGTTCCATTCCCGTAAGAGTAACTTCACTTTGTTATAAATCATTTCCTACTCACTCTTAGACCTTTCGTCCAGAAGGTTCCAATACATCCAGAAGGTAGAAAGCGTTCTTATAACACTCATAGAGACCCTTTGTCCTACACTTGGCCTACGTGGGCCACTCAGCAAGCAGTGTACTCAACCCAGTGACCTTTATCTTGTGGGGGATGTCAACCCCACAAGAGGGCCAGATAGTGGCACCAGAAATAAGTTTTTATTCTCTAGGCCCTTTTTGTCTGGCAGCTATCTTGAGGGCGTGCCAACCAGACTTCCCTGAGGCTGCCATTAACAGAAAGAAAGAAGTGTTGTGTCCAGGAATGATCAGGATAGAACCTCAAATTTTTAAAACAGATCTGGATAATACCCATACTGCTTTCATTTTAGTTATAACTCAGGAAGAGGCTGAGAGAAGATGATTCCTTTCTGGGGACAGCCACCTACAGTGAACAAACTGTCTTGCACAAGTGGGTGAACCGGTGGGAGGAAAGAGTGGTAGAGTCAAAAATCCTTTGGCATTGTTTTTTGAGAAGGATGTTCCAACATGCCCTGATACAGGATGCCTGTGGATGATGAGAAGAGCGAAAAGCCCATCAAATATGTTGACAACCAGCCCATTGTTGAGTGGCTTTTGTAATAAAAGCCATGCATTTTCAGACTCCAGATCGACTAAAAAACTGAAGACATGCCATAGACTAGTTTCAATGGCCCAATGGTATGACCTGAGTTGGCTGATGGAACTGGTGCAATTAACACCAGAAACTGTGAGGATGTCAGTGGAGGAGAGAAACCACTGATAGCCACCAAGAGAAGGGTAAGCCCAGTAGAAAGCTAATTGGTACTTCCAAAAGGGATGTACCCAGTAGCCATGTCAGTAAAGTGATGAGTGTAAAACCACAGATGCGCTTCCAGATGGAAGCTTTCAGTAAAGGTTCCCTTTGCCAGAGACTCCAATAGGCAAAATCATCAGTTACACAGACTTGTAGCTTGTAGAGGTCATTATGGTTTGGGGGCCCTGCTTGGAATGGGCCAGAGAGATGGCTGATTTAAACTAGCGTTTTTCTACATGTTGCTCTTCCCATATAGGAGAATTCCTTCCATCACTTATGGAACAGGGAAGTACAAGTAAATAACACATCAATTTCTGCTGTAGTTTCAAGTTTAGAAGTAACAATAATAGTACATTAAATTAGTCCAAAAGGCCCCACCAATAAAATCACATTAGCTTTCCTTTATTACTGTGGGTTCTGTATAACTCTTATCAGTAGAATCATGGTGTCCCCATCCTTCATGGAACTGATGGGATGATAAATTGGGCACCTGTATGCAACAGAACCATAAAAGTTTGAGTTCATCTCCCTGAAATTCCTCAGCATACTCAAACAGGTATATCTAGCCATTAGAGACAAAGAGACCTCAGCCACACCCCTAATCACACCTTCTCTTAAAGCAGCTTAGGCTGGAGGGAGAATGGCTTTGTGCCAATAAATATGTCTTTGCATTCACATTCAAGTTTGAGTGTTGTGGCTTGTGACTCAGCCAAATAAACTGTTGATTCTTTATATCAGAAGATGAGATCATCATGGCTGACAACACCCATTTCAGCTTTCGCTATCTCTTGATTCCTCAGGAAAGCCACAATGTTTTCCTCTGGGGCTCTGAGGTTTGTATCCTTTGCCTGATTTAGGATTGACTCTTCCAGTGGCACCTTTTGTTTATTTGTTTGTTTCTGAGAAATCCATCTTAACCCAGGGTGTTAGCTCCTTCTGTGTCATTGTAAGATCTTTTAAACTTCACTTGGCTTTAACCTAAGACAGGAGTGTCCGATCTTTAGGGGGCCACATTAGAAGAATTCTTTTGGGCCACACATGAAATACACTAACATTAACAATAGCTGATGAACAACAACAACAACAAAAAAAACAGCTGAAAACTCCTAACATTTTAAGAAAGTTGACAAAGTTGTGTTGGGCCACATTTAAAGCCATCCTGGGCCACATGCAGCCTGTGGGCCATGGGCTGGACAAGCTTGACCTAAGATCTAGGAAAGTTTTCCTGAGTGGCAGTGCTAATTACAAGAATCTGTCTAGATTCTTTTGGGAAATTTTTTCATTCTTGAGTGAGTCACTTTCATCAGCACTGTACACCCAGTCCAGGGCTGTAAGAGCTGGTATAGTAGTCAATACCTCATCTGTGTTTCCCATGGGAGCTTTTCCAGCCCATGGCACGCTATGTGGGTGAAGTCATTGAGTTTAAAAAGCTAGGAATGGGTTGGATAAATTCAGTAGCTAGTCAATGTCTAGATCTCCTGTCATCCAACACAGAAAAATAGCAGGGTGAGTGGGCTATTATCCCTCAGCTCAGAAGATTGAGTTCAGGTAAAGTCTAGACTGAGAGTCAGATACCAGGTATTTACAAGGGATTTGATCTCTGAGTGCATCCATTGTGAGGCAAGAAAGAGAAAGAAATTTGATGGAGGAATTGAGCTTAGAAGCCAGAAAGAGCAGATGTAAAGGGACATAATCTGGAATCAAAGGTCAAAAACCTAAAGGGAACTAGGTATATGTGGGTGCAGATTGGGAAGAAGCCAGAAGTGTCAAGGCACATTACATTGTCTTTATGGGCCGGTGGGTGTCAGATTATCTTGCAGAAACATGTTTATGATAATCATCTCTCATTTGGTCTTCTGAATTAGAGTCTTAACTGGTTTCTCTGACTCCAGCCTCCCCCTGCCAATTCTTCCTCCATGTGGCTGCCAGAGTTCCATTTACAAAATACAAATCTGATTATGTCAGTACGTTGCTTGAAAACCCTTTTTTGGTCTCTCACTGCAAAATGAAAGTCTCAACTCCTTAGCATGCCGCTTAATGTCCTTCACAAGTTGAACACGGTTTGCTTTGCAACCTCATCTCTGTGTCTTCCCAACATGTACCCAATGTTCTAGCCACATAGAATTATATGTTTTTGTTTTTTTTTTTCCAGATACACTATGCTCTTTCATGATGGTTTGCCCTTATTTCCTTGCCTGGAATGACCTTGTCTTTCTCTGCTTGGAAAACAACTAGCTTCAGCTCAGCTGTCTCCCCCTCTAAATGTCTCTCTAATCTACAGGCTGTGATCCCATAGTATCACATGCACATTGATTATGATGTTGTGTTTGTGTAATGCCTATTATCTGTGCTGTCCACCAGGCTGTGACCTTCCTGAGAGAACTTGTCTTATTCATTATGATAGCTCCTCTACCTATTTCAAACCTTGGCATACAGTAGTCATTTATTCAATATTTGTTGAATGTAATAATATCTTAGTGATACAACAAATTGTTTGAGGCAGTAAGTTTTTTTATCATGCTAAAAATTCAGATAGGGACCCAAGTATCTAGATTATTATTAATAATAACACCACTCCACCAAGTATAATATTAATGATTTTGTATTACATAGTCATTTTTTTTATTTCCAAAGCAATCAACGGTAATTGCTGTAATTAAGCGCTCTAATCTTTAAGGCTCTTAAGTGTGAAATTAAGCTGAAGTCATCCAAGGGACAGCAGGTAAACATTGTTTTAGGGAATTAATATTTGTTTGTGGTTTTTCCAAAGAGACATATAGGTTATACATATACTCAACAATTTTTTTTTCTATAATACTCTTACTTGGTCCCAAAGTAGCACATCCCCTCCATACTCCCTCACTCCCACCCCAAACTCCAAAGTTCCTCTTCACCTATTGCCTAGAAAACAAATATCCGGCCGGGCGCGGTGTCTCACGCCTGTAATCCCAACACTTTGGGATGCTGAGGCGGTGGATCACTTGAGGTTGAGAGTTCGCAACTAGCCTGACCAACACAGAGAAACCCCATCTCTACTAAAAATATAAAATTAGCTGGGCATGATGGCACATGCCTGTAATCCCAGCTACTCAGGAGGCTGAGGCAGAAGAATCGCTTGAACCTGGGAGCTGGAGGTTGCGGTGAGCCGAGATCGTGCCATTGCACTCCAGCCTGGGCAAACAAGAGCGAAACTCCGTCTTAAAAAAAAAAAAATTCTAAAGGAAATATATATTTTGTATCAAGTTACCTAAAAATACAAAAGGTGCTGTGGAAGCATTATTTGAAATAGTTTTCTGAAGGAACCTCTGGAAAACATACTTCTTGTGCCTTTGGTACTGTCTTGGATCTCCAGAGAGTACATAGGTTTTTTGTTGTTGTTTTTTGTTTGTTTTCTTTTGTTTTTTGAGACAGAGTCATCCCGTGTGGCCCAGGCTGGAGTGCAGTGGCATCATCTCGACTCACTTCAACCTCCAACTTCCAGGTTCAAGCAATTCTTCTGCCTCAGCTTCCTGAGTAGCTGGGATTACAGGTGCACACCACCACACCCAGCTAATTTTTGTATTTTTTAGTAGAGACAAGGTTTCGCCATGTTGGCCAGGCTGGTCTCGAATTTCTGACCTCAAGTGATCCACCCACCACAGCCTCCCAAATTGCAGGTGTGAACCCCCACACCCGGCCTAGAGCACACAGGTTTTATTCAATCTGAAGGGCAACTGGCATAACCATTTTCTGGAAAAGCACTGTAAATGGATGACCTCATAACCTTGGAGGAGCAGCCTGGTTCCTCAGTAACTTGGGCATTGTGTAGCCATTTTGTAAAAATCTTTGACTCTGCCAGTGATCCTTGTCTTCATGACAAGTATTAATGAAGTGGAACTAAGAAAATATTAGTAGCCCCAAACAACCCTTCTGGTGTAACATGTTGGTTCCTTGACATTAAACTACAAGTATAGGTAGGAAGCAAACCAAACGTGTGCATCCCTTACACTGATGGTATGCAGCAGTGCCCATTATTCCACTAGTGAAGTTTTATCAAACATACATTTAGAGTAGTAATAATCCTTCACTATATAAGGAAAACATCACTGATCAATCTCAACATTTTTCCCACTGGACATGGGAAAGCCGACTACTAACAAGCAATCAAAATTAGTGTTTAAGAAAATATCTAGCCAACTATTAACGAGCAATCAGAATTAGTGTTTAAGAAAATATCTATTTGCCAATTTTACCCCAGTGCATAAGGATACACTCTCAAATAAGAAAATATTATTTGTAATAAGGCAACCCAACAAATATTAATTGGCTATTGTAATGTACATTACATGTGGGCTTATTCCATACCCATTCCAACCCTCTTTCAACTTACCTTCTTCCACTAAAATGGGGGAAAAGCTCAAAATTATACTTCCGGCTAGGTGTGGTGGCTCAGGGCTATAATCCCAGCACTTTGGGAGGCCAAGACAGGTGGATCACTTGAGGCCAGGAATTTGAGACCAGCATGGCCAACATGGCGAAAACTCGTCTCTACCGAAAATACAAAAATTAGCCAGGTATGCTGGCACGTGCCTATAATCCCAGCTACTGGTGTGTGCAGAATTGCTTCCTTCTGGTGGGTTCTTTGTCTCACTGACTTCAAGAATGAAGCCACGGACCCCTGCGGTGTTAAAGTTCTTAAAGATGGTGTGTCCTGAGTTTGTTCCTTCAGATGTTCAGATGCGTCTGGAGTTTCTTCCTTCTGGTGCATTGGTGGTCTTGCTGACTTCAGGAGTGAAGCCGCAGACCTTCATGGTCAGTGTTACAGCTCATAAATGCAGTGCAGACCCAAACACTGAGCAGCAGCCAGATTTATTGCCAAAAGCAAAACAACAAAACTTCCACAGTGCTGAAGGAGACCTGAGTGGTTGCCAGTGGTGACGCGTGGCCTGCTTTTACTCCCTTATTTGGCCCCACCCACATCCTGCTGATTGGTCCATTATACAGAGAGCTGATTGGTCCATTTTACAGACTGCTGATTGGTCGTTTTCTACAGAGTGCTGATTGGTGCGTTTACGAACCTTTAGCTAGACACAAAGCACTGATTGGTGGATTTACAATCCTTCAGCTAGACATAAAAGTTCTCCAAGTCCCCACGTGACCCAGAAGCCCAGGTGGCTTCACCTCTCACTGGGAGACTGAAGCAGGAGAATCGCTTGAACACGGTAGGCGGAGGTTACAGTGAGCTGAGACTGTGCCACTGCATTCCAGCTTGGGTGACAGAGCAAGACTGTCTCAAAAAAAAAAAAAAAATCCAAACGAGCAAAAAGATTATATTTCCACACTCCCTTGCAGTTAGAGTGCAGTCATATGACCTAGGTGCCACCCATCAGATGTCCCTGAGGGAGACCTGAATATTAAAATGAGAAACTTTAAGCTATGGCCTCGGATAGAGAATAGACCTCCTGACAAGCACCATGGAGTTAGAAGCTGGTTCTCCTGGAACCACTGTGATGGTAGATAGTTGTGTTTATACCTAAGCATGCTCAGGGCTAAGTTTTGGGCTGCAGTTGCAGTGGTTTTATTAGAGTAGTTCATGATGTGAACTGAGCATTTTTCCTACCTACATCCTTCCTGACTACGCAGTATCCACATCTGATTTTCTTGCATTCCAGGAGATTTGTGAGCTACCAAAAATCCTTTCTGTTTCAATAAACTAGTGTCTTCTGTTCTTGGTAATCAAGAATTCTGCATGTGCCTTTCATGTGCCAATCACATATTCCCTGCTTGTTAGTGTATTCTAGAAAGAGAGACAGTAAACAAAATTAAAAACATGTCATTGCAGTTGTGGAGTTAAAATGAAAAAAGCATAGGGAGCTATGGAAGATAATGAAGTTTGCAGCTGTGGACCTGTCCTATTCTCCCACCCCAATACTTAGTATCCATTTGGACTGAAGACTAGAGGTAGAAACAATGAGCACTTTGCTTTGATATGAACATTGCTGCCTAGGCCTTTTCTGAAAATATAAAGAAGAGTTTTATTTATTTATTTATTTTTCTATATTTATTTATTTATTTGAGTTTTATTTTTAATCCATTAAATGTCAAAGGATCTAACATTGCTATTAATGAGCATGTATGATAACAGAATATGAAAGCAGTTTAATGCAAAAGGAAAATAGAGTCTACATAACTGCACACTTTTTAGCTGTAATACATCACAGTTCTTAACTCTGACTAAGGAAACACTTAGGTTCTGAGGAGACGTATATCTCTTCTGTGACTATGAATTAAGCACAACACACATAACAACATAGACGATATATGTAATGCATTTATTGAACTATTCATAGCACTTTACATAAAGACCTATGTCTTACTCCTGTTTTGCTTCACATAATTTATTTATTGTAACCAATGTATACACTATACACCTATGCACTCAAGGCTACATAACTGGAACAACTGTGTGCTAAATTCACCTGGAAAAGATTATAAATAATAGATACAAAAATACGTATGGAATTCTATACACCTTTGAAATATGAGATCTACTTTTGATGAACTTTCTGGCCACAGTCAAATTAGGAATGTAATAGACTTCATCTAAAAATCCCATTAAATTCCTAATGGGATTATTGCCTTACCAATTTTAACATAAATGTGCCCTTCCATCAACATATTTCTATAGATAAAAAAGTACAATGTGTTTGAAAAAACATGGGCTTTCAAAAAACATTAAAAAAGAGCTGTGTTTCCATCCCAATGCTTCTGTTTGCTAGCTTTGTGCCCATGACTAGGTTACTTAATTTCTTGGCACGTCATTGCATAATGGGAAAGATAATATTGGTCTACAGGGGTTAGGCTCTAAAACATATTTTTTATTTATTTATTTATTTTTTGAGACGGAGTCTCGCTCTGTCGTCCAGGCTGGAGTGCAGTGGCGTGATTTCTGCTCACTGGAAGCTCCGCCTCCCTGGTTCATGCCGTTCTCCTGCCTCAGCCTCCCGAGTAGCTGGGATTACAGGTGCCCACCACTACGCCAGGCTAATTTTTGTATTTTTAGTAGAGACGGGGTTTCACCGTGTTAGCCAGGATGGCCTTGATCTCCTGACCTCGTGATCCGCCCGACTCAGCCTCCTGAAGTGCTGGGATTACAGGCTTGAGCCACCATGCCGGGCTAAAACATATTTCTTTCCCATTTTCCATTAGTGCCACTCTTACCTTTGGTCCCTCAGAATTTCTAGAAAAATCAGTATTAATTTCATTAATCTGTGAACCAATTAAAGTAGATATTTATCTGTATGCATGTATTTATGTACTTAGATACATGCTACACTAAAACTAAACTTGTAAAATACCTAAAAATACATCTGTATCTAGGAAACATCTACTTTTAAAAAGTAGTGATTAAGCTCCTGTTTGTCATCTGACTTTACAGAGTGATGATTTTATTAGAATAAGTAAGATCGTGAGATTTTTCACTCAGAAGACACATTGAATTACTCTGGACTTCTGCCAGGATATGTAAAACAATAAGAATTTAGTGAAATTTTGAAACCCAAAGACTTATCTATAACCCACAGTTTAGACTATAATCTTATAGCGCTCAGCTCAGACATTCTTCATTAATAATAAAATTATAGACAATCCTAGTTAATATTTTTATACTTGTCTATTAAATAACATAATACACATTTAGAAATTATGGTATATGTAATGTTTTTATTGAACTCTTTATATCATTCTATTTTAACAACTGGACATTTTTCTTAGGGAAAAAGTATATTGATAAAGATAAATATATATGAGTACTTTAATTAAAGTTAAAATTCAGGTTAATTCCAATTGTCAGGAGACAGAGCTAGACTGGGGATTAGATAGGAAGATAGAGATACATGCAAACATGTATGGTGCTGTAGTTTGGTTTATTTGACCCATCAAAATTTCATGTTGAAATTTGGTCCCCATTGTTGGAGGTGGGTCTTGTGGGAGGTGTTTGGGTCATGGGGTTGTATCTCTCATGAATAGATTAATGTCTTCCCTTGGAGGAGGCAGTGAGTGAGTTCTCACTCTATTAGTTCTTGTGAGAGCTGGGTATTGAAAAGAACCTGACCCCTACCCTCTCACTCTTTTGCTTCCTCTCTTGCCATGATTTCTGCACATACCGGATCCCCTTAGTCTTCCCCCATGAGTTCAAGCAGCCTGTGGCCCTTGCCAGATGCAGATGCCCAATCTCAAACTTTTCCAGATTCAGAACCAGAGCCAAATAAACCTTTTTTCAATGAATTACCTAGCCTCCAGTATTCCTTTACAGCAACATAAATGGACTAAAACATATGGCTTTTAGTTTTATAATTTTTACTTGATTCTTATTTATTGATTCCAGTGATATGTTGATGTTCTCCATTTTTCATTTATACTTTTCTGCATACTAATGACAAATATTTTAAAGTCTGTGTCACATAACTACAATATATGGATTTCCTGTGTATCTGTTTCTGTTTTCAATTATTTTCTGTTAATTGTTGACTATTTGAGCTTGTTCACTGGTATACCAAGTACTGTTTTTTAATTTACATGGTGGACATTATCCATGAAAGTTATGGAGAAAATTTCAGACTCTGAATGATTTGATGTTTTCCTAGAGCGTATTCACTTTGGATTTATGCAGGCAGCTACAGTAAGGGCAAATCAGTAGTCTAATAGGAACAGAGATGAAGCTGTGTTTCAATCTTTGTAAGGACTGGTATATTTCCATTTGACTTTACTCCTAGCATGTAAGCCTTTCAGGAATCCCGATTGATAGCCTGGATGTTTACCGAGGTCTCTCCTCTTTTGAAAGCTCTAAACTCAAATTTTTGTTGCCCTAATTCTATTATATCAAACTGCCTAAGGGTCTTCTCAGCTTCTCAGTCTCTGTCACTGATTTCTAGCTTCCCAGTCTTTTAGTTATCTGTTGTAAGTTTACAAATAACTCCAGGGAAAAGTGACACCAAATCTTGAGCTCATTATTCTTTATTCCCCTTCTCTCCAGGACCTTGGACTTTCAAGTCTTCACTGCTTTGATAACTTTCCAATGCCTTCAAAGACTTGATTTCCATATTTCCTACTTTTTTTAGTTGTTTTCAATGGGAAGGTTGGTCTGAAATGAGCTGGTCCACACTAAATGGAATTTGCCTGTGTTCTTCAGCTCTTGCTGATTCAAAATTTGATTAACTAGTTTGCAAATTAGCTGTGGTTTAAAAATAATAAAAAGTTTACTTAAAATATATATACAGAAAATATTTTAAGCATTTTCATAGTAGAAGAGGTTGTTGGTACTGTTTACAAAGCAGCATATTCTACGTAATATTACTGCAACACAAGATGCTTTTGTCTTCCAGAAAAAAAATACATAAATATTTCTTCTCCTATAAATACCCTCTTCTGAGTTCTTCTAAGCCACAGTCAAGCAAAAAGTGAAGGCAAGAGAGAGCTAAATAAGGAGCTGCTAATACCAAAGCAAGGACAATGATGCTGAATGAGTTTGGTGAAGAGAGAAAGGGAGAAAGAAAGGACATGAAACTCAACACACATCTCTGCTCTACTTGCTTCTTGTTTTATTGTTTTTTTAAAAACAGGCTCAGCTAAAAAATACCAACACAGACATTTTAATAGAGAAACTGTCTGCATTTTTTTGGTCAAGAAATTTCTTTGATGTTGACTGGTTCTAAATATTTTTCCTTTGATGTGTTTGGATTCAGATTTAGAAATATAATTGTGTCCCCAAATATGATTACATTAATGACTTTAACTAGGATTCCATTATATCTATTTATACCACATTTGAAAAGTTTTGTTTTTCATGTACACATGCTTGATTTGAAAGCAACCAAAGACAGGAGTTGATTTTTTTTTTTTTAAAGAAGGGAATGATAAAACGGAGCTAAAAATATTTGTGTCTGGAGCTACATTTCAGATTCTATAGTCTTAAATGATTCATTAGATCTTATAATTCCTCATAGTCCTAATCAGGAATACAAAAATAATATAACAAAGAAAGCATGAGAATCTAACAGGGCTGCTACACTGCACAGCTCTTAGAGGTACCAGCGGAGTGCTGTGTGCATGGTATCTTCTGAAGTATTGCAGAGCAGTGGCCCTGGGTCTAAGGCTAACATCTAGTCTGGTGGTTCTCTAACCTAATTATATATCAGAATGCACTTGGTGTGCTTTTGAAGAACACTGACTTCAGACCTACCCAACTGAAATCTGAAAGACTGGGGATTCAGAGGACTGTCTTTATATTTCTGAAAGTTACCCAGTTATTTTTACAGTACAGCTGACTTTAGAAACTTCTGGTTAAATTACTTCTCATCTCTGTTTCTAAAATATACTTATAGGATTAGATTTTTCTTGTTTTTAGGCAACATCATTAATTGGAGACTTTCCTTATCTTCTATCAATAATCCACTTCAATCACTGACAACTTTTTCCACAAAAATTCTTTATATCTTATCTAATATAATTCAGCTACAAATTAAGCTTTGTAAATAGTCTCCAATGAAACCATAAAGGCAGACAGATCACACTTCTATAATTTTTATTTTTAAATATGAAATATTTTAAATGTGTAGAAAAGCACTAACAATAATGTAACATATTTATGATCAGCCATATATGTCCCAGTTTTGTCTCTTTCCAATTAAAAAAAAAAATCAGCTCTAGCCCTGCATCATCTTTTTCCATTTCCCATCTCCCCAGAGGTTATCATTATCTTGAAATTGGTGCTTATCATTCCCACACATAGTTTAGTAATCATACTATATGTATATATAGTTAATCCCAATCATTTGTGGATTTCATATTTGTAAATTTGCCTACTCTCTAAGACTTACTTGCAGCTCCAAAATCAATACTTGTGAAGCTTTTGCAGTCATTTGCAAACGTGCACAGAGCAGTGAGAAATTTAAGTTGTTCAACGTGCACATCCCTAACTGAGATTAAGCAAGGTGGCGCTCTGCCTTCTTGTATCAACTTTCATCCTGTACACAAGCACTTTTTTTTTGTGATCTATTTAGTACCACATTTTGAGCTGTTTGTTGGTGATTTTGCTGTTTAAAATGGCTTCTGACGGTCAGGGTGATCAGATGTCAAAGTGGGAGATTCTCTCTCTACGGACTTAGCAGGATTCTTGTTAAATGTGAGCTATGGAGACCAGGCAAGGAATAGGGGCCTAGGTGGAGATCTAGTTGAGAGGAGAGCTCAAAAATCTGACTAAAGTTTGATCAAGGAGAGAGTCTTTGTCAGTATCTGTGGCAATTTTTTTAAATTACTGAAAGTGAGGCTTATTTACATTCTTCAAGACTTACCAATTAATAAGCTCTCTTAAAATCTCCAGTTTTAATGTCTGTCTGTTCCAAGTGTAGTCCTGAAATACTGTCAAGTATTCCTAAGTGCAAGAAGGCCACAATGTGCCTCTTGGAGAAATATGAGTTAAATAAGCTTCATTCAGGCTTGAGATATAATGCTATTGCTTGTAAGTTCAATGTAATGTATCAACAATGTATATTAAATAAGGTGTCTTTAAAAATAAATACACATAACACAAAGTTATATTCATCTGTTGATGAAAATGTTATGACCAGAGGCTTGCAGGAACCTAACCCCATATTTTCCCCAGGAGCAATGGTTCACTATTTGCTAATTCAGTATTCATGGCAACTTCATAGAATATGTTAGAAGCAAAATGCTTGTTCCTTGGTGCTGCAAAGAAATAGTGCTCGAACATTAATTTTCTCAGCAAGGCAATTTTTACTTCTATAGAAGGGTACGACTTGCAGATGGAGTAATGGCGGGAACACACCTGGACAAGGGAGGGGAAGGGGTTCTTATTCCTGACACAGGTAGCCCATACTGCTGTGTCATTCCCCTATTGGCTAGGGTTGGACCACACAGTCTATGCTAATTCCGTTTAGCTATTTTAAAGAGAGCAGAGGTACAAGCCAGAGTGGCAGGGTGAGTAGTTTGACAGAAAGGGTGGTTAGAGAACAGGTGACTCAGGATGATTCAGGTCAGAGCAGGTGACCAGGGGTGACTCAGGTCAAAGCAGGTGACCAGAGGAACAGATATGAACTACTGATTAGAACTGGTGGGAAAGTTGTTTACTGAAACTAGAGGCAAGCAGGTAAAGAGAACCAGGAAGTTAAACTTTAAAATGGAGAATCAAAGAATAAGAGAGCTGAACATACTGACATACTGATTCTTTGAAGAGAAACTTGGAGTTCACTATATCTAACAAGTATAACTACCATAAATAATGGGAATCAACTCTACTTACAAATAATAAATGGTATTGTTTTATGCATTGTAGGTTTAAATAGTTTATCTACCTATCCTTTTGTTACCTTTTTCCATTCCACACTATACTGTTGAGATTTATACATATCTAATTCTTTCATTTTAACCTGTAAAATCTGTACAAAAATACTACAGTTTTTTTATCCTTACCACTACAATCAGATTGTTTTCAATTTTTGTCAAACAATGGTACACTACATTACTTTACACATGCATATGCATGAGAGTGTTTCTTTGGTACATTTCTAGAAGGCCACAGTTCTTCAGTTGGTGTTGTTTCAAATACTTCAGAGAAATCATTAACTTAATCCCAATATCTCTTCTTCAGAGTCATGCAATATATCCTAATTGTTTACATTAGTTTGTAAACTGAATGCTTTTCAGCAAATCATAGCCTTAATCTCAGTTTACAAATGAAAGTCACTGGCCACAGAACAAAACAGACAACAAAAAAAGGCTTTATATTGATTATGTGAATATTAAAAATATTAGCAGAATAATTATTCTCAGTACATAATCAAGGACTTCATTTTACCCATATCTCTATAACACCACGTCACTGCCATTTTTCTGAAGAATGTATTTTTTAAAGTTTCTTTTTGTAAGGAAGTTGCTTCAAAATTGCATTTTACAATTATTATGTTTAAAATTGTTGACACCTTCAGTTAACTCTTCACAGCAGATCAAACTATTAGATTGAATAATGTGCAATTAATTATAATATGACACTGCAGATTTTCTGAATTACATTTTTAAAAATGTATGATCTAATTATTTAATGTTTTTCTACAAAATTGCCTTTAATCATCTTTAAAGTTGCATTTTGTAGTTAATACATTTCAAATATCTGATAACTTCAGTTGAGAATTCTGGGTATACCATAATAATTAATTGAAACTTGTGGAATTTCTGATATTTGACTTTCTTTCACCTACCAAAGAATGGCTCTTTCAGATGATGTGATGTAATATTTTTATTGAGAAAATATTATGTTTATGTGTTGAACTGATAAACTCAGGGTCAATTCTTACACATGTGAAATATTTTTTGTATTCTAATATATGTGTGTGTATACATACACATATATCAGTGTATGTATAACCTTTTTTTTTTTTTTTTTTTTTGAGATGAAGTCTTGCTCTGTTGCCCAGGCTGGAGTGCAGTGGCACGATCTCAGCTCACTGTAAGCTCCGCCTCCTGGGTTCATGCCATTCTCCTGCCTCAGCCTCCCGAGTAGCTGGGACTACAGGCGCCCGCCACTACGCCCGGCTAATTTTTTGTATTTTTAGTAGAGACGAGGTTTCACCATGTTAGCCAGAATGGTCTCGATCTCCTGACCTCGTGATCCACCCACCTTGGCCTCCCAAAGTGCTGGGATTACAGGTGTGAGCCACCATGCCAAGCCTCTAATATATTTTAAAAGGAAAAAAGTTAAAAATCAATTATCTAAAAAATCTAGAAAATAGCAAATTAAATCATAATAGAAAGGATGTTCTTTAATCTGATTGACAAAAACTTCAGAAATCTTACAGCATGCATCAAAATTAAAGGTAAAAATTTAAGCTTTCCCACTGGTATTGAGAATGAGAAAAGGAAGTCTATCATCACCACTTCCATTCAATGATGCACTGAGGTTCCGTCCAGTGCAATAACACAATAAAATTAATAAAAGATAAAGAGTTGTGAAGGAATAAGTAAAACTGTCATCATTTGTAGATAACGTAATTGTGATTGTAGAAAACAATAAAAAATGTACAGATAAACTGTTAAAGTCAATTTAGCAAGATGGCTAGATTCTAGGTCAATATACAGAAATCATTTGTGTTTCTAATTAGAGATAAGCACTTAGAAAATGAAAGTTTAAATAGCATAATTAAAATATTATTAAAAAGCACATCAACTAGTTATAGGAATAAATCATTTGGTTGAATATATTCCAAATTCCTATTATAATTTTGTCATAAAGCTACATTTTTTTCTTATTAGTATAGTTACTTCAACATTATTTCAGCTAGCGTTTTTACAATTTATCTTTTTCCATCCTTTTACTTTCAAATTTTTGGTTGTTATAGTGAATATTTTATTTTTATATAGTCTGCAGTGTTAGAATATTAACTGGAAATGTTTACACCATTTACATATTATAATTGTGATATATTCAGTTTAAAACTATCATCTTACTTTTTTTTGTTTGATCAGTTTTTTTTTTCTTTTCTTCTTTTGGATGAATTATTTTTATCATTTTATCATTCCATTTCCTTTTCTTGTTGATTGTTCGTGTTCTATTATGCCCTTAGTATTAGGTATTATGTATATCCTTAGTCTACCCTAGGTATTATATATACCCTTAGTATACCCTAGGTATTATGAAAAACAAGTAGCTTTATTAGACTCTAAGATAAGTTAGTAATTTTAGTACTTCTCAGACAATAAAAGGATTTGGTAATACTTTAAATCCATTTACCAGCCTCTCATCTTTTCACAATTGTTGCTATGTACTTTTTGTTTATATATGTTTTAAACCTCACAAGACATTATTAATCATTGATTTAAACATCCGTATTCATTTATATTTACCTTCTTATTTACTCTTTCTGGAGCTATATATTTTTTCACACAATATTGTGCCTCTATGTAGGATCATTTTCCTGTTGGTAGAAGAAATCTCTTTGGTATTTCTTTCTAGGCGGGCCTCTTGGCAAAGCATTCACTCTGCGTATGTTTGTTAGAAAAGTCTCTATCTCTTATTCAAAAACTTTTTTTTGGAAATATATTTTTAAAACATCAGAAATAGCATTTTTGATTAACATTTTTACTGATTACAGAATTCTTCATTAGCGTTTAGTTCTCAGCACTTTAAAGGTGCCATTTGATTACCTTCTGGCTTTCATTAATCTTGTTGAGAAATCAGCTGTTTGTATTACCTTTGCTCCCTTTGAAAGCCATATGTCTTTTATTCTGAGTGGTTTTAGATTATTTTCTTTATGTTTAATTTTCAGCAGTTTCACTTCGGTGTGACTAGATGTGGTTTTCTTGGACCTTATCTTACGTGTGGTGTCTTGGATCTGTGAATTGACATGTATTTTCTTAGAACTTTTCTTACATGGGGTTTCTTGGACCTGTGGCTTGATTTGTATTTTCTTTTACCTGTATCTTACATGGCGTTTTTTGGATCTGTGGCTTGTTATGTATTTTCCGTTTCTTTTTCTTTCTGTGCTTCGGTTTGAATATTTTTTACTGATCCATCTTCCATGTCCTTAATCATACCTTCGGTTTTGCCGAGTCTTATGCCGAGTCTTATTTTAATTCTTTATATCGGTGATTGTATTTTTCAGTTTTATAATTTTCAGTTGATTTTTTATAGATACTCTCACTGGTGAAAAATTCTATCTTTTTATCCATTTTCTTCAATATATTTACGATAACTAAAAAAAAAAACTTTCTTTGATAACTGAGTCCTTAGATGCCTGGCAATTTTTCTTGAATTACAAAGTTTTTAATAAAATTACATAAGCTGTAGATAGTTTTATACCTCATCAGAGAAAATTCACTTTTCTTCTAGAGAGAAATTAGAGTAAAAGAGGATCATTTCAATCCAATCAGTTATGGGGATGGCTCAATGCCAAGTTTCAGGCTTGCCAATTTCCAGTTTTCTCTTATTCCTAAGGAATAGTCCTACTGGGTTCTGAACTATCAACTGAAAGCCTGAATATTTACCAGGCATATCCTTTTTGGTGGATCCAGGGCAGAAAGTCCTCTTTTAGCCTTTAAGACTGTGAAAGTCTATAGTCTAGCCGGTTTCTGTTAGGTTTCTTCCTAACTTTTCCCCACACAGTTGGGGATTTGGCATATGCTTCAAGGGAAAATGTCGGCTCATTGTTGGATTCACTTCTCTAAGATTCCTCGCTAGGTTAAAATCCCTTTTTATTACACCAGTTCCTTTGGTATTCCTTTTTTTTTTTTTTCCTCTTGGTAACTTATCCCATTATTTTTATTTCTTTTAATATTCTCCATATCCTCTGTTCTGACCTCAACGCTTCCTTATTACTCCTTTCAAACTCAATATTCCTCAGTTCCTACTAACTATTCAATAGCATTCCAATACTACCAGACCAACCAGTTTCTTCTCATCAACTCCTAGAGCAATGTGTTCTTCTAATATTTTGCATATACTCCCATTCTTTTAGCCTTCCCAAGTCTCTTTGCTTATTTCTTTAAATCTCAGTCTCTCCCAGTAAATAGTGAGGGAATTTTTTATTTTAGCAGCAATACCCCCTAAAAGTCCTCAGCAATAGTCAGCACTGTACCTGGTACATAATAGTTGCTCAACAAAGATCTGCTCATTGGACGAATCAATTAATAGCAGACAGTATAAATTTCTAGACCTGGGGAGTACTTTAATCCTACTGTTTCTCAAAAGAGGGGCAGAAATCAAGCAAAAAGAAAGTTACGGAGGCAATGGAGGGGAATCGTTGTTTTTCTGCCTTTGCCCTTTCTTTAATGTTAAGCTCTTCGAATGGCATGTAATTGCGTTCACTTTATTTTGGCCCACAACATACCCTACTACAAAGATGAATAAGAAATGTCTTTCAGATGTTTGCCTCTTCCTTGTATCTTGATTAAACATTTGAAAATTTGTATAAATAGATAAGTCAGAGACTTAACTCTCTTTGCATATTTTAACTGATCATATCTGCAGGTGTTCAGTGTCCTAAGTAAATATATCAAATAATCTAAGGACATTATATTTGCATAACTGAAACTAGTGCCTTTTGATTTTTGCATAACTACCTGCCTTCAGCAGAATCCTAACCAGACAAATACTTCTGCAACAAAGAAAACTGGCTGAAGGTTAAAACTGTCTTCTTTCTCAAACATTTGTATAGTACAGTTCTAAACTATACAAATGTTTGAGAAAGAAGAAAATAATTTTCATAAGAAAATTATGAAATAATTGTGTGTTCAGAGGTGAGAGCACTTATGTAAATTATTTAAGGGTATGCACACAAAAGGATAGCAGGTTCCACATCTTTGGAATCTGGAATATAGTATATACCAAAAGAATTAAGAAATAGCACTTTCCATGCTTATGTATATTAGTTCTTTGTTTCCTGAGAGGATGGTGAAATAAATCAGCTGGGAAATTGTGAATGTGATCACTCAAAACAAAACTCTACAGCAATTTAAAAGTGAATCCTCCTTCCCCTTCTCTGTTTTCTATGGTAACCATAACAACCAGTTCCTTTCAGAGAGGTCAATTACTAAAAATAGTATGATCCATATATTACTTAACATGATCATCTATAAAGTACACTTTGGACAATATTTTTTATAAAAATTTTTGAAGACTGTGAAATATCCTCAAATTACTGATTAAAAGAAGAAAAAATATATAGGAGGATCTGGAAAATCAAATGGAAAAGACATGTTGGAATATAAGCATGAACGAATACAAGCATGTTAGAATATAAGACAGGTTAGAATATAAGTCATCACCTTTATATGCATGATTACTAACTCACAGGATTTGGTAAATGATTTATCCTCAAAAGCATGAAGATAGCTCATTTTGGAAAAATATTATAAGTGTTATTAAGATTATTTATTGAAACTGTAACAACAAAAGGAGACTTTTTTGTGGCTCTAATCATATATGCCATATGCCTTGAGGCCATCTGTTAGAAAAGTCTATAGATGAAATCACCATCAAGAAGCCAGCTCTGCCACGGACCAGCTAAATAACTTTGGGGAAGTCACTTAATATACCTGGACTTCAGAATTTTAATTTATAAAATGGGCTTGATAAGGTCTTCTTTATATACTGATGCTCAAAGCCAAATGATATACTTACTGCATTGGAACACACTTAAAGAGTAGGGTACCTATAAGATAAAATCCAGTATAGTGTAGTTATTAAAAGGTGGCATTTGGGTTATGCTGGTGTAGGTTAAAACCTGACTGAACAACATACTATCTATTGACTATGGCCTAGCTACTTAATAATGGAAATCTTTAGTTTCTCACCTACAAAATAAGAATAAATCATACACAACTCTTAGGAAATCATGACATGTATGAAGTTCTAGCTAAGATTAATATTATTATTATTCTAAATTGATGTTTATTCAATAAGTAGAATATATAATAACTAATGATAACAGTATAGTGACTGTAATTACTATATTAGGACTACCACTGAGTTACATAGAAATGGCATCTTTGAGTTATACAATCTGGGAATGAAGGTGTAGAGAATGTTAAGGGTCCCAAATACTTAATATTGGTGTGACTTTTTAGAGGAAAGAGGCAAAAAGCAAAGATTTTTTGGTAAAATTTAAAAATCTGTTACTTCTAAGTCATTGCTTAAATTGTTTAATAATATATTGACTATAATGTAGAACTGAATCTTGTTTGTGTTAATAATAATTCCAAAGCAATTTTCCTTCATCCTCTCTTTTTTTAGCTATTAATACATTACATGAAGGAATTACTGGATACCTACAATCTTAAAATATTTGGTTTTCAAAGATAATACTTCATGATCTTTGCTTAGGTCAAAGTAAATGTTAAACTAAGCCACAGTATCTTACTTTCTTAAAAACTAAAGTTTGATTGTTTGTTTGTTTGTTTGTTTGTTTGTTTGAGACAGGGTCTCACTCTTTCACACAGGCTGGAGTGCAGTGGCAAGATCTCCCCTCACCGCAACCTCCACCTCCCAGGCTCAAGCAGTCTTCCCACCTCAGCCTCCCAATTAGCTGGGACTACCGGTGTGAGCCACCAGGCCCAGATAATTTTTGTATTTTTTTAGAGATGGGATTTCACTGTGTTGCCCAGGTTTGTCTCAAACTCCTGCACTCAGGTGATCCACCTGCCTCGGCCTCCCAAAGTGCTGCGATTACAGGCGTGAACCACTATGCCCAGCCAAGTTTGATATTTTTTGCAGCAAATTTTCAGGGACCAAATTGAGATGAAACAAGTCGAATCCAATTTCATCCAATTAGAGAAACATTAGTTTTTAATTTCTTTAAGTTATATTTTCCTTTTGTAAACCGATCTTTGCTTCTCTGGGACTCAGTATCAGTGAGGATAAGGCTGAGAAAGGATCAGATCATTTCCACTTATTTATCACTGTATAGAAAAAAACCCTTTGTGATTATTCAATAATTCAAAATTTAAAAAAAACCTGCAACCACATCTGAGCTTCAGTTTAACATTAGTTCTGAACAAAAGTTTTGCTAATATCAAGAGAAGAATAAATATCCCAGAAAAATATTTGTCCTGCTCAGAATACTTCCAAAACCCTGTGTGGGCAGCACTCCCTTCTGGACTTGATGAGTTTGTGCTTTGATATGTCCCAGCTTCAGAGACTGAACAGAAGGTCAGAGATAGATTCAAACTTAGGTACCTTGCAGGAGGTGTTATATTTTGAGTGTGTATGTGTGTATGAAAGGTATAGCAAAGTCTTCGTTGAAAGAGGTGGGACCCGAGTTAGGGGACTCAAAAAGAGCAACTCAATATTGGTTTCTTTCCTACGGGAATACGAGTGACAGCTGACCAAGCACATAAAAATATTTAGCAAGCCGAGGTTGAAGAGTATATGTCTGATACACATGTCTTAATAATTGTTTTATTTTCTCAGTGGTGTTCAATATTCCAGTAATAGAAGGGGCAAATTCAGAAGGATTCATCAGAGACTGGGTCTTGCAGAACAGTAGAAAGGACAGAGGAACAAAGAGAGTAAGGCTGATGACAAGAGTGGGTCTAAAGGCGGGCATAGGCATAAGACAGAAGTGATGTTAAGTTCAGGAAGGAAAGGGTAGCGAAGGTTTGGGAGCACAAGCTAAGTGTTTATTCCACACTATTGTACTGTTTTTCTCAACAGTATGTGGTTTTAGGCTCTATAATTACTTCATGTAAAGCTCCTTGTTTTTTTTATTCCCAGTGAGCACCAGGAATCAATTGCCTCAATTAATTTGCAGAGTATTGACCAGATAAGCCAAGTAATTTTGAATAAGTATGTAGTACTTGTAATGCACTTGAAAGAATTACTTTACTTAACATTCAATCTTACCTGTCAATGTTGAAAAGTAATTATAGGACTCACACAATTCAGTAACTATTTTGTACCCCCCAAAACAAAGACTCAGTATGTATGAAACTTAATAGGGAAACCATTTTTTAGCAAAGCAAGATGCTCATTCACTTTTTGTAGTAATGGAACAGCTTATAAAATTTGGGTTCCAGAAACTACATGATACAAGAAGCTGTATTGTGGTTCTATAGGTTGAAAGTTGAATGTTATTTCTGTTTCATGAGATTACTCCAAAATAAATTGTACTTTACTGCTTTATGAAGGCAAAATGAATCTATGTGAAGCTTTTCAGGGTGACAGTAACAGAGATTCACTCAGGATACCTCAAATTGAATATGTGATTATTATGATAGTACAAGTGGAAATAAGGGCGGTTCCAATCTGGGCCATACATTGGGCATTATGGAAATGGAACAAATAGTACAGTTGATTTTGTGGAGACTGGCTCATGGCCCAGGAACTGGAAGGTTATTCATTGTCTAGTTGGCACTGGTGAGCCGGTTATCTCATAGCTCCACAGCAGCAGAGAGTCATTAATTCCTGATTTTTGAGCTGCTACCAACCATCTCACACTCTATTCTGTGTATTTTTCTGCTTCTTCCTCACAGTTTCCGTTGCCTCATGGGCTCTGTACACACAGCTCATTGTCGACTTTTCTCATATGTATCAACTGTTTCCTCTCTACTCCAACTTATTTTTTACTCCTTCTCTCCCTCCCCCAACCCCTCTTTCGGTCTAGCTATATCTCTCTCATTATTTATTTGGCTAACTAATATCCCATTTAGTCTTTTTTTATGAGATTAGTCTGATTGGTTCCTGGATCACTGCTGTCTATACTTGGCAGAATTTGCACTCCAGGCTACTTCACAGAATCTAGCTAGTCTAGAGATTTGCTGTTATTTTATCAATAACTCCACCATGAATACACACACACACACACACACACACACACACACACACACACACGCCAAAGTCCCAGTCAATGAGGTGGTAAAATTTATATGTATCAACATAGTAACTTTAGTGAAAAAAACTCTTTGTCCATTTTGTATTGTTATAACAGAATATCAGAAATGGGGTAATTTATTTTAAAAAAAGGTTTATTTAGTTCATGGTTCTGCAGGCTAGGAAGTTCAAGGGCGTGGCCTTGGCTTCTGGTGAGGGCTTACTGTGCTGCATCATAACACGGTGGAGAAGGTCAAAGGGGAAGTGGATACATGAGAAGAGGCAAAACCCGAGGAATATCCTGGCTTTATAAGAATCCACTCTCACAGAAACTGATCCATTCTCACAAGAACTAATCCAGTCTCACCTGAGAGAGAACTCTCTCACTACTGGGAATGGCATTGAGCCATTCATGAGGAATCTGTCCCCATGACCTAAATACCTGCCACTAACTCCTACCTTCCAATGCTGCCACATTAGAGATCAAATTTCAACATGAATTTTGGAGGAGACACACTCAAACAGTAGCTGACTTCTTGAAAGGGAGACTATGGTCAAAACTGCAGAGAAGGGAACTATGGATGGAGCAGGCATTTTTAGGGTTGGACTGAAAGTAGAATCATAGTCTCACAAATGAACATATGGTTTGGTTCAGAGTCATATAAATCTAAAATAAGGTAACTGGCCTATTTTGAGTGGAAGATACAAAGAGAAGTAGAAGGACAAAAAGTGAGACTAGTAGAGGCATATTTTAAAAAATGCCTTAACATCTAGATACGAAGTTTAAGTTTTATTATGTAGTCATTAAAGTGGCATTAAAAGATTTCAAACAATAAGTTGATGAAGGCAGAATTTAAGAAAGGCCAACCTGGAAGATGTACAAATGATGGAGAGGAGAGCAAGAACTTGAAAAGAAGAAGGTCATTTGTAATTATAACATAATTATAATAGTGTAATGCTAGTCACTCAACAAATATTTCTTAAGTACATACTACATACCAGCATGTACCACATGCTAGAAATACAAAGGTTAGCAATGTGGCATGGTCCTTGCTATGATGGAGCTTACATTCTGGTAGAAGACATAGAAAAGGCAGTGGCAATACTGGACAATAAAGGTTATCATAGGAAAAGTGTAGAGTGCTGGAGTAGCACATCAGAGGGTTACCCAAACATGGCTGGAAGCACAAGGAAGGCTTCCTTAAATGGAATATTATCGAAATTGAGTCCTATGAGCTAAGTAGAAATGATTCCAGCAGAGGATCAGATTGAGGGGAAAAGGGTAAGAGGCTCAGTTCCAGGACAAAGAATAGTTTGCTAAACAAAAAAGAACAATATTATTGCTTATTAGTTATTCTTAAGTAACATTTGAAAGAAAGGTTAGGATTGTTATTCTCCAATGATAGAATAACCTGATGGGACTTGATAAAGTTAGTTACATTTTTCATCTTATAAAAGAGACTACACTAAGCAGTTTTGCCTGATTAACCAGCCTAATAGAGAAGACAGGCTTTGGTTTGATTTTAAACACCAAATGTTCAGCATTCTGCTGGAAGCAGGAGATACAGTTCTGCCTGAGATAGACACCCCCTCCCCAGCAGAGACTTCCAAGACAGTGGGGAAGGCAAACAAGCAATTAGAGTAAGTGTGAGAAATTTCTGAACACCAGAAGGGCCTGAGATGGTAGCCCATTGGAGGAGAAGCCTACACATTCTTGGGTATAAATCTTTGTGCATTCTTATAGATAAGTACAAGTTAGCTGCTTAAAGAAATGAAAGAAGATTATTGCACCAGATAGAATGAAAACTATGTGTATGTGACCAGACGCAAAAGACTACAGAACTATTGAGAGATTGTAAAGCAGGAGAAAAAGTCATTTCTGTGCTTCCCCCACAGAAAGGAAAACCTCATTTATGCCTTATTTAACTGAATTGAGAGGGTTTTGTTGTTGTTGTTGTTATTGTTGTTGTGATAAAGAAGAGCCTCTTCCTCTTTCAAGTACCATCTTCACATGATATTCAGAGCTGGTGGGTTAACATTCATGAAACTTGAGACATTTTCTGTGGAAATTTTATACATTTATAAATTCTGATATTCAGAGTTGGTGGGTTAATTTCATTCATGGAACTGCTGAGACATTTTCTGTGGAAATTTTATAAATGTATAAAATGTGCATAATGAGGCATATTACAAATGTTTGCAAATTGTCCCTGAAATCTGGTTTTTTTTTCTAAGTCTCTTTAGGGTTTCTAAGCAAGCAACTACCTTTCACTCTAGTATCTCAATCCTATCTTATAAAATTGATTTTTACCTTCTACTGTTATTCTAAAAATTGTCTTTAAAACCCGCTATCTTAAAAGTAGAAATTTTCTTGTTTAAAATGAAAATTTTAAAAATAGAATATATTTCTATAAAGTTTAACCATCATAACATGATGAAATTGGTTGAATTGTTTTAATCAATATCATTTACATAATATTTGGTAACTTCCCAGCAAGATTCCTTAGTGCTTATTGGTTATTCTTAAGAAACATCTGAAAGAAAGGTTAGGATTGTTATTCTCCAGTGATGGAATAACCTGATGGGACTTGATAAAGTTAGTTATTTTTTCCATTTTATAAAAGAAACTGAACTAAAATTGGGCTTGAAATAAAGAATTTCTGGCTTTCCAGTTTAACAATGAGTCAACAACTAAGAGGTGTAAGGTTTTATTTGGGGGTTAGTTTTAAGACGAAGTCAATAGAAACATGAAGTTTTTTTTTTGTTTTTTTGTTTTTAAGATAAATTAGGTTTAATTATCTTACATGCAGCCTTGTAAAGACATCAAAATTTGCCAGCCCACATTTTTTTAAAATAGACTTTCCAAGTTGCAAATTCCCCAGCACAGTCTGTTCCCTTTCCTATAGCCAAGAGCCACATCAAGTCTGGCTCTCCCTGGAGGTCTAGGCAGGACCAAGGCAAGTCTCAGGGTTCTGCTCCCAGAGAATGATCTCTGGGAGTCTAATGCCCATACCAGGAACCTGTTAGTAAAGTACACTCACCTACCCCTCTCACATACATAACTTTAGATCAGGCCTGTCACCTAATCCACACTTTAGTTCATTTCCGAGACAAGGCCAGAGGGACCCATTCAAAATCGTAACAGAGAACTGCATCCTTCCTTTAAAACAAACAAAAAGAAACTTAGATTGGCACCAGAATACAAGAATCTAAACAGTCAGGGCTAGAAAGGACTGAATTCGATGCTTAATATCTTTCTCATGTTTGATCAATAAATCTAGGCTAAATTGCAATCAGATCAATTTCCAAGGCTGATGGCTGTAACAAATTCACTGAGTAACTCACCTCTCCCCCAAAATACTGGTGAGAAATCATTTTTCTCTTCCATATTCTTCTCCAAACCCCTTTTTAAGGCTGCTGATTTACTGTGACAGAATATGAACACACGATCGTAAATCCATTACCCTTTTCTGCAGTAGGCAGAGATGAAAGGATGAAGAGTAACACATTTTTAAAACCACATGAATCTCCAGTTTTCTGCTTGTGTGGAGATACTCAGGGACAGGGCAGGATGTAGCTAAATTGTTATCAAGCCTGTGCCATCAGAGGTAGCAGTACCCATTCATAGGGATAGTTGGGTGTATGTATTCTTTGACCCAAGGGGGCAAGAGGTGGGACAAGGGTAGAGACACACACAGCTATTTCTGTCCTTGATTTATAAGTCTATGCCTGTTCTTCTAAGCCTAACCCCTAGCTTTTTATTTTGAAAAATTTCAAACCCACAGAAGAGAGGCAAGAATAACACAATAACACTTATATACCTTTCATCTAGATTTACCAATTATGTTTCTTAATTGACAAATAAAAATTATATTTTTAGTGTGCAATAAGATGCTCTGACATACATGTACACTGTGGAATCTAATTAACATACCCATTACTTTGTTTACATTTTTGTGATGAGAACATTTAAAATATACTCTCAACAATTTTCAAGCATGCCATACATTATTATTAATGATAATTGCCATGCGGTACAGTCGATCTCCTGAATTTATTTATCCTGCTTACTGAAATCTAGATTCACCAATTGTTAACATTTTGCCATATTTGATAAATTTTCTCTTCTCTATCTCTGTGTAGTAAACATATATAACACCTATTGATTTATTTATTCATTCAGTCAGTCCTGAACTTATTTGCTGAAGTATTTGAGAGCTAGTTGCAGGCCTTGTATCACTTTACCCCCAATTACTTCAGCATAGGATGTATATATAAGCACACACATATATATGTACATACGTGTGCACACATCACATATACTATTTTGTATCTTGCTTTGTTCAGTTAACAATATATTGTGATAATAACTCCATATCAGTTTATACAGGTATTCCTCAATATTTTTAGCCACTACAAAATACTCCATTATGTGGCTGTAACATAGTTTATCCAATCTCTCTCCAGTATACGGGCATTTAGGTTGTTTTCAATATTTAGCTACCACAAATATGCAATGAATAACCTTGTACATATTTTTTCTGGGTTGTTGTAGTCTTAACTTTAGGGTAAAATTCTAGATGTGGAATTACTGGCTTGAAGAATAAATGTCTGTGAAGCATTTTTCCCCTTCAGAGCAGTTGTGTAATTTTACATTCCCACTGGTGATAAATGAAAGAGCCCATAGCCTGTGTGTTGCCATACTTCTGAAGTTTTACCAACTTGACAGGTGAAAAATTGTATCTCAGTTGAAGCTTTATTTACCTTATCATCAGTGAAGCTGAACCTTTTTTTAGGTTTGAGAGCTTTTTGTAGACGTCTTTATGGCTGTTCGTGTCATATGCCCATTTTTCCAATAGTTTCTTTTCGTTTTGTTGTTGTTGTTGTTGTTGAGACGGAGTCTCGCTCTGTCGCCCAGGCTAGAGTGCAGTGGCGCCATCTCGGCTCACTGCAAGCTCTGCCTCCCGGGTTCACGCCATCCTCCTGCCTCAGCCTCCCCAGTAGCTGGGCCTGCAGGCGCCCGCCACCAAACCCGTCTAATTTTTTGTATTTTTAGTAGAGACGGGGTTTCTCCGTGTTAGCCAGGATGGTCTCTATCTCCTGACCTCGTGATCCGCCCGCCTCGGCCTTCCAAAGTGCTGGGACTACAGGCGTGAGCCACTGCGCGGGCTCTGTTTGTTTGTTTTTTTTTTCTCTTATTCTCCTCCACTCTAATTAAGAATTTGATTACATATTAGGGATAGCAGCGCTTTCCCTGAACTGTATATTGCAAATATGTCTCCCAATTTACCTGTGTCCTTGATTTTTGGACAAATTATTTTCTGCATGAAAAATTTTATTGTTGCTTAATGTAGTCCAAATTGTCAATCTTTTCCTTTATACATACACATACACACATCTGGATTTTGAGTTACAGTTAGAAAGTTTTACCTAAACTCAAATTATAATGAATTTATCTCTGTTTTCTTCTAGTCCTTTTATGGTTTCATTTTATGTTAAGATTGCGATCACTGATGTATTTGCAGTTTATTCTTTTGTAGGATCTGAACTGTGGCATCTTTCTCTAATTGGCTATTCAGTTATTCCAAATCGTTTATTTAAAAGTCTATCTATTCCTCCAGTGTTTTGAAATGTGACCTTTATCGTGTACTGAATTTTCATATATATATTCTCTTTCTGAATTTTCTATTCTATTATGGTTCTAACGTTCATGTGCTAGTACCACACTATTTTAATTCTGAAGGCTTTTTTACATTTCTAATGGGACAATCCCTCTTTCATTTCTCTTACCTTTGTCATCTCATCTCAAATTCCTCATTAAACTTTCCCTGACCACTCCAGAAAGAGTTCCATGCAACTTTGGAATCAACTTGTTAGATCCAGGGAAAAAAGGGACTACTAGTTGTATTGGGGTTGCATTATAGTTATAAATTAATCTATGGAGAACTGATATGTTCATGACTTTATTCTCCTAATCCAAGAATAAGGAATATCTTTCTATATTTTCAAGTCCACTTTTGTGTCACTGAGGAGGACTTGTACATATCTTGTTAAGTTTATTGTTATTTCATCTTTTGTACCTGCATAATTTTTATCTCCCACATTCAAAATTTTTGAACTACTCTCTGTAAGGGATATACAACATAAAATGACAATGAAAAGTTTCCATCAGGAAATATAACTAAGAGAATATTTTAGGTAATAGGACTATCAATTATGCTAAATATTCTTGCTTTGTGACAATAATAAACATTAATAGATATTTAAAATGCAACTTTGTCTTTCCTACTTGCATTAACATAAATGCTTTGAACAATAAAAGATAAGCTTTTATTGTTCTCCTACAAAGGGAGACCCCCAAATGCTGAAATATCAAAATAAGCATGTAATTGAAAGGAACGCAATGAAAGGATAAGAAAAAATAATTATTGGAAAGATGTGTGCAGAATTCAGACACAGCAACTTGCTGTCTAGTGAATGTGCATTTTAGACAAAAAATTTAGTTGATTCCTGCAACTCTGTATCAAACTAGATTTATTGAAATCTCAGTGAATTTTTTCTTCTCCGCCTTTGATAATCACCTCTATTCATTTTTGCCAAGATCTTCTCTATTTAAAGCTTCTCCTTTGAAGGGTTTACCTACTCTCATAACTTCAAGCATCTTTTATTCAAATTTTATTTTATAAAATAGAATCCCTATTAGCAGACTTTACCTGAGTGATAACCTCTTTTTATGAACTCTGACTGTATGGCTGGTATCAATGGCACTTGGGAATTTCCACTGACCTGCTCCAACATTATATTAAAATCACCTTATCTAAAACTAAATTTATTCTCTTTTCTGAAATCCCAGTTTTTGTCTTTGGCAACACCATTCTCCCAGTTTTTTTCTTTCATCATTCCTTAGTTATTTGCAGTCAATCAGCCAACAAATTCTATGATTATCTTTTCATATCCTTTCTTGCTTCTGCTCTTTCAGCTTCTTTCTTTGGGCCATTGCCATTATCTGGTCCAGTTTTGCTCAGTCATCTAAGGAGCTCATAGTCCCTTGCAACCCACTAAATATTCTGCAGGCTGTTTTGCATCTTCAGATTTAAAAGTTATGAAATGATTATTTCCACATACATTTTGTAAAGTTGAACTGTAAAATCAATTATAATTTTCAAAAGAATACATTATGTTTTAAATAATCTTTAACCCTTAACATGTGCTGAAAGACATGTTGATTTGTTTTGGCTAACATTCAGATAATGGGATGCACTTCAGGTGACATTTTTCATGCCATCAGTTTGTTGTTTTTTACATTTGTTAAATTGCATTTTAAAAAAATACAATGCTGATCTAGGCCTTATTCATCTCTTGCCTGGAGCTCTGCCGTATGTACACTCTGTCTTTCCTGCCTCCCATCTTTCATTTCAACAGTTTCTCCTGCATTAGGTACCAAGTCCATTTCTTAGAAATATTCTGTGCTCCCCAGTGTTTTCAAGACTAGGCTTCACCCTAAAAGTCTTTAACAATTTGGGAGTCATCTGCCCAATCATTCACCTACTTTTTTTTGCCTAAAACAGTCTCCTTGCTATACTTTTTTAACAGTGTATTTGACACCTTCTTAACATTTTTCTTCATTATGTGCTTAGCCTTAATACCATCACACTTAAACTTTCAACTAAATCTTATTTTTCCTTCATGGCTCTATTAAAATTCTTCATTAAGCCCTTTCTGATCACTCTGAACAGCACAGTCTTCTCCTAACCGTCTGTGGTACTGGTTCTTAAATAGAGGTATTCAGCCGAAACCTCTATTTTAATTTAAATTTTAAAAGTACAGATGGCTGGGCCCTCTGTCTGGAGGCTGTTATTCTATGGTCCTGAGGTATAGAATGTAGGAGCCTCAGTTTTTAAAGCTCCACCAGGGATCAGAGCTGCCTATGTCATTTGCAGAGTCCCATGCACAGCAAAAATGTGTGGCCCCTTGTTCAAAAAGCAGGAGAAAATGTGCCGATAAAAATACAAGAACAGAGAGCTTTTCCTCCTTTCCCATGATCTGTCTTTCTCAACTTGTCATGGTATATTTTACTTGCTATTTAATGCCATTATTATAAGAAGTATAAAACTTAAGTTAGAATAAATTTTATTGTTCATCTTTGTATTGTACAATGACAGTTTTCAATGTACATATAAGCATATTTAACCTGTAAGTGGAATTACTGAAATTACATAATTGCTACTGTGTAGCTCATACTTGTATGTATATATTTTTTTCTTATCAGGACAGTGAAAAACTGCAAAACTAGCTCAACTGTTTTTATTTCATTTCTGGATATGCACACATTCTGCCAACACTCTCTACCTTCTGCTTTGATGAAAAAGAAGGACTGAAAAGAAAAGGAACTATGAAAGGCCTCTTTTTTCTATGTCACCATCTTTAACATAAGTGATTGGTGAATACAGATAATGAACACAAGTAAAGAAGGGAGAAGGGATAATATGATTCCTTGGTTGCCATTGCCTTCTTTTCGAATTTAAAGCAGGTGTTGGTTTGAATGTAAAGTGTGGCCTCTCTGCACCCCCTCTCTCAGCACCCCCACATTCTCAATCACATTGTAAGGGTAAATACAACTTAGAGGCTTAATTCTCCCTGTTGAAAATAAGAAGTCTCATCCTTCCCTTTTCTACTAGCATTTACTGTAAACATTTGTAATTGTAAATTCTTTCTCTTTCTCTTTGATATGTATGTAAATCTTTTAAAAACTAAATACTTTCTTTGATAGCTTTATGACACAGGAATGTCTTTCTCAAGGACAAGCCCCTGTCTCCCAGTTTCTGTGGTAGTGGAGGAGACAAGCTTCTTCAGGGAGTTGCTCCAAAACTACCTCCTGTCATAAATATATAGAAGTTTTTTTTTTCCTTTGGCTAAAGCCAATTAGCTAACACAGATGGTCACTCCAGTTACCAAGTGAATTTAGGATGAACTATATGTGACAAATGGTGCTGTCAAGTCCTCTTACTTGAGGACTAATTATTGTTTATCTTGAGAACATGCATGTAACGGGTTGTATTCACCTGGTTATATAAAAAAATGAGATTTCTGTTTTTGCAATTTCTTGAGCAGATTGGCTAATAACATATATCACATTCTGATTGAGTGCTTATTCAATAATAAAACTTGTTTTCCTCTTCTACCTTTATGGAGAGATTTTCTGGATAGGGAGAAAATTTCATTTTTAAATCTACCTCCCCAGCAATGTGCACTTTGAATCTTGCTCAACTCCCATGAACTCCACTGGAATTCTGGGCTAATGGAGCTTCATGAATGTTCCACACAAATTGGAAAGGCAAGAAATGACTGGAATGGCATGCCACACATGCGCTATCATTCCACAGGACTCCGCTGTAAAACAGATTCACAGACAAAATGATGAAGAATTTCAAGAAAGCAACAGCAGAGCATTAAACTAAGCACAGGACCCTTCTGTGCAATGGCACAAGTGGCATGCCCATGAAGCTGGCCCTGTCAGTGATTCTAACATGAAACCGTGTTAATAATCACCGATGTACAGCAAGTACTCTCTGAACCTTTGGCCCTGAACCCTAATGAAATTCTTTAAATAATGAAAATGCCAATAAGTTTTCTGCTAGTTTATTCCTTTTAAAATTACATTTCAAACCGTGTGTGGTGGCCCGCGCCTGTAATCCCAACACTTTGGGAGGCCGAGGCGGGCGAATCACAAGGGCAGGAGTTTGAGATCAGCCTGGCCAATATGGTGAAACCCTGTCTCTACTGAAAAATACAAAAAAAAAAAAAAAGTAGTTGGCGTGGTGGTGGGCACCTATAGTCCCAGCTACTCAGGAGGCTGAGGCAGGAGAATCACTTGAACCTGGGAGGTGGAGGTTGCGGTGAGCTGAGATCACACCACCGCACTCCAGCCTGGGTGACGGAGCGAGACTCCATCTCAAAAAAACAAAAATTACATTTCATTAAATATAAAACTTTACTACCAACAAACCAACAAATCCTGAAAAGGCAACATTCTTTCACTGTATTTCATATCTACCTTTACTCCAGACAAGTGGACTATTGGCTAAGCCTTAGAAATGTCTTAGTTACAAATAATTTCTGAAGTAAATAACACCCTTTGCCTGATTCAGAATTATGTACGCATAAGTAAGTAACTATGTCCTCTAGGCAGCCTTAAATCGGAAATAACTGGTATTAAGCCTAAGGTTTTATTTCTTAGTGGGAATATGAAGCCAGTCTCAGACTTTCATGCAAACATTTGCTTATGCAATACAACAGCAGATTAAAAGCATATAGGAAATTTTGGCAGTAGAAACAAGAATACAAAAAAGGGAGAAAACAAAAGAGAATTTGAAGGAATTGTATTCTGGGATTAATTATCCTAGGGCAATTGGTCTTCTTCAACATGTGTTAACCACAAATGGGATTTAACAATGATAATGTCAAATTTTCTGGGAAACAAACACATCCCATGCTCATGGGTGGGTAGAATCAATATTGTGAAAATGACCATACTGCTAAAAGCAGTCTACAAATTCAATGCAATTCCCATCAAAATGCCACCATCATTCTTCACAGAACTAGAAAAAAAATCCTAAAATTAATATGGAACCAAAAAAGAGCCTGCATAGTCAAAGCAAGACAAAGCAAAGAGAACAAATCTGGAGGCATCACATTACCCAACTTCAAACTAATCTGTAAGGCCATGGTCATGAAAACAGCATGGTACTGGTATAAAAATAGGCACATAGACCAATGGAACAGAATAGAGAACGCAGAAATAAAGCCAAATACAACCAAGTGTTAGTGAAAAGGAAACACTTTTACCCTGTTGGTGGGAATGCAAACTAGTACAACAACTATGGAAAATAATGTGGAGATTTCTTAAAGAACTAAAAGTAGATCTACCGTTTGATCTAGCAATCCCACTGCTAGGTATCTACCTAGAGGAAAAGAAGTTATTATACAAAAAAGATATTTGAACACACATGTGTATAGCAGCACAATTTGCATTTGCAAAATATGGAACCAGCTTAAATGCCCATCGATCAATGAGTGGATAAAGAAACTGTGATATATATGTATACACACACACATACACACACACACACACACACACACACACACACACACACACACCATGGAATACTACTCAGCCATAAAAAGGAACAAAATAATGTCATTTGCAGCAACCTGGATGGAATTGAAGACTATTATTCCAAATGAAGTAACTCAGGAATGGAAAATCAAACATTGTATGTTCTCATTCATATATGGGCCCTAAACTATGAGGACTGAGGATGCAAAGGCATAAGAATGAAATATTGGACTTTGGGGACTCGGGGGAAAGAGTTGGGGGTGGCAAGGAATAAAAGACTACGCACTGGATACAGTGTACACTGCTCGGGTGATGGGTGCACCAAAATCTCAGAGATCACCACTAAAGAACTTATGTAACCAAATACCACCTGTTCCCCAAACACCTATTGAAATAAAAAAATAAAAACTAATTAAAAAAGCCCAAATTTTCCAGGAAATTATAGACAAAGTTATGAAATTAGAAAAAGTCAATTTCCAAAGATTTTTGTACTTAATTTTTAGAATGAGACTTAAATGATTTTATTTTTCATTTCTCTATGATCTTATATGAATGGAAATTTACTTTAATCTTATTTGTTAAAATTAAATTTGACCTGCCTTTCAAAATTCAGCTTTGCTAAAAATAAGATAGTAAGTTGTTCAAATAACAACTATTATTATAACAGGTCAAAATATCCAAGTTAAGTCATTAAATTTAGGGAAAAAACTGAATAACTATCTAATTCATTCCCAGTAATCTGTGCTTAGTGTAAAGTCCCCAATAATAACTATGTCTGAGAGCTACAAAATGAATAATTTCTCTGTTTCTTACAGATTTGGTGGGTTTTCTTATCAGTTTTCACTTACTGCACTTTTATACATTTCTTTGTTCTCCCCTTACCTAAACTCTACTTTCCTTCTTCCATAAATGTGTTCTATTGAATTGCCTAAAATCTACCTCATGCTATTACTTCCCCTTTTCTGAGAAAACCGATTTTTCTAAGGAGACTGAAAATCCCATCCTCATCAGGGCCTTAATGGTTGGAAGGCTATTCTGACTCATTGAGGCCGCTACCAGCTCTCTCATTTCAATTATCTTGTTTAGCGGGCTCATTTCATTTGAAGATGAAACTGGCACAATTTTGTACTCATTTGACATCTGAGACTCTGCAGCCTAGCACCTCTGCCCTGCTGGCCTTCCCAGTTTAGCTGCAGACACTCTAAGAGATCCAGCAATATTATCAGCTTTATATTTAGTAAAAGAAAGTATATATTTAAGTGATGAACTCCATAAAATCAAGGGAAGACAAATCATGCAGAACATGATACTTGTAAGGTCTGTGCTCTTGCTCCAAATTTTTCTTCTTCTCTAGATTCTAATATATATAGCCATAAACCTAAATGTACTAATACTCCTTAGAGGATAACAATTGGACTAGTATTCCTCCATCATAATTTTGGAGTGTAAGCAAAAAATGCAAATGCAAGAAAATAAAATGCCACACTATAAGGACAAGCTGTAAGCTTTTAAATTTTTTTCTCTGACACTTGCATAGTGCCTGGAACTTAATGGGTACTAAATAAACAAATATTTATTGAATGGATAAATTGATGAATCTCAGTTTTCATCTCTAATCTGTCCCACAGTCTATGTGTATTTGCTACCAGTGATGTTTTTTGAAATATCTATCTATCTATCTATCTATCTATCTATCTATCTATCTATCTATCTTAGTAGACACTGCGCTTGCGTTTTCTTGTCTCTTTAGTGAACCTTGTCATTCCCAAGACTCCACTATTCCTCTTAGCAGTATGGGCCCCATTGGTTCTTCAGATTTTCCTTTTATTATCAAATTTTACATCAGGGACAGCAAGCCCTTAAATACAGTTTGGTTCTTATTTACCAGTTTGCATTTGTTCATTTGTTTAATGGTTTCATGCAAGGTAACATTGTCTCTGCAATGTGATTTTAAGCTTCTTGAGAACAGTGAAAATGCTGCAGACCCTTTTGTATTACCTATAGGTCTGACCAAAATATTAGGCAATTATAGTGGTCATTATATTATCAGTGTTTGATTGACTAAGTCAAATGAGTTATCTATTAGCACTTACTCATTCATTGCCAAATATTCACTGAGCTAGACTATGATACTGTTGTAGGCTTCAAGCAGGCATTTTTTCAAGATATTTTTCTTTTGCTGTGACTAACCTTGTAATCTCTGTCTCATAATATGATGCAAATAAGAATTACACGAGTAAGCAGATGACCTTAGACTTGCCTTAATTCTGCCTTCTCGGCTTAGAGACTTTGGGATGCCAATTAATATAGTGGTTGTGATAGGTAGAATAATGATCCCCTAAAGATATTCACATTCTAATCACCAGAACCTGTGAGTATGTTATCTTACATGGCAAAGGGACTTTGTACATCTGGTAAAGCTAAGAATTTTGAGACAGATTATCATGGCTGGGCCCAATATGATCACGAGGGTCCTTAAAAGATGAAAGAAGGAGGCAAAAGAGTCAGAGCAGGAGGTGTGAGGACAGGAGCTAGAGGCGAGAGGCAAGAGACAAAAGGAAAGAGAGACTGAGAAATTTGAAGCTACTGTACTGCTCGGGAGGAAGGAGTCACCAGCCAAGTAATGCAGTTGACTTTTAGAAGCTAAAAAAGGCTCTTCCATAGAGCCTCCAGAAGGCATGCAGGCTGCTGACAGCTTGGTTTTAGCCCAATAAAAACCATTTCAGACTTCTGACCTCTAGAATTGTAAGATACAAATTTGTATGGTTTTAAGTTTGTGTTAATTTGTTACAGCAGCAATATGAGACTAATACAGTGGTTAAGAATTCAGGCTTTGCTGTTCAAAGACCTGGCTTTGCCTCAGTGCTTCTATCTGCACAATGGGAATAATGAAAGCACATACCTCATAAAATGGTTGCTCAGCTATGCTTGAGTATTAATAAATGCATATTTCTGCTTTCTATTCTGCTTTCCATTGATTTTAAAATGTAGGCTATATCTGTCTTTTATATACTTTTGACCTATTTGATTACTTTTGACCTATTTAACCCTAGAAAGATTAGCTAACTTTTACGAAAACAATTTACTTCAAAGTAATTATACATGAATAGGTTCTTAAACAAAAATGCAAAATGACTGGATTTCAGAATTAAAGATATAAATTATTTGATTTGAATATTAATAAGAATAGTAAAAGGAATTTATCTCTCATATAGTTTAGACAAATTAAGTATCTTTCTTTAAAAGAAGTCCTAGACTATTAGGGTGATGTGAGACCAAAATTCAAAGAATATTTCAAGCAACTGTGGAAAACTTTTGATGTTAAGGGAAGTGGTTCAGAATAATTCAGATTGATTGTCTACCTAGCTTGAGTTTGCCAAATGATGGCCAAGTTTCCACTACATTCTGCTTTGCAGTCCTTCCTTGTAAAGCAGAGTCAGCAAAATCATCTTGAAGTTTCCTACAGGAATCACAGTCTGGAGCAGAATATACACCTGAGGCAGCCAGTCCACTCCCTAGCCGCTGACATTTTCATTTTATTTATTCTTGTGTTTGCATCTGATAATGATCCATCTTTGCTTCCCCATTTATTTGTATGAAGCAGAAAGACTAAAAGAAAGCAAAATAGAAACACAATATGGAAGAATATCAATGTCCCTTCGTATAAGTCATTATAATGCTACTTGAATCAAAGATACTTAAACTGGTTAACTGTTTTAAGACCAAAACAATTTATTCACATCACATTTTTCCGGCTTTTTTTCTTTTTTTTTTTTTTTTAGAGCAGCTTTAAATTCACAGCAAAATGAAGAGGCAGTTACAGGGATTTTTCACATATCCCCTGACCCCCATATATGCAAAACGGCCTCTGTGACCCAAAACAACCAGCCCAGTGATACATTTGTTACAATTGATGAACCTACACTGACACATCATTGTCACCAAAAGGCCATCGTTTACATTAGGGTTCACTCCTGGTGCTGCACATTCTACGGATATAGACAAATGTGTAATGGCATATATCCATCATGATAGCTTAATACAGAGTATTTTCACAGTCCTAAACATCCTCTGTACTCACCTATTCATCCCTCTCACCTCTTACCAAACCCCTGGCAACCACTGATTTTTTTTATTGTTTCCATAGTTTTGCCTTCTCCAGAATGTCATGTAGTTGAAATCATATTGTATGTACTCACTTCAGATTGGCTTCTTTCACTTATTAATATGCATGCAAGTTTCCTTCGCGTCTTTTCATGGTTGAAGAACTAATTTCTTATTAACACGGGATAATATTCCATTGTCTGGATATACCATAGTTTATTTACCTGCGTACATACTGATGGAGGTCTTGGTTGTTTCCAAGTTTTGGCAATTATGAGTAAAGTGCTGTTAATATGAACATCCTTGTGCAGGTTCTTATGGAGACACAAGTTTTTAACTCCTTTGGGTAAATACCAAGAAGCCCATTTGCTGGACTGTATAGCAAAAGTATGTTTAGTTTTGTAAGAAACTGTCAAACTGTCTTCCCAAATGACTGCAGCATTTGCATTCTGAACAGCAATGAATGAGAGTTCTTGTTGTTTGACATCCTTGCCAGCATTTGATGTTGTCAGTGTTTTAGATTTTGGCATTGTAACAGATGTTTAGTTGTATCTCATTGTTTTAAATTCAATTGAACTTTTATATTGAATTCTGAATGAAAACACTGCATTAACTTTATTTCTTCTCATAGGGTCTTGCTGTGTTGCCCAGACTAAGCATGGGCATAGCTCACTGCAGCCTTCTCCTCTTGGCTCCAGTGGTACTCCCACCTCAGCCTCTCGAGTAGCTGGGGGACTACAGGCATATGCCACCACACCTGGCTATAATTTTTTTTTATAAAGACAGGGGCTTGCTTTGTTACTCACGCTAGTCCTGAACCCCTGGCTTCAAGGTATCTTCCTGCCTTGGCCTCCCAAAGTGCTGGAATTACAGACATGAGCCACTGTGCCCAGCCAGAAATTTTTTACAGTAGATATGTGCCATCAACTTTACTTAGCATTCATTGAGCGTAAAGCATTATGCTAGGGAGTGAGGAGGGCTCCTGTGATGGTTAATTTTATATGTCAACTTAACTGGGCTAAAGTCTGCCCAGTTAGCTGGTAAAGCATTATCTCTGAGTGTGTTTGTGACTGTGTTCCAGAATAGATTACCATTTGAATCAGTAGACTGAGTAAAGAAGGCCCACCCTCACCAATGTGGGTGTACATGATCCAATCTGTTGAGAGCCTGAATAGAAGAAAAAGGCAGAGGAAGGGTGAATTCTCTCTCTTCTTGAACTGAGACAATTATCTTCTCCTGCCTTCGGTTATTGGAGCTCCTGGATCCCAGGCCTTTGGACTCCAGGACTCACACCTTATCACTCCTCCCCTCCCCCTTCAGACTCATACTAAATTACACTGCTAGCTTTCCTCGTTCTCCAGCTTGCAGATGGCGTGTTGTGGGACTTCTCAGCCTCCGTAATCACATAAGCCAATTTGCATAATAAATCTCCTCTTATATATCTATATATATCCTATTGGTTCTGTTTCTCTTGAGAAGCCTGACTTACACAGTTCCTAAAACCTAACAATTGTCAAAATGTAAAAAAGGCAATACGGTTGGGAAATGCCCATGTTTCATTTGAATTTACAGCACCTAGTTTACTGGGTGACTTGTGGAGAGTTCTGTCATTTGTCATGCCTGGTTATAATTTTTAATTAGTACGACATGTCCCCTATTCCTTCCAAAGGCCCATCTGTATCCTTTGCATAGTGATGTTCAACTTCCAAAAGCCAGAAAAACTAGAAATAACAAAGTTCCACCAAATAAAAAGAAACGTCATCAGAAAAAAATTTTCCCATCCTGATGTGGCTTTAATATGTGCCAATTTAACCAAGTGCCAGCCACATTTTAAATGACACACATAAAGCTAAGTCATGGTTGAATCACCAGCAGAAATAAATTTTGTTTGTTCATTTAATTCAACCAATTTCTTTCTATTTTCTCATCTCTCTGTCTTTTCTTCTCTCTTCTTTCTGTTATTTTTGGATGCTCAAAGATTGCCAAAATCATTTTTTTCTACACATTCTGTCGCATCTAGCCATTTTTCTTTTTGAAAGTATGATAGATACTATTTATAAAAGCAAAGCGTCTTGAGAAAACTGCTTCACTCTTTTTGCACATGGGTCCTGTAAAAGGAAAATCCTAGTTGTTATTTGGCTTGTTAAAACCATGTCCTTTTGTAAGAAATCAAACCATATATTTTTTATTGTGCATCCAAGTTTAAGCTACACAATCTTTACAATTATTTTCTTTTAATATGTTGATAACAAAACATATATTAAACCTCTTCCAATCATTTTATTAAGTTGGGTTAATTTGTTCTTAACTATGTCCTGTGTCATTCTATACAGGCTATTTAAGGCAGTGTATCAGAGTCTAAATAAGACAACACAAATTTGAAAATAAAAAAAGTTGACTAGTAGAATGAGACTGACAGTGTGGTAGGTTAATATGCATTCATGCAGACTACAAGAGCTTATATCATTATAAAACCTCGGCTATAAAATTGGCTCTAAGCTATCAATTATATGTGAATTTCTTATTGTCAGCCTGTCAAAATATACATATTCTAATATATTTGTTCTTCCAGAGAAACAGATAGTTTCTTCACACCTAGGTCTAAAGCAAATTATTTATGTGATAATAACAACACTGATGATAGTTTATAACTATATAGTGTTTCCTTTGTTCCAGGTAATTCTAGGGACTTTTCTCATTTAATGCCTATAACAATCCTTTGAAGTGGGAACTATTTTATCCTCATTTTAAAAGTCAGATAACAGAGTCCCAGACCTGGCAAACTCAATAAAAGAGGCAGTTCGAAACATAGCCCAATTAGACAGTTTTTTAAATGATTAATACAAAGATAATGGTAGTATATCTAAAAGAATGAATAAACAGCACATTTAATTTAAGTCACAGGGTGCCATGGCTCATGCCTGTAATCCCAACACTTTGGGAGGCGGAGGCAGGAAGATTGCTTGAGCCCAGGAGTTTGAGACTAGCCTGGGCAACACAGAGAAACCCTGTCTCTACAAAAATTAGCCAGGTGGGCATGGTGGCACACACCTATAGTCCCAGCTACTCGGGAGGCTGAGAAGGGAAGATCGTTGGGCCTAGGAGGTTGAGGCCACAGTGAGCTGACATGTCACCACTGCACTCCAGCCTGGGTGACAGAGTGAGACCCTGTCTCAAAAAACAAACAAAAAAAGTTTGTGTCAAAATGAGGTCATGTTTCTCACAAATGTTGTCAAAATCTAAAAAAAAATCAGACTTACAGAAGCGGAGAGTTGATTGATGGTTACTGGGGGAAGATGGTGGTGAGGACTGGGGAGATGTTGGTCAAAGGATATAAAATTCCAATTAGGAGGAATAAGTTCAAGGAATCTCTTGTACAATGTGGTGATTATTGTTAATAACAATGCATTGTATACTTGAAAATTGCTGAGCAGATTTTACATTTTCTCACCACAAAAAAGTGGTAAGAATGTGAGATAATAGATACATTAATTAGTTTGATTTAATGATTCCACAGTGCATACATATATCAAAACATCATGTTCCACTCCAAAAATATATAATGTTCATTTGTCAATTACAAAAGCAATAAACAATTGCTATAAACAGTTTAATCTTCTATTACAGTCCTCTTTCAGTATACTCGGGGATTGGTTGCAGGACCCTCTCCCACCCTGCACATATTCCAAAATATGTGCATATTTAAGTCCCACAGTTGGCCCTGCTGAACCCACATATATGAAAAGTTGGCCCTCTGTATATGTGGTTTTGCATCCCATGAATATTGTATACTGTATTTTCAATCCTCATTTCGTTGAACAAAAATAGGCGCATAAGTGGAGCTATACAATTTAAACCTGTGTTGTTCAAGTGTCATTTGTACTCAACAATATATCCTAAATAACTTCCCATGCAATGGAATAACTAGATCCTCATTTTAATGACAACCTTGTGTTTCAATATATGGCTCTACCATAAATCATTTAGTTACTTTCTATATTCTGCATTTAATTTGTTTCCAGCTTGTTATAATTTTAAACATGGATAGGCGAAACCTTTTAAAATTATGCTTATTTTTGAGAAAGGATATCATTCTGCTGCTCAGGTTGGTCCTGAAGTCCTGGACTCAAGTGAACCTTCCACCTTGGCCTCTCAAAATGCTGGGATTACAGGTGTGAGCCACTGTGCCCAGTAGGTAAACATTCCTGAACAAATACCTATGTATACTTTTTCTGATTATTTTCCTAAGACAAATCTCTAGAAGAGGAATTGCAGTACCAAGATGAATACAAAAAAAAAAAAAAAAAAAAAAAAAAAAAAAAAAGTTAAGGTTTTTGAAGTATAGGGTGAAGATTCCTCCAGAAAGTTTAGTCAGACTTAAAGACTCACCAGTAGGGTATGGGAGTTCTTGTTTTTCATGTATTTAGGATGTCCTGGATTTTATACTTCTCTTTTATTTTTGTCAGTTCAAAAAAATCTGATATGTGTATATCTTTACAAGAAAAATTCAAAACTTTTCATGTGTATTGATTATTTGTAGTTCTGATTTTGAATTAACTATGGTCTTTGCTCCTTTTTCTATCAACATAGTCTTTATTTTATTATTTGCTCATAATTGTTCTTTCTATATAAAGAAAACTACTTGATGGCTGTAATATATGTTGCAAGTTGTGTATCTAGGGTGCAATTTGCCTTTCAATTTTGTTTGTATTTTCTCCTCTACATAAATTTATTTTATTCATGTCAAATCTACAAATCTTGTCCTTTATGTGTTTTGAGTTTTATGTCATTACAAGGAAGCTCTTCCATTGCCTATAGCCCTAAGATCTTATAGTTATTTGCCTATTTTTTCTCTGAGTAATTTCATGTGAGCTCATATGGTTTGGCTCAAGACTATTTCTTGCCAAAAGATTAATGACAAAGAGAGGGTCAATAAAAGCTGCTAATAATCTCATATTATTAATAGAGTCCTCCTCAAGGTTAGAAAGAGAATCTACAGCTGTACTGAAAGTACAATGAGAGCAACCATGGGGGTCTATATGCTTTACCCATGGTAGAGAAACTATAGACCAGTTATTAAATGAATAAATAAGAGCAAACAGTGGCATATCCCTGCCTAGAGCCACCAAGCTTCTCTGATAAAATATGGGCTTAAGAAAATCAAGCTAGGAATTTGTCAAAGATAAGTCTATCATAAAATGTACATGCGGCACTAATAATTTTTATTCTGAAGAAAAAACATGAATGTAGACCTTTACTCTGCCTCTATTTAGGTGGAATAATACACATTAAAAATATGTTTAAGTGGAAACTTCCGCATGCATCATTAAATGTGGTAGTTTGAGAAAACAAAGTCAATTTTTTGCACAATGTGTTTGATAACATCTTTTTCTGAAATTTGTCAAGAGAAAGAAAAAAAGCTGCAATTGGGTATGTGTATGATGCTTCCCTAGAGAAACAGAAACAATATATTACACACACACACATGCATACACAGGCATACACATATATGTGTATATACATGAACACACACATATGTGTATATACGTATTTATATACACACAAAAAGGGATTTAGAATAAGGAATAGGCTCACACAGTTATGGAGGTGGGCAAGTCCAAAATCTGCCCAGCCAGTGTCCCACTTGGAGTCTGAAGGCCGGAAGCTGCTGTAGAGCCACGAAGAGCTCATGTCAGGCGGGAAGAGCTGATGCTCCAGTTCAAAGACTATTAGGCAGAAGAATTTGCTCTTAATCAGGGGATGGTCAGCTTTTTGTTATTTTTAGGCTTTCAACTGATGGGATGAGGCCCACCCACATTAGGGAAGGCAATCTGCTTTAGTCAGTCCATGGATTTAAATGCTAATCTCATACAAAAACATTCTCACAGAAACCACTCAAAATGTTTGACCAAATATCTGGTGCCCCATTGCCCAGTCAAGTTGACACATAAAATTAACCATCACCATGTGTGTAATTTTGAAATGTGATTGTGTAGCCCAGATATTACCTATGATGCCTGTCCTTTGAGATTCAAATCAAATTCATTCAAATTCCATTCCATGTGAAGTGAACGCCTGGCTGTCTCCCTGGCTTTTCCAGGAATTCTGGGTGCATGTGAGACTGAATTATGTTCTTCCCAGTCAGTTCTGACTTCATGCTCTGGCTTGAATTTTCATTTTTATGGATTTCTCATTGTTCCATGTGTGTTTTGTTTCTACATCACACAGTGTCAGCAGAGACACAGCTCAGTTTCTCTCCCTAATTTCCACATATATATGCACACAAATACAAACACACACACGCCAACACTTCGTCCAAAATATTTGTATGTATGAGAGATTTAATGAAGATATTGAGAATACAGGAAGATTTCCTATACCAGAAATGCAAACAATTTATGTTAGACATTTTTGATCATAAATATTTTGGCCATTTTGGCCCATTGAACCTACAAAAGTAAAGTGAATACACCATGAGGGGTTGCATTACAATCCACTGGGCTCAAGAACACAATATTAGAACTTTTGCTGATGTTTCTTTTCTTTTCTCTTTTCTTTTGATTTTTCTTGTTGTTGTTGTTGAGATAGGGTCTTGCTTTGTTACCCAGGGTGGAGGGTAGTGGCAATCATGGTTTACAGCAGACTCCCCCTCCTGGGCTCAAACAATCCTCCCAGCTTCCAAAGTAGCTGGGGCCACAGGTGTGCACCACCCTGGCCAGCTAATTCTTTTTATTTCTGTAGAGACATGGTCTCACAATGTTGCCTAGGCTGGTCTCAAACTCCTGGCCTCAAGCAATCCGCCAGCCTCAGTCTTTCAAAGTACTGGGATTACAGGCATGAGCCACGATGCCTGGCCTGATATTTATTTTTAATGTAAAAAATAAGAAATTAAGCTTTACCAATATCAGATCAATAAGTATATTTACAGAATTTTAAAAGAAATATACATATATTTGAAGAACATCCTCAAAAATATTTTACTGATTAACATGCAGAATAAAAAAACGCATTTGGAAATTACGGCTTTAACTACATGCCTGATTTCTTCACCTTTTTTTTTCAAGCCCTCCTTTCTTTTCTTTCTCCAATACTTGTTTCCACCTTCTGTGGCAAAAATAATAATGCCAATGAGTGTCAGTTATGAATATCTCCAACTCTCATCCATTATAACTGAACTTTCTCCAGTACTTATCCCCAACTCTATCATGGGCTTGCTTTTGGATTTCAAAGATGCATTTACTGTAGTTTTCTTCGCAACCCACAAAGCCTGGAGCAAAAGAACAATAAGATGGTTTACTTTCTCATTGTTAGGAATAACAATTGGAAGGAAGAATTATCCAGTGGTTAGTTTTAATTTTAAACAATATTTCTCTCTCTCTTTCAAACTACTGGGCATTGGAGCTGAAGTGTGTGTGGCTTCAGAATGTTTCCCTACTGAGATCACTGGGAAATTCCAGTGTCAGATGAGAAGTGGTTGTGGGGACCTTGAGCAGAGAATACAACCTGTTGGGATGTGGGAGGAAGCACAGGGAGGGGTATCCAGCAGGGCTGAGAATATAGGACAGAGACATTTCCTAAGTTAAGAGTTCTAGTGGCTACTGCTGGTTCCTTTTTTCAATTTATTTGGTCATGCCAACCTTTTTCTCAAAGACCATCAACAGTGTAAGACATCATTGCTCTGCTGGACATAGTTTAAGAAGGGTAGCATACATGTAGCCTAGTACCTGACCTTAAATAGGTACTTAATAAATATAACTTTCTTTTCCCTTCCAAGGCAAAAATAATCTGCCCACCAAAGATTCATGCCCTTCTTTACTGTTGTTGTACAGAAAAACAGCTGCCACTTCGATATACAAAATTCCTACCCCAATATACAAAATTCTGATCATTTAACTTCCCCAAGGAAGATTAACATTGATAAATCTCAAAAGATCCTAATTCCCTGAAAGTGCTGTCTTTAGATGCAACAGCATTCATTACAAATTGTACATTTACCATATTTATTTCATGCTAAATTTTAAGGACATTGAATACCTGACATATCCAGAGGAAAGTGACAAGAGTGGGAAAGGCTTCTCAAATCTTTATATCTGAGAAACATGTGACAGGCTTGGTCATATTTGGAGAAGAAAAAGAAAAATAATAGTATATCCATGCTTACTCTATTTAAATATTTAAGAGAGTCCTGTTGAAGACTTTTGGACATCTTTCTGGAGGTCAGGAGAGAGACAGAACTAGGCACTGTGGGATATTTTAACTAATATAAGAACACTGTATTAGTCTGTTCTCACGCTGCTATAAAGAACAGCCTGAGACTGGGTAATTTATAAAGGAAAGAAGTTTAATTGACTCACAGCTCCACATGGCTGGGAGGCCTCATGAAAGTTACAATCCTAGAGGAAAGGGAAGCAAGCACCTTCTTCACAAGGCGGCAAAAGGGAGATGAGTGAGGCACAAAGTGGGAAGAGCCCCTTATAAAACCATTGGATCTTGTGAGAACTCACTCAAACCCTCTAGCAATTAGAGTTGTTTAAAAATTGAATGAGCTACTTTGAGAACTGTCTAAGTTCCCTGTCTTTGGAAGCAAATGATCAGGAGCTGAATGAATATCAATGAAAGAGGCTGCTTTTGAGGAAATCGGACAATGTGGCCTTTAAAGCCTTTTCCTGCTCCACACTACGTGATAAAAAGAGAGTGACCTCTCTTCATTTTTCTTTCCAGATCCTGCTCTTGTTTTCATACTCTCTCTGCAACCCTCTTCCCTCTCCCTATCCATCTCCTTGCTACAGTTTGTATATATGAACTATGGGGACTCAGGAAGGCAGGAAAGAGATTCAAGTCTTGCTCCTGCCCCATTGTTGCCTTTCTCATCCTTTCCTCCATGCCATTTTTATTCACTGCTATGGATAATTGATATTTCCCCCAATCTAATAAAACATACTAACTATATACAGCTTCATGTCCCCTTTCTTATCCCTTCCATGAACTCACCACTCCTAAACCACTCATATATATAATTTCTGGAGTTACCAAAGTATGCACATATTTTTACCAACAGTAGCTTCCAAAGCTTCAAATAAGAATAGTCATTTTGGGCCAGGCACAGAGGTTCATGCCTGTAATCCCAGCACTTTGGGAGGCCGAGGCAGGCAGATCATGAGGCCAGGAGATCAAGACCATCCTGGCTAACATGGTGAAACCCCGACTCTACTAAAAATACAAAAAATTAGTCCGGCATGGTGGCATGCGCCTGTACTCCCAGCTACTCAGGAGGCTGAGGCAGGAGAATTGCTTGAACCCAGGAGGTGGAGGTTGCAGTGAGCCCAGATCATACCACTGCACTCCAGCCTGGATGACAGAAGGAGACTCCATCTCAAAAAAAAAGAATAGCCATTTTAAAATAGAAATGAATCATGTCTGAGTAGAATATCTCTACGTTTAACAAAGCCATGCTTCCCTTAATGAAGAAAGCATGATGGATATTTTGTGGTCCAAAGAATCTATGCTAAAGGAAGAAATGAAACAGGGTTGCTAGTGATGGATTGGCGCTTGGAAGACTTCCTCTTCTTTCTCTCCAGGCAAAACAGGATATAGATTCTGGGCTGCAGTTCATACACATCTTTAATGTTCTCCCTAGGCAAGATAGTCAATGACTGTATAACTCCAGGCCTAAGGATGGCACCACAGGAGCCCTGGGAACATAAGCCTTCCCTTGGCTAGAGCAGCTCCCCCCTGCTCAAGCACACCCAGCCTGACTTTGTAGAAAGTAATTTCTTTCCCAGATAGAATCATCATACTTTCTTTATAAAAATAAGTGAAATGAGTGATGATTGGGAACCTTGAAAAGTATAACTTTTTAATTAAATGCTGTTTTTAAATATCCATATTCCTAAAATCTCTCAAACTGAGTCCTATAGTGCTCTAGGTAATTTGCAGCCAAATAAGGTTTGGAAATGCCTTACATTCTGTTCATTCTTGGAGAGTCAAAAATGCATATTAATATACTAAGGACCTTGAGAAGTCCCGAAGAAAAATAAACTTGTTAAAATATGTTTGAAATAATATTTCTTCAACATCTTTGGCCATGCTAACCTACTTCTCAAAAACTATCAATAGTGTAAAACAGTAATGCTCTGCTGGACATAGTTTGAGAAACGTGCATTATAACAAATCAAAGAAAGTGTAGCATACATGTAGCCCACTTCCTGACCTTAAATGAGTTCCTAATAAATATTGCTTCTTTTTCCCCCATATGAGGCAAAGATAACTAGCTGCCCACCAAAGATTCATGCTTCTTTTCTTTACTGTATTTCTACAGGAAAAGAGCTGCCCAGTTAGGACTACATTCCCAGCTTTCCTTGCATCTACACAGGCATACCCACAGAATTCTGGCCAGTAAAATATGGACAAAACTAAACATACCACCTATGGGCCTAGCCTTAAAAAAAAATCCAATATCCTTTATACCTCCTGTAAGTCCATTGCTTAGCTATATTTTCTTGCTGAGGATAACATCAAAAGCCCCAAGTAGAAAATAGCAAACCTTCTATCAGCTTGAATTCCCAGATTATTTGTGGAGCAGAGTCCTCTTCTTGCTGAACTGTCCACCCCCTCTACCCCACATATATATCAACTGAACTTTATGTGATTAAATGAAAAGCAAAATTTTTTAAAGTCTTATCCCAAACTTATGTTTGTCATGCAGATTACTGAGGTTATCACTACTTGTGTAGGAAGGTCTTATAATTAGTAAACAGAAATATAAGGCCACAGATTTTCTATATGCATAGGGTCATTTATTCATTCATTTAACACTCATTATTCATTCATTTAAACACGCCAGGTTTAGGGATAAAAGGTGAGTAAGACAGAGTCTCTATCTAAAGGCAGACAGATATTTACAAAACAAAATTGGCAAATTTCTCAGGAGGTTATATTAATAGAATGAAGGAGAAAAACCACATGATTACGTTAGTAGACGTTTGTATGCCTGACAAAATTCATCACTCATTCAAGCTAAAACATGTTCACCAAACTAGGAATAGTAGGAAACTTCCTCAGATGGAGAAGGGACATCAATAAAACAGAACAAAATGAAACAACTACAGTTGATATCATGCTTAAATGTTGGAAGGCTGATTGTTTCCTCCTTGAGATCAGAAATAATGCAAAGTTGTTCCCCACAGATATCTTAACTAACTTTCATTTCGTTGCAGTCCACCTGGGTGATAAAGTTAAGCATAACTGACAATTTGAATTGAATACTTGAGCCAAATAATCTCCTAGTGTATCTTTTCCCCAACATATAGAATATACTAGGTAATCTTAGGAAGATTTTTAACCATTTAAGGAAATCAAAATTTCAAGTTACAAAATCTGCTAAAGCAGGAATTTATACACAACACAAATTACCTCAGGGAGTTAGTACATGATCCCTGCTCCTTTGCTCCTTTTCTCATGACAAGAATCTGCATAGGGATTTTAAGGAGAGATACTGTGACTATGTAGTTGATAAGTCTGTTGAGAGTGTCACCTATAGTCTGGAGGGTTGCTTCTTTCTGATACTGTGGAACAATGAAACATTCTTACCATGAGTTCACCCAGAGCCTGAAAAAAGTCTGCTAAAAAATGTCGTGTGGGGCCAGGCACAGTGACTCACACCTGTAATCCCAGAATTTTGGGAGGCTGAGGCAGGTGGATTACTTGAGGCCAGGAGTTTGAGACCAGCCTGGCCAACATAGCGAAACCTTGTCTCGTTTAAATACAAAAATTAGCCGGGTTTGGTGCCATATGACTGTAATCACAGCTACTCGGGAGACTGAGGCATGAGAATTGCTTGAACCCAGGAGGCAGAAGTTGCAGTGAGCTGAGATCATGCCAGTGCCTTCCAGCCTGGATGACAGAGCGAGACTGTCAAAAAAAAAAGAAAAAAAAAAGAAAAGCCATGTGGTTCTTTGTTGTTCTATACCCACTTACTTGAGTTTTCTACTTATTGTGTATTTTATGGGAAATTTCTGGTTTTTCTCTGTTTTACTCATCAAAATATTATATTTAGAGTTAATTTAGAACTATCAGATGCCCAGAGAATCTATTTTCAGCTCTATTTCACAGAAGAGTCAAACGTTTCCTATAGTTAAGTATAAATGAAATTAAATACCCAAAATGTAAGAGTCTAATTTGAAACACAGATTCTCCAAGTTATGAATTTGTTCCAAGTTTGGCAGAATATATGATCACATCTCTGAGGCTTGCCATTTATACTCCAACACATGCAGAGATGAATCAATGCCTTTTAAGGCGGATAACTAACAAAGTGCTTTAGGTTAGGACATTTTGAATGGGTTCAATTTTATGATGAATTTATTAGTCACACTGATAAGCTGCCAGTTCCATATACTGCAGAACTTTTTGTACTCTACATGTGGATATTCCAGGAACATGTGGATTAGCCAGGGAAATGAGAACGTGGAATTTAGTGATACAGGTTAATATGTTACAGTAAATATTTGGAGTACTACAATAATCACAGCTACCATTTATTAAGCCATTAGCTAGTATTAGGTGCTATGCTAAGCATATTATTAATGACATTTCTAGAATGTTTATTTTGTACCAGACACAAAGCTAAACACTTTACATACATTTTCTCTGTAAATCCTTATCATTATAAACATAATTAGCCTCATTTTACAAATGAAGAAACTGAGGCAAAAACCAGAGTAAATTTTTAATCACATGGTTAGTAAATAGCTGAATCAGTGTGTCAAGCCACTTGTTTTCTCATTGGCTATCCTTGAAGTTTGACTTTTTATTCCTGAAAGATGAACCAATTTCTTCCCCACCTCCCCTTGGCCCCGATAGCCTTTGTCTTTCAGGCTAAAGAACCCTTGAAGTACAAAGAATAGTACTTGAAATCTAAAAAGTGCCATGAAAACAGATATGACCCAAGTCTTTAAGCTTTAAATAGAATTAGTCCAAATTTCATCACAAAGTTGTTATTTTTTCCAAAGATCCTGGAAGTGAGGATGTATTATTTATTTAATGTAGCATAACAAATTATCCTAAACTGTGGAGGCTTAAAGCAATAATTATTTACCATTTCCCACAGTTTGTCTTGAGTCAGGAATTCAGTCAGGATACAGTAGAGATGGCCTGCCTGTGCTGCCTGATGTATGGGCTCTCAGCTGCAAAACTCCAAGACTGGGAACTAGAATCGTCAGAAGGCTTTTGCTTGCCCACATTTTTAGTGGTTAATGCTGGCTGGGTGCCCATCTGGGGCTGCTGGTCAGAATACAAACACGTGGCCTTTCCATGTTGCATGGACTTCCTCACGTAGGGGTGGCACTGTTCGAAGAGCAGGCATCGTGAGAGGAAGCAAGAAAGAGCCAGACAGAAGCCATGTTACCTTTTTGACCGAGCCTCAGAAACCATGCAGCCTCACTTATACCCCATTCTATTGGTCAAGGCTCTTACAAAGATCTACAAGGTTCAAACAGACACTGGGGCCTATCAGAAGTGGAGGGTGGGAGGAGGCAGAGGATCAGGAAAAGTAACCAATGAGTACTAGGCTTAATACCTGGATGGCAAAATAATCTATACCACAAACCCCTATGACACAAGTTGACCTATATAAAAAACCCTTGAACTTAAAGTTTTTTAAGAAAAGATGTTGTTTGTTAAAAATGAAATAATCTATATAACAAACCCCTATGACACAAGTTTACCTACATTACAAACCTGCACATATACCCCTGAACTTAAAATAAACGTTAAAAAAAATGTGGGAAGGAACATAGACTCTATTTCTTGATGGCAATGTGTCAACTTCACATTGGAAAAAGAGCATATGGGATAGGGGTTATATATTGGCGTGGCCTTCTTTGCAATGTAGAAATTGCTGCAAAAAGCAATAGTGAGGATTTAAAAGATTTCCAAATCACCTATGACTATTAGCTCCTGCTTTTTCTGTTAGTTTCATTAGTGAATTGTCTAACTGTGCTTCATATTATTTCCCTATTCTCTACCACTCAAAACAAGATTTGAAATCCAGTCTCCTTCCATGATTTACATACACAATGAAATACACTCCCCACCAAACATATACTAGCAAATAAAAATACTCCTTCAAGTCGGTTACACTGACTTGACTGATGTTTGCAGCAATGAGTGGGATTTACATTGTAGCCAAATAACTTAGAATATTGAAAACCCCTAATTTAAAAAGCTCTATGACTCTTTCCTGTGTTCCAGAGCTTTCCTCTCTCCCTGTTTCCCTCTATTTTCTTATCTGCCTCTTCTCTCACAGTAGCAAAAACTTTAAATACCTTTCATTTTCTTATGCAAAATAATTCAGTTTAGCTCTGCTAAATCTCCATACACCATACTCAGTGCATAGACTCTTTTTAAATCCAAAGTCCCACTAATGTATTCTGCTAAACCAAATGCCATCTAAATCTGAGGGTCACTCTTGCTTCCTACTCCATCTCTTTCTGCAAGAGAAAGGAACAGTGAAGAGATTTATTCCTCCAATTAAATAAATTATGCCCCATTCCCACCCCCGTGTTCTCCACGGGAAGGCAGAAGTTGCTCTGTTCAGTTGTGGTTTAAAATGACAATTTCCCCCTCTGCATTGCACTAGCGTGCATTGGATCACGGCCAGCACTATCCACTTAAGTTTTCCATCTCTGATTTCCAAAGCATTCAGGGAAAGCCTCAGCCTCAGACATTATGAATATGCCTAAGAACAGAACTTCTGAGGCAAAAATAAAAATAATAAAAAATCACAATTTAATCAAGAGAGAGCCCTCAAGTACCCATTTAATAGGTAAGCTATGTTCTTGTCCTCTCTCATACTGTACAATTCAGCATCTGATTGAGTTGCCTTTCCAAAGCCTACTGTTAAGTCCTATAAACTTTCAGAAATGGATTGACCCAGGAGAAGCCTTTATAGAAACATCTAAATATGAAAGATATACTCTCTGAATAGTCTCTAGCCAGATTCTGGAAGAATATTGGTTCTCACGGGCAAGCCATAATACAAATTCCCACTTGTTTCTCCACAGTCATGTCCTCACTACTGCCCTTACCCCCTTTCTTGGAGAGTTTGACCTAAGCCTCTCCTCCTGGTTCTCATAGCTCCAGTGAATGGGAGGGCACATGTGACATCACATACCTGTTTATGGCTAAATGAATCATGGTAACTAATCCAATTAGATTGTTTTCCTGGGGCAATGAGCTAAGACTAACAGACAGTAGCTAAAATAGTCTGAGCAGAGCAGAGCAAACCTCCCGGCAGAGACAGAAGCACAAAGCAGGTGCAGAGCTGTGTGACAGGATGCACACTGGCGTCTAGAGCTGGGAAAAGAAGTGAAGTTCCAGAAAGCCATCTAGTTCCTGCTTCCAACCCCTTAGGAGGTCTGGATGCACCCCTTGCTTTCTGGCTTGCTGAGATAGCCCAACAACACAGCAATAAGCTTATCTTAATGCATCAGCTAGTTTGTAGCCAAGTGAACAGAAATTATTCTACATGGGATGGGAGAAAGAAAAATAGGAATGTATTTTAATTTCTTTTCATATATTTCAAATAAATTTTCAAATAAGTTTATGTACTCTTTTTTGGGTATATATGTTAAGTAGGGAAGACTCATATATCAAGGAGTTTCAATAAAGTATGATTGCAACGTAAAGGTTGCTACAAGATGTTCTTCTATGATATTCGAGGACCATTAAAAAAATAAAACATACTTTAGTACTGAATGAAATGTCATGGTGAACTTCTTATCCTTGGTAACCAAAGAACTTGCTTAAAAAATCATCGTATGCTGTTGAAGTATCTCTGAAGATATTTTACATGTAGTAACCTCTGTATAGTGAATTTTATTTGAGGGGGCTTCATAGGAGAGCTTTGCAAGATGTTAAAGAATATGCTGTTTGTCAACTTTCTGAAGAAATCTCTGCTTTTTAGGGCCTCACAGCCAAACAAACAAACACAAACAAACTTGTAAAGCAATACTGAAAAATATGTGCCCATTCCAAGAAATGGAGTGAAATACATTAGCAAATTAAGAAATGTAATGGAGTGTGGGAAAAGCCTACATCACAATTAAATAAGGACTTTGACTCCATGTAAAGCTTCATGTATAACTCTTTATATAAGGAATTCATACTACTGACAATTGGCCATGAAATAGACAAAAAGGACATGGTTTAGAGGACAAGAAGTAGGCCCCACACTCACTAACTGTTAAGCACACTACTTAAACCCAGTGAGCCTCTGTTTCCTCACTCGTAGTGAGGATGACAACATTATTTACCTCAATGGGATGTTGTGGACATTTAACACTATGATGCATATAAAGCACTTGGCACGTGCATTGATGTTGTCAATAAATCTCAGACCACTTGTAGCAGTAATTTTTGTTATCTGCATTATTACAAATGTATCTGGATATTCTAGGGCAATTCTCTTAGCATATGAAGAGTTTGATGTGCTGGCTGGAGATTGGCAAGCAACTTGCCTCTGCTTGACAAGACCACTCCCACTTCTGATGTGTGCCTGTGTGTATGCATTAAATTGTTCTGTACTAAATCCTATGATTTCTGCCACCAGGTATCAGTTTCTTGGGCTTTCTTTAGCTTGTTCTACGTACAGGCAAAACAGAGAAGTTGTTTTGATATTTTGCTGTTTAACATTTCAAATTACCAGCAAAACAATGAAATTCCTGGACCTCCCATACCCTATTTATCTCAATCAGCAACCTATTTCATGTGAGCCATCACACAGGCAATCAGAGCACAATTGGACTAGATGGGGAAAGTGATGGGACCTACTAGGAGAATACAATTGGGACCTGGCCATACTTTAGTTATACAAAGTATAACTGTGATACATTTCCCTTGTTTTCTCCACACCTATAATTTCTAGAACTTTGCCAGTCTTAAACTATGCACCATGCCCTCAAAAACGTTGCTTTTTCTTCCTTAGATCACTCAAAGTTACATAAACAGCATTTTGGACTTAAAAATTGAGCTCAAAACACTCTTGTTACTGAATACCACAAATATACACATAATGGTTAATGTGCAACTACACTGAAGCATTGTCGTATTTACTCCTAGATGTCTCACCTCTCTAACATTCCCAATGTATCATTTAGGGAGAAATTTGTGTGTTTTTACATGCACGCAGTACACAATTTAAATTGTAACATAGGTCACACACTGAAAAGTGAGCTACCCGGTTTCCTCTCCAGAGACAACTACTGTTAGATTCTCATAATAAATACGTACTTAAAACACACACACACACACACACACTCACACACACACCCACACCACACACTGTAGCAAACATAAACATTCTCAGTGAGAGTTCCTTGCGAGAATTAAATTCTCATACTCTAAGTCATCCATTGTATGTAATAAATTGGCTTTTCTTCTAGGCATCAGGAATGATATTAATTATGTACCATCCATAGAAGAATTGAGGAAATAGTTACAAATAATGGTTCTGTGAGCTGTGGTTCAAATGAGGAACTCTAGTTGAGAAATACTTTCACTTAACAATCTAGCTTGGAGATTATTTATATGGGTACATATATAGCTGCTCTCCTCTTCTTCCTCCTCCTCCTCCTCCACCTCCTTCCTCCTCCTCCTCCACCTCCTTCCTCCTCCTCCTCCTCATCCTTTTTCTTATTTTTCCTTCTTTACTTTTTCATTGAGGTATAACCTAAATTAGAAAGTGTATATAGTGCACCAATCTTAAGTATATCATAAGGTAACACATGACCAATTTTATATATTTATATACCTTTGTAAACACCATTCAGATCATGATATAGAATATTTCCATCACTTTAGAATGGTCTTCCATGCCCCAGGGCAAATCTCTAGTCTAACTTCTATCACTACAGTTAGTTTTGCCTGTTTTGGAGCTTCACATAAATGAAACCACATTTGTATCTTCCTTCTTTCCTTCAACATGTCAGAGTGATTTTCCATGTTGTAGTGTAAACTGATGTTTCCATCAGCTTATTCTTTTTGTTGTTGTCTATTATTCCATTGTATGAATCGACGACTATTTATTCATTCTCTTGTTGATGGACATATGGAATGTTTCCAGTTAAGGGCTATTTTGAAAAAATCTGCAATGAACAGACTTGCGCATGTCTTTTGGTGGATATATGCATTTATTTCTCATACACCTAGGAGCAGCTGGGGTCATGCAATAGGTAGGTGTATGTTTAGCTTTAGTGAACATTGCTAAACAGTTTTCCAAAATAGATGTTCCAATTTTGATCATTCTTTTTAACAGCTGCATAGCATTACATTAGTATTCCCATCATGTATTTAAACTAGCCCACTCTTAATAAAGATGAAAGTTATTTTCAAACATTTGCTTGGAACAAAATATGCTCCAAATAATACCCCTTGACATAAATTATCTTGCACATATACAAGTTTATCTAGAGGAAAAATTATGACATGAATTTACTTGACCCAAGGATATGCTTATTTTTAATGTGAGTCTATATGACCAAATTGCTCTCCAAAGTGTTTCAACTGGTACATACTGCTCCTGGCAGGGTTTGAGGCTATTCACCTCATACTTACTGACAGTAAATCATCAAATGTTTTAAACTTGTTAATCCAGTAGTTATAAATTACATTTTTATGGTTTTTTATAGTTTTAATTTGAAAGTCTCTTATTATAAGTGATAGTGAATATTTTCATAAGTGCAAAAGCACTTATCATTCCTTTATTGTGATCTATCTTTTAATATCCTTCACCCCTTATTAGGTTCTTGGTCTTTTATTGATTTAGAAGAATACTTTTTAAATGGAAGAAATTAAGTTCTTTCTTTGTGATAGGAGTCACAAGTATTTTCCCCCAAATTGTTGTTTGTCTTCTCCCTCTGTTGATAATTGAGAGAATATTTTGGAATATTTTCTTCGCATCAAATTTTCAAAGCATATTTTACAAAGCCCTCGTCTACCCTTCTTCTGCCACCTGTAAGATGTATCTTAATCATTATTAATGAATAAAAAAATTATGCTCTAAATATACTCTCTGGATTATTAAAAATAATCCTGCTCTAATGCATATTCCCGAGAATTGAAAGGAAGACCGCATGTATAAAAGTAATTGGCAGGCACACAGAATATGAGTAGGGCTGCTGTGTTGCAAACTTTCTCAAGGAAGCAAAAGGCAGTTTGCATTCTTAGCAAGATTCTGCATTAGGATCATGTGCTCAGCTTTGACAAGTATTTATATGTGGTAATCAGCTGCCTCCTGCTACCCTAGGGCAGCCCACAAGTCACAGGGAGATTGCCAGGCACTCACTTCACACTGCTCCCTAAAGATTTGGTCATTTTGGAGTATCCCATAAAATGCCCTTAAAATGAGGATTGGTATAGAAAGAAACTTAAGGAATTGTTCTAAATGGTAATATCTCTGTGATACTTGAAAGAATTGAAGTTTAAGCCTGGTATGGTGGCGTGCATCCGTACTCCCAGCTACTTTCGGGGCTAAGGCAGAAGGACTGCTTGAGCCCAGGAGTTAGAAGCCAGCCTGAGCAACATAGCAAAACGCCATCTCTTAAAGAAAAAAACAGAAAACAACAAAATCAAACTATTACTGTGATTCTTCAGGAAAATTTCTCCTCACATCATAAGAGCATTTACTCACTTTTTCCCCCATTAGAATCTTTGCAGCCAGGGACATTTATTATTTGTATCAGTTTTCTCTTCTTAACCATAACCAATTACCACAAATTTAGCAATAAAGACAACACCCATACTTTATCTCATAAATCTGCAGATTAGAAGTCCAGGTCACCATACTGGTCCTCTGTTTAGAGCCTTACAAGGTAGAAATCAGAATGTCAGCAGGGCTGCATTCCTTTCTGGAGGCTCTGGCAGTTAATCCACTTCTAAATTCATTCAGGTTGTTGGCAGAATTCAGTTCCTTGCGGTCACAAGGCCGAGGGCCCCATTTCCTTACTGGCTGTCAGCCAGGAGCCTCTCTCAGCTCTTTAAGGCCATCTGCACTGCCAGTTATATTGCCCCTCCATCTCCAAACCCACAGAAGGACACTGACTCGTTTACACACTTTGAAACGCTGCATTCCCCTTTCTGTGGCCTTTCTCCTTGCTGCAGCTGAAGGGAGGTTCTATGTTTTTAAAGGCCCAAGTGTGATTAGGTGGGCACAACTGGATAATCCAGGATAATCATCCTATTTTAAGGTCTGCAACCTTAATTATATTAGCAAAGTCTCTTTTACCATGTAAGGTAACATATTTGGAGGTTATAGAGATAGAATGTGGACATCTTTGGCAGCCAATATTCTGCCTACCATAATATCATATGTCTTTTTCCCTTCTTCTCTCCCTTCTTCTCTCCCTCCTTCTCTCCCTCCTTCCCTCCCTCCCTTCTTCCTTCCCTCCCTTCTTCCTTCCTTCCTTTCTTCCTCCCTCCCTTTTTTCCTTTCCCTCTCTCATCTACAGTATCTAGCATAATGCTGGACATGTAATATAAGGAGAACTAAATCAATGCTAATTAGTTCAATGATGTTTCTAGAGTTCTTTGTCCTGAGGCTTCAGTCTAAATTCTGGGAATACATATTGAATGGGGAATTTGTCAAGTGGTTTATAAATTCTCAGATCAGAGTAGAAAACTCTAGGGACGAGCATGCTTTGTGTCACCTCCCCCACGGGTAAGAGCCCAGGTTGAAGGGTCTTCCTGGTCCAGGAGTGTGGTCTTTTGGTATAAGCTACACTCTTGGGATTGCCCTAAGCCCCGCAAGATTTCTCTACAAGCAGGGTACCAGGGAGAGAACACATAAAACTCTGTGTGCCAGAACCAAATTTGGACTTGACAGTGTTTTTCAAAAAATAAGAAAGAATATTAGGCACTCTGTAGAAGGCATTATATTTTTGAACAGAGAAATAACCCACTTTAGTAAAGGAAAACTTTAGATGATCTCAAACCTTAATTTTGGTCCTAGAGTCTTCCTTGTAGATAATATAGAGACATTTTTGCGTGAAAATTTTGATTATAATGTACCAAGGGGCAAATTCTTGTAGATCTTTGTTGCACAACTGAAAACAACAGATTTCCAATCCTCCCCAACAAATTTTATTAAAGATAAATCCTCATTGTTAAATATCCTCAGTAGAATAAATAATCATCTTCTAATTTCTTGAGCAAAGAGATTTTGACTATTACATTAGCTGCTAATTCTTGGTTTATGTGAAATAAAAGCACTGTGTGACCACTATTTTCTTGGAGTGGCCAAGGACCAATTAGTAACCTCCAAATACTATTTATTGTTACATCTGCTTTAGAGAAGTAGGTGTTTATTAGTTTTTATGTATGTTTATGATTCTCTCTCCCTCCTAAGGTATATCTTCCCAGAACATAGTTTACTGCTGAGCAGATAATAGTTCCTTTTCTTCTCTCCTTTTTTTGGTTTCCCCTCAGAGAATTGAAGCTCAGTCTCCTGCAAAGACAGTAGTTTAAAAAAAAATTTAAAAAAAAAGGCTCAGAGAATTGAATGAAAGTTATATGCACTATGACTTGCACAATCTATTGTCTGTTGGGATTACAGCTAGAGACATATAGATGATGTATGAACAAGTATGTTTATAGTAAAATTCTAGAATTATCAATACTATGTTGACTTAGTTGAAAACAGATAAACACGGAACCTAAAATGGAACATTTGAATATCATCATTTTGCTATTTAAGAGAAACTAAGCAGCAGTAACCATTAGTAACAAGATAACATTACCTAATCCAAAGCTGTCATGCTATGAAACACAGCATCGTTTATATTAAACTCCTATTATTAATAATACATAATAAAGAAGATTAATGAAAAGATACACTTCAGGAAAACAACATCTTTCAGGTGCTGAGTCAGAAGTGACTCCAGTTGTGTCTTCATGGGAAACATGCTGCTTTCCCGGGTCGAAGGCTGTGATTGCAGTTCCCATAAAGGACCAGCAGCATCCCTGTTGGTGTCTCGGGGGAGGGGCTGAATGAGAGGACTTGTTGCTGCTTCTCTGAGGCTGCACACCTGTTCCTTTTAGTAGAGCCAGGCTGATGATGCTTCTCAGGTGCATAAAGATGTTCCCTCAAACCAAACCATGACTTGCTGATTGCAGCTGAACCTCCAGACTTTCGGAAACTGGAATATTTCTTGGGTCAAAATGTAATCACATTTTTTAAACAAAAGTTTTGTATATTAATGATGAAAATCTCAAAATTGTTTCTATAAATTTAGTGAAACAAGGATGAACAAAAATAACAAATGAATTGTATTTCAAAACTACTGAAGAGTTTAAAACAAACAAAAAACCTTCTATTCTCTCACCTCTGGTTATTTATCAGGAGTGGAAAAATAAGGCTCTTGGCCAAATATACTGTGATTGAGATGATAATTTTACAAGTCACAGCATGAGGGCAACTAAAGAATCACATTTAAGCAGAAAACCTAGCTTGTAAATTTTCACACAGTAATTACATTTCAAGCTGTAGAGTTATAGGATTTTAGAATGTTAGTACTGAAGGAATTTGGAGAATCTTCCAGTCCAACTCCTCTGTTTTACAGATCGTGGAATTCCTAATAACTTCATTTCCTCTAAAAGTTCTCCTAATGACAGCATCTTACAGTAGCATTTATAACAACTGATTAGCTAAGTGTTTTTAATGGATTTTTAAAAAAATCATTCTATAATCACAGTTTTTTTGCTTCAGTTCTCTAGCTAAAATCGAAGTAATATAGTTCTTAGGGACTTTGCTATAACTTTTGGTTTTCATTAGGATAGGGAAATACTGAATATTGATGGCACAATAAAATCTTGCTTCTAAATATTCTATTGATTTTTTTGTTTTTTTTTTTTTTTGAGATGGAGTTTCACTCTTGTTGCCCAGGCTGGAGTGCAATGGCATGATCTTGGCTCACCACAACCTCCACCTCCCGGGTTCAAGCTATTCTTCTGCCTCAGCCTCCCAAGTAGCTGGGATTACAGGCATGTGCCACCACTCCCAGCTAATTTTTGTATTTTTAGTAGAGACGAGTTTTCTCCATGTTGGTCAGGCTGGTCTCGAACTTCTGACCTCAGGCTATCCGCCCCCCTCAGCCTACCAAAATGCTGGGATTACAGGCATGAGCCACCGCACATAAATGTTCAAGTGTGCATATGTGTGTGTGTGTGTGTGTGTGTGTGTGTGTGTGTGTGTAAAAGACTATGAAGCCTCTCACCAGGCAGTTCTGCTTTCAAATCCTGTCTCTGTCATTTATTAACTGTGTGTGATCTCAGGCAGAGTATTTACTCAGTAATCTCAGATCTGTTAAAATGAGTTAACGAATGCCTAACTCAAAGAATCTGTGAAGTGTAAGAGAGATTTCACAGGTGAATGTGCTTTACATACTACTTCTGAAAATGTACCTCCTCAATAGCTGCTCCTTTTATTCTTCCCTTCCATCATTCATGTGTCTTTACCTACTATGTGAAGCATTCTGCATCATTTTATTATTTCTAAATAAAGTATCAATGCAATTCTCCTAATAGTTGTAGGAAAAAAATTATAAAATATTGTTGTGTTCTTCATGAGACAAGAATAAGTTTGAACACTTTATTCTTCAGAGAAAAACAAAATTTCTATATTGTTTGTTTCCTGGAAGAGAGAAAAGTTCCATGCATGAACTTTAGAAAATGTTTTGAAAGAACTCATTCAAATTAAGCTGGAGCTCTTCTTCTCTTGCTTGCTGAAGAGGAAATTAGAAATAATTCATTAGCTTGGCTTAGTGGCTCACACCTGTAGTCCCAGCACTTTGAAAGGCTGAGGCGGGTGGATGGCTTGAGCCCAGAAATTAGAGACCAGCCTGGGCAACACGGTGAGACCCTGTCTCTACAAAAAATACAAAAATTAGCTGGGCATGGTGGCGCGCATGTGTAGTCCAGGGTACTCGGAAGGCTAAGTCGAAGAATGGCTTCAGCCTGGGAGGGGGAGGCTGTAGTGAGCCGTGATTGTTTCGCTGTACTCCATCCAGCCTGGGTAACAGAGTGAGACTCTGTCTCAAAAAAAAAAAAAAAAAAAAAAAAAAAAAAGGAAATAATTCTTCTTTACCAAATAATATTTTTTATTCCTAAACTGTAGGCATGTTAGCATCAACTTAATTTCAACTTTGGTACTAAATCAAGCTTGAGCTAGGTATGGTTAAGGATTAGGAAAACTAATTTTAAAACCTCAAATGAATTCTAAAGTTAAGAACTTGCCTCTGCAGCATAGAGAAATTATAGTTTCCTTTTGTAATAATCCACAAATTCTATGTATCTTTATAATATTGATTTAATTTATGAAATAGTCAATAAAACCTCAATATCTTGAACAAATCTGGCCACTATAAACTCACTTTTTGAAAGAAAAACATGAATGCTTTTATACTTGTACACAGACTCTGTCTCAGACATTGGGGTTATAAAAATTGAAAAATATTCCTGAAGTCTGGTGATAAGCAAAGCCAGCAGAAGGTTTACAATAGACATGATAAGTGCTAAACTAGAATGTCTAATTTTCTGATCTTATATTGATTGTTCTTTCCTCTTGCTCACTATAGTCCAGTCACATTATCTCAATCACGGCCTCCCTATCTCTTGAACATCTTCAGGGATTCATGCGTGAGTACCTTTGCACTTACTTTCTGCCTCTGATAGGAATACTCACTGATATGGTTTGGCGTTTGGCTCTGTGTCCCCACCCAGATCTCAAGTCAAATTGTAATTCTCAGTGTTGGGGAAGAGACCTGGTAGGAGGTGATGGGATCATGGAAGTAGGTTTCCCCCTTGTTGTTCTCATGATATTAAGTGAGTTCTCTCAAGATCTGGTGGTTTAAAAGTGTGTAGCACTTCCCCCTTTACTCTCTTTCTCCTGCTCCACCATAGTAAGACGGGCTTGCTTCCCCTTCGCCTTCTGCTATAATTGTAAGTTTTCTGAGGCCTCCCAGCCATGCTTTCTGTGCAGCCTGCAGAACTGTTTGCCAATTAAACCTGTTTTCCTCATAAATTTCGCAGTCTCAGGTGTATCTTTACAGCAGTATGAAGACAGATGAATACACCCCACTCCCCCAATATCTTTCAACCTTGGCTTCTTATTCAGGTCCTAGCTCAAGTGCTGCCTCAAAGAGGCCTTGCCTAAATACCGCTTTCCTCACCCTCCCCCCAGGCATTCTTTGCCCGGTCATTTTGTTGTTGTTGTTAATTTTCTTTATCTGAAAATGCCCTGCTTATACTAATTTGTTTCTTGTGCCTTGGATTTGTGATTGTAATTATAGAATTAAGTTCCATTAGGACAGTGTGGGGGTCTATCTTGTCCACCGCTGTAACTCTGGTGCCTAGCATTTTGCCTTGCAAATAGCAAGTGGATGCTCAATAAATATTTATTGAAGATGAAGGAATAGTGCTGTGGGGAGTAACCACAGCCATCAGGGAAGCTTCACACCAAAGGTAATGCTTAAACTGATGCTTGATGTATCCCATTTAAGATATAGGATTAACATCAAAGAAATGCAAATCAAAACCACAATGAGATGTCATCTCACACCAGTCAGAATGCCTATTATTAAAAGTCAAAAAAAACAACAGATGCTGGCAAGGCTGCAGAGAAAAGGGAATGCTTTTACACTGTTGATGGGAAAATAAATTAGTGCAGCCACTGTGGAAAACAGTTTGGAGATTTCTCAAAGAACTTAAAACAGAACTACCATTCAACCCAGCATTCCCATTATTGGGTATACATCTGAAAGGAAACAAATGGTTCTACCAGACAGGTATATATACTTGTATGTTAATTGCAGCACCATTCACAGTAGAAAGACGTGGACTCAACCTACGTGCCCATCAATGGTAGACTGAATAAAGAAAACATGGTACATATAAACCACAGAATACTACACAGCCATAAAAAATGAAATCATGTCCTTTGCAGTAACATAGATGCAGCTGGAGGCCATTATCCTAAGCAAATTAATGCAGGAACAGAGATTCAAATACGACACCTTCTCACTTAGAAGTGGAAGCTAAACATTCAGTACTCATAGACATAAAGATGGCAAAAATAGACACTAGGGACTACTAGAGGGGGCAGAGAGAGGAGAGCAAGGGTTGAAAAACTAACTTTAAGGTACTGTGCTCATTACCTGTGTGGCAGGATCATTCATATCTCAAACCTCAATACCACACAATATAACCAGGTAACAAACATGCATATGTACCCCCTGAATCTAAATAAAAGTTGAAATTATAATAAAAGCAAACAACAAAAGCCAAACAACAAAAGCAAGATGTGCTTCCAAAACAAATCAAACCAAAAAGGCACAAAATCCATAATCTCCTTCTGCTCCTATTTTCTTGAGGCTACCACTGTTGACCCCCTGGTATAAGTCATTCCACCTGGTTCTCTACTCTCCCACCAATTCTACCTCACAGACAGAGAGAGGGGCAGCTTCTTTTTGTTTATTTGCTTTAAACTGTTGTTAATGCCATCTTACAAAACCTGATTTGTAATATGCATATTATCCTATAGATTTCTTTTCCATTTTGACAGAAGGACATCCTTGTGGACATCCTTCAAGACAAGAGATATAGTTCTAACTAGAATTTTAAATAGGTGCATTATATTTCATATTAAACATGTACTACAGGCTAGGTACCATGGCTCACACTTAGAATCCCAGCACTTTAGGAGGCCGAGGCAGGAGGATCACTTGAGCCCAGGAGTTTGAGACCAGCCCAGAGAAAACAGGGAGACCCCATATTTAAAAAAATTAAAATACTAGCCAGGCAGGGCGGCACAAGCCTGTAGTTCCATCTACTCAGGAGGCTGAGGTGGGAGGATCACTTGAGACTAGGAGGTGGAGTCTGTAGTGAGCTGTGATTGTGCCACTGCACTCTTGCCTGGGTTACAGAGAAAGACTCTGTCTCAAAACAAAAAAACAAACAACCAAAAAGCAGCCATAATTTTTTTGGAAAAACACACAGCATTAACACAAATTGGGGACAAGTGGAAGAGGGAGTTGAGGAAGGTTTTCACCTTGATGGAGTACGTGGACGTGAGACCATTTGCATAAACAGAGAACAGAAAATAGTCCCAGCTATTCAAGGGAGATGGTAAGCAGTTTTGGATTAGCTGAGTTTATGATGCTTGTGGGTCCTTCAGGTAGAAATGTGCTGTGGACACTTAGACAAAGGGAAAGATGTCTGTGTTAGAGAGATTTCTGCTGCTGTTTACGTTGTAAAGCCACTTGAGAGAGCTGCCAGTGAACTATACCTATGCATAGATTCTTCGGAAACTAATAAGATTTTTTTTTTGGCGGGGAGGAGTAATTTATGGTACATTTTGTGAAAATTACTGAAAGTGTGCTCAGACTTTAAAACATAAATATAAACTTTTAAAAGCTTAAATCCAGTTTATCTAATTTCTTTCATAAAAATCTTCCTTCATATTCTATCTAACCTCAGATCAGCCTAACCCAAGTTGAAATAAAAATTCTTGACTGCTTAAATTCCTGAAGATGTGTTTATGTGTTACCAATTGAGGCTTTTTTCACGTGTGCATTCAAATTCTTAGGGTGGGAGGAATGTTAAAGTAAATTGCAGTTTGTGAAAAGTAGACAAAAAGAATTCAGGACATTTAAAACTGTAAAAGTGTAAAAAGTAAATTTTTTGACAGAAGGAATGAAGAAGTTTCAGAACTTAGCAACCAATGAAGAATTACCACTACCACCCATATGATTTATGACCAAGAAAAAATGCTTTCCTTGCCAAGTCCTTCCGAGGAAAATTCACTCACCCACCCTTTCTTGGGCCTTTGGCCCTTCTCCTTCACCAGAACCAGAAGGAAACCCAGCTCCATGGAGGAGAAATCAGTGAACTGACAATCTGAACCTGAGGTTGTAGGGAGGAAGCAACAGAACTCTAGGGGATGGCAGGAGAAAGAGGGAAGAGACAGAGGGTTAGGATGGCCTAGTTGACAAAGGGAGCAGAGGACCCAAGAAGAGAGATTTTTGGATATCCATCTGAAGTAGACTCAGTATGTGGGAAGCAGCTGAAGGTGGATAAGAGGGAATAACATTACACTTCCCTTCACGCTTGTGTTCTTGGTTCTCTAACCATAAGATTTTTCTCTGATGAATAGCAGAAGCCTTTCATTACCCTTTCAACTCTTTTCAACCCTTTCACAGTTAAGGGATTATAGCTGGAGGTTTTAAGGCACTGACGTTTTGATGCAAAATGAGGCAAATCCGTGCAAATGGAAACCTGACAATTTTTCTTGGAACTGTCCTGATATCAACTTTTAATATGAACAGTCTCAGAATCCTCTTAGGTTTTCCCAGTCACAGAGTCAAATTCTTACTGTTTTATTGTGATGCCTTTGAGGATCAACCAAAGTAAAACTTTACAGTGTTTAAAAAAAATGACTAGGACACATTTGATTCCAGCAAGTTGTGTAATTTAGAATGAAAAGGCTATATGCAACACTGAAATCAAGATGAACTTGAAGTTACGAAGTGCAGTTTTAAAAGGAACTGTAATAATATGTAAATGATTATATGTCTGTGAAGTGGGGAGAGGGAACCTCAGTTTTTTAGTTTTCTGACAATATTTCATTATCAGTATGTGGTGGAGTAACTGGCAAATGGTGTGGTTCAAAACCATTTGTGAAATAATCACCTCAAAAAAATCACAAGCTGATTTAGGAAGTGTAGGTGCCATTTTTACAAATCGTTCTGCCTGAAGAACCATTTCATACCTGGAAAATGCTAGAATTTATGGGATAGTAAAATGAAGATGAGTCAGCAAAAAAAATCAAGAAGGAGAGGTCAAAGAAGAAACCAAGAGAACCAAGTGAAGCCAAGAAATAAAGAGATGCCAAGGGATGAAGCCCTAATCATGTCCATTGGATCTGCAAATTTCTAGGCTTCTAGGCACGGCAACGAAGGTGAGCATGACGGTTAAGAGACTGAATTCTGGAGCCAAACTTCTTGGGTTCACATCCCAGCTCCGCGGCTTACACTGTGTTAAGTAATGTGGTGGCTTAACCTTTCTCCACCTCAGTTTCTCATCTGTGAAGTAAGGATACTGATGATACCTATGTCACAGAATTGATGCAAGGGCTATATAGTTCTTGAGCTAACAGTGCCTGTACACGGAGAATGCCTGCTTTAAATGCAACTTTATGAGAAATTAGGGCTTATGCAGTCTAGTCATGATTTAGACCTGGAGTCTCCAACCCCAAGGTGCAGACTGGTACTGGTCTATGGCTTATTAGGAACCAGGCCATACAGCGGGAGGTAAGTGGTGGGTGAGCAAGCATTACTGCCTAAGCTCTGCCTCCTGTCAGATCATTGGTGGCATTAGATTCTCATAGGACTGTGAACCCTACTGTGAACTGCACAAATGAGGGATCTAGCTTGTGCATTCCTTATAAGAACCAAATGCCCGATGATCTGAGGTGGAACAGTTTTCTCCCAAAACCATACCCCCAACCTTCCATGGAAAAATTGTCTTCCAGGAAACCAGTCCCTGTTGCCCAAAAGGTTGGAGAATGCTGATTTAGACAGTCCAATCAGTGTTATTAACTAGAGCTGTGATCCTATGTAACGGCCTTCATTTTTTTCTACCTCTGATTCTCATCTGTGAAATAGGAATAATAAAATCAGGTTCTCATAGCTTGTGAGATACATACTGAAATATTTTTACAAGTTAGAAAGTGCAACAAACATATGAAATTACTGTTAAATGCAAGCACCTTCATAATTCTTTATATGTGTACTTCTATGAATTCCAGAGGACCATACCATCTAATGTCTGAAGTTTCTGTCAGGGGTTTACCTTCTTGGGTATCATTACAAGAATAAAAATACTACCCTAACATTTGAAAAGAAAAACCTCCTTATTATTATGTTTTTAAGAACCTCATTCTAAAGGCAAAGATCTTTCACCTTTGATATAGTTTGGCTGTGTCCCCATCCAAATCTTGTCTTGAATTCCCACGTGTTGTGGGAGGGACCTGGTGGGAGGTAATTTAATCATGGGGGCAAGTATTTCCCATGCTGCTCTCGTGATAGTGAATAAGTCTCACAAGATCTAATGGTTTTATAAAGTGGAGTTTCCATGCACAAGCTCTCTCTTTGCCTGCTGCCATCCACGTAAGATGTGACTTGCTCCTTCTTGCCTTCTGCCATGATTGTGAGGCCTCTCCAGCCATGTGGAACTATAAGTCCATTAAACCTCTCTTTCTTTTGTAAATTGCCCAGTCTCAGGTATGTCTTATCAGCAACATGAAAACAGAATAATACAGCCTTCAATCAGCCCTTTCTTTTTGGGCCAACCCCCTCCTTCCATCTCTGCCTCTGAACTGAAGCAACTTCACAACTAGTGGTCAGCTGAAGAAGGTGCCTAAATGGAGCACCTGAAAGCATAACCCTGGATGCTGCAGGCCCTATTGAATCCTAAGTTCTGAGGCTAAGGTCAATGGAACAGGATAGTATTTTGCCTAGCTGTCAAGATGCTTAAGTTAACTTCAAAATTATATTTAGTATGTATGGAATTTGTTTTAACCATGGCATCATATCAGGGGATATGTACATATAGAGGTTTTTTTTGTTAATCCACCGTTTGGTTGGTAAGACAAGCACTACCTTGTCTATAACCAGACAGTATATATGTTATCAGCTTCTTAGAGCATGTTTCTGCATTTCCCCAGTGTTACAGAAAATACCCATTTATAATTGTAAAATTCAAAAAATTCTTCCAGGGGGAACAAACATTCTACTTTGTTAATGCAAATTCGTTAACACAAATAAGCATGCGCGTGCGCGCACACACAAACACACACACACACACACACATACAGACGTACTGGGATTTTAAAATAATTTCTTTTTCTTGTTTTAGAACAGCATTAACTACCAGTATTATTTTTACAGTTTTGTACCATGATGCAGATCAGTTTTAAGGCAAGAAGGAGGATAATTTTAAAATGTGTTTCATATGGTCTGTTTTGCGTGGTAGGATAATCTGGATAAATCTTCCTTTGAGACATTCCTTTCGTTTATCTCTTTGTTTCTGCAACAACCTCCTTGTTCTTCACCTCCAGGAGGACAAACTTGACTTTTCCAGGGATTTACAATTATTTCCAGGTGTTGAGTAAAATACAAGATTGAAAGCACCATAATTTTCAAAAGTTCCTCACATCTTACATTTGTCCTTTATCTTTTAAATGCTCTGTTCATCATATTTTATAGAGTCATGTAGGTTGTAAGTCCTCCTGTGTTTGCTTTTGCATTCATATTTCACAATTTGCTAAGTTTACATCTATTTTTCCTCCTCTCATTGTCAGCATCCCCAGTGTCAATGGCTGAGTTCCTGATATTTTGTGTTCCTCCCTGAGACTTACTGAATCGTCTAATACGAAGACACTGAGCATACTCTTGGTGTGGGTTTCTCAGTGATGAAGGGGAGAATCTCTCATCTGTGCTGCCTTCAGCAGCTGTGTAAATACAGCTGGAAACTTGAAAGTGGACAGGGTCAATTGTAAATCGGTTTCCTTTCCCTTATGTGTTTTGGAATGCTGTTCTGAGAAAAACGAGCCGTGAATTTTAGTGGAGCCCTCCTGACTTCAACTTTTATACACATATGTAAGCAACCTTCTGGGTTTGGATAAAGCCCTGGACGTATAACTTCTTTAGCTTCAGGCTCTTCCTCAGACTTTGCATTGTAGAATATCCGAAACCTCATAACAAATGCAAATACTACAAATCCTTTACTCTTCCACATGTTTGCTGCAAGGGCGGTCTATTAGTTTCCCACGGTTGCGATAACAAAGTACCACAGACCGGAGGGCTTAAACAACAGGCATTCATTTCTTTACAGTTCTGGAGACTAGAATTCTGAGATCTAAGGTGTCACTGGGGTTTGTTTCCCTGGTGTTAGATGTGTTTCTTCCCACATCTTCGTGTGGTCTTCCCTATGTATGTGTCTGTGTCCTAATCTCTTCTTAGAAAGACACTGGTCACTTCAGGTTAGAGCCCGACCATATGACCTCATTTTACCTTAATTATCTCTTTAAAGACCCTATCTCCAAATACAGTCACATTCTGAGGTACTGAGAGTTCAGATTTTAGCATGTACATTTTGGGGGTGGTGTGTGGGGGGAGGGGACACAATTCAGCCCATAACAGGAAGGAAGCATGAGGAAAAGGGAGCTGGTGATAAGAAAATTACTCAAAGATAGCTACTGGAACATCATTGAATATGTGTGTTATACATTCAACAGGTATAAAATTGAACTCAGTGTCACCCACTGATCCTCCCATAGACACTTTTCTTCCTGTATTTTCTGTTTTAGGAAATCCCATCATCATCCAAGCAGTCACAAAGCCAGAATCTAGAATCATCTTAGACTCTTTTCTCCAGCTAATCTCCTGTGCTTTCTGAACCCATAATGAGTCCTGCAATTCTAACTCCATAATGCAACTTGACTCCTTCCCTCTTTTCCTTTCCCATGCCCTCCATCTTAATTTGGGCCATTCATATTTACTCATGTGAATTACTCTAATATTCTCTGAAATTGAACTCATTTCCTCATTTCTGCCCCTTCTCCGTGCTCAAATCCATCCGCCAAATTACTCTCAGAATAACCTTCCCTGGAAAAAAAAAATCTTGTCACTTTCAGATTACATTTCTTCTACAGTTTTGCATTACTTTAAGAATAGCATTCACATTTCTTAAGCATGAAATACAATTCTTTCCCTTCGGTCTGATTGGTTGAACTTAGGTCACCTGCTTATTAGCCCATTATCAGATCCAATTCAATACACTGATTGGCTAAGATAATTAGAATCTATTCCTTGGCGTCACCTTCCCTGGATCTAGCAGGCTGTATGGGAGGGATGGAGACCAGGACAAAAATCAAGATTTCGTTGAGAAGGAAGAAAGGGATAATGGATGTTACATATGCGATCAACAATGTATCCTGCGATCTGTTCCTTCATGGAATTTATAGTCTAGTGGTGAAGACAGAAAAATAAAGTCCAAGTTCAGGTGTAGAGTGGTAAGGACAAGTGTAGAGTTCTGTACCTGGTGCACTGTGACCACAAAGACTCCTTTCTAAATGAGATCAGCAGTTCAAAGAACATTTCTTAAAAAGGTGGTGATGCCTAAACTGAATGTGAGAAGAAGGAGCAGGAATTAGCAAATTGAAGAAGTGGGAAAGGGGCCTTCCAGCAGGAGGAATAGCATGTGGAAAGGCTCAAGGGTTGTGCAACAGTGTAACTCACTGCAAAAGTGCCCTCATTCAATCTGACCAGAGAGGACAAGACATGAGGCCAGAAGGAGAGGTGGGATCCATCAGGAAACATCATATAAGTTTTGTTCTATAAAGCAGTCTATAATACCTATTGCTACTGTATATGTAATGTTAACTTATATGCTAAACACTGTACACAGTCTCACATAATACAACAATTTGGCACTATGGTATGAACTCCAACTGAAAGATGAATAAACTGAGACTAAAAGGTTAAATGACTTATCCAAGGCCACATAGAGCTGGCTCTAACCACTTTTCTACTAACCTTTCACCTGGAACTCAGACTCATGGAACTGGTTACCCCAAGCAATGACATTGACCAAAAATTAATAAAGTTGCAGGAATATATAGATTTGAGATACATTTAGCTATAATCAGGAAATACTTGAGAATGACATATCTAAGGGAGAAGAAAAATCCTGTGTCTAAAGTACATCCTTTTCTACTGAGCAAATCCTGTGAGGGACTATTCTTTGGCATACTTGCCAGGGACAGAACCCAAGAATCAGGTTCTGACCCAGGGTTTTTATTTTCTTATACCATCTGGATGTCATCAGTCATCAGTCAAATTTCTTAGCTCATGATCTGCCCCTGCCTCTGCTCAGAAGGCCCCTTTCCTCCTTCAACTTGCTGACTCTTTCTCATTCTTCACAAATTCAGTTTAGGCCTCACCTCCCTTAGCAAACTTTCTTTGAACTGCTGGTCTGATTTAGAAAGGAGCCCTGGCATCCACAGTGAAACCTGTGCAAGAACTCTACAATCATCCTTATCACACTGCACCTTCACTTTGGCTTTGGCTGTCTCTTTACCCCTTCACCCCAGACGACAAATTCCATGAAGATAAGGACATCGCCTACTTCCCTTTCCTCCTCCCTACGAAAATCCTGATTTGGGTCAGGTCTCTGTCCCTCTTCAATGCAGTGCACATAACTCAAGGGAGGCTACCTCTTTCCACCTCAGGAGATGGATCTGATTGTTAGAGCTAGTGGTTCTCAATCAAGGATGAGTCTCCCTGACCCCTTGGAACATTTGGTAGTGTCTGGATACATATCTGGTTGTGACAACTGGCGTTTCCTACAGGCATCTGATGGGTAGAGGCCAGAGATGTTGTTAAACATTATACTATGCACAGGACAGCCTCACCCTCCATCCTCACCCCGTCAAAAAATTATCTTGTCCCAAATGTCAATATAACTGAAGGGTTGAGACATCTTAGCTGAAGTCAATCTTTGCGTGACTTTGCTTCCTGACTGGTAATGGCTTAGGGATAATTATGTGCCCTAAATGATCAATCAGAGTGAAGTGAAGGACTGATATTCTATGATTGAGAGAGAGATGATAAGGTTAGAAAGTCAGACTATAGTCACACTGTGGCAAAATATGGCCTTTATCCCGTAATGGAGCAGGGGATACCATGATTAAAAAGAAATTTTAGAAGAGTGGGTCTACTGTAACACCTACAGGATAGATGGAAGAGGGCAGAACATGGCAGCTAGGAGGACTGTGAGACAGCTATAGCTACAGTTTGAGTGAGGTGACATGGCATGAGTTTCTCATATATCCTTAAGTGATTAGCACAGCCCCCTTCACCTAGAGGAGACTCAAGAATGTTTCTTGGATAGTTGGATGATAACCGTTTTCTGGAACACAACAGATAAATAAGCTATGAATCTGACCCAGTGTTCTTAATACTTAAAAATCTGTCACCTGAATGTCTATCATTACAATGAAGAAAAATTGGCCAAGAGAGGTGGCTTGTGCCTGTAATCCCAGCACTTTGGGAGGCCGTAGTGAGGATTGCCTGAATCCAGGAGTTTGAGACCGGGCAACATGGTAACATGGTAAGTCTCCATTTCTTAAAAAAAAAAAAAGAAAGAAAGAAAGAAAGAAAAATTAACACTTCTCTGTGAAAGAACATCTTAGGGAAGTTTTACATAAACGTTAAAGTCCCTGTGTATGTATGTGTTTATATGTATGTTTCCTTGTAGAAGCAGCTTTTGAACAAATATCACTGGGATAGATTTTTGGTAGTCTGATTTGATGGTGCGCCCTTGGGGTCCTTTCCCAGCCTGACCCTGAGGTGAATGCCAAAGATCTCAATGTTGAGGTGCCCTTGAGCAGCGTGTTGGGGTTCCAGACTTGCAGATCAGCCCCCAGGCGTCTCCCCTCTCCCACCACCCAGCCTATGCCTTACACCTTCCTTCCAGTACTTCCCTGGCTGGTAAACTGGCCTGAAAGGGTCAAGGGAATTTGTTGAGTTTTATATTTCTTCCCTTTGTTCCTAGCTATGGCTGCCAAATCATCTTATTTTTGCAGGAAAATTACTGTGATGTTTTAGATTAATTCAGAGAAGCTTTCAGTGGGCTCCTTAAACATCATACCCAGTGCAGTCTAACAGGCATTTGTTGTGGCAATGGCTTTGTAGTTTTAAAGGTGACCTATAGTCCCAGCAACAAGCATACAGAGAACTCAGTGCATTCTTTTAGAATTGTGAGTGTAAAGTATTGCTTTTTAAGGTTTGCTATTGCTGTACCCAGTATGTTAAATCTAAAACATCAGACATTCTGTAAACACGTTTAAAAATTGAGTTTTGTAAATTTGCCTTATTTTCTTTGTTACAATGGAAAACATTGCTTTCAGTGATTAGGGGAAAAAGTGGATGGCAAATTTAGAAGACACTATGATCCTTTATATCTTTTTTTCTTGGAAAGGCAATTTAATTAGGAAATAATCTTCTCCTGTGACATCTGAGAGTTACCATAAAATGATATCCTGCTTTATTGGCAACAGAACCAGTTTATTTGAGTTTGTTGCAAAATTTTGAGCTATTACATTACTATGAAAAGATAGATTTTAAATAAGAACGACGAGTTTACAAAAATCAGAAATGGCAAAGCACTTTATTTTTTAAAGCAATCCTCGATTTTAAAAAGTACAATTTCAGACGGGCAGGCAGTGGGGGAGCGTATAGGGAAGGAGAAGGAAGCACCAGGGGAGTATGTCTTGGGCCGATCACGCCAGGCCGCAGCTCTGGCTGGTTGTGCGCGTGTGACTGTGTGCACGTGTGTGTGTGCACGCGCAGCCACAGGACCTCTGGGCCCGGCCTTCAGGGGCGCTCCCCGCCCCGGGCTTCCCCGCGGAAGGGAGTGGGGCGCGCGTACCCAGCTGAGGGGCAGGGTCCGACCCGAGGCCGTGTGCAAATGCATCCTTCGCGGACTCTTTGTGTGTCTGAGCGCGGCTCCGCGCCGCCGCAGGCACCATTTTCTGCTTCGCTCAGGACAGGCACATAAAAGGAAGGCGGCTGCCGCCCGTCGCCGTCCTCTTTTCCTCAGATGCCCTCTGCTGCAGGTTTATTATTACAGTACGGGCCGCGCCGCCTCTCCCCACGGCCCTGGCGGGCCGCCGGGCTGTGCAGCACCCTGGCCGCCTTCACGCTTGGCGCGCCCCCAAACCGCCTCCTCCACCTCCTTATTTGTCTGAAAAGCAACCGCACGTCGAGGCGGAGAGGCTGGCCGGGGGCGGGGAGGAAGGCCGGGGATTTGCGCGCGCCGTGCTCCCGGGGCGGGGCCGGGGCGCAGAGCTGCGGGTCCGCTTTGTCTCCCCGGGGCGCCGCGCGGTGCAGTGGGGACGGCGCGGCGAGCGGGGCGCCCGGGGCGCGGGTGCGGGGTGTCGGGGCGCGCGCGCCTGTTGGCCGCTCGCCGACGGGGCCCAGAGCCGCCGATTCCTGCCGAGTAAGCAGTCTGGCTCCTAGGCGGCTGCACAGTGGCAGCAAGGCTGGGGCGCTGGCTCCGCGCCAGCTCCATCAGAATTAGCTCATTGTTCACTAGCACCCTAGCGGGAGAGAGAGGGAAAGGGAGAGAGAGAGACTCTTAGAGAAAGAGAGAGACACACACACTCTTGGAGAGAGAGCGCGAGGCAGGGAGATGATCTCCTCCTCCTTTTTCCAAGGCTGCACTTCTTGGAAGTGAAGCCGGTTTGGGTTTTGTTTCCCTTCCCCCTCCTCCCTCCTCTTCCTCCACCCCTTTCCCCTCCCCCTCCCTCCCCCAATCCCCCCTCCCCCCCCAATCTGTCTTTCTAGCATGTTGCCCTTTTTCAACCACATTTGTGTTTCAGGTGTAGAGAGGAGAGAGAGTGAACAGGGAGCGGGGCTTTTGTCTGTAAGTATATGCCATTCCTATCCCCGGCTGGGAGCGCTGGTTTCTCTTTTGTGTCGATTCCTTGCCGTTGCTCTTAGCTGGACCCTTCAACCCTGCAGAGTTCATGCTTCTTCCCTCTAAATTTTAAAGAGCTGAAGCGTGTACCTTGGAGAAATTCTGGCATTTTGGTTGTGCTGCATTCAGGCTGGAATTTAACTTGGGTTTTTTCTAAAATGCACAAGTTCGGAGGGAGAAATGAATTCTTTTGGGAAGGGGTGGGGTTTTGTGCTTGTTGGTGTGGTTAATTTTGTTCTTCTTGCTCCTAAAGCCTTGTTAGAAACTGTTGTGTTTCTTTGCATTAAATGCACTTTGGTGCATGCAAGCTTTTCCTCCCTTTTTATAAAATGAATTTGTGTCCCTCCGCCCTTACACTTGATTACTCTTTCAATGCTGCTGCTTCCGAGGGTCTTCTTAGGCATTCGATCTTGCAGCACTTTTTTCTGCATTTTCTTATAAAGCAGTTGAACTTTGGCGGGGAGGGCCTTAAAAATAAATGACTGTTTTTTTCTTGGTGATTATAATAATCTGATGTGCATTTATGTGTATCTATAATAACATTATAGGAAAACTCTAAGAGCGAATGATACCCTTTTTGAGAACTTTTAGTTTCTCCATTCATCTTAATTTTTGTCATAACTGTGTTAACAAAAGAGCGGTCTTCTGATAATATAAAGGTTGAGGGTAAATCACTGCAGCAGTATGTACATTAATGTTTATTTGGTTTAGGGAGAAGGACAGAATGGTGTATATTCCTGACTCCCCCCACCCCCCCCGCCGTGTAGGGTTTTTTTTTTTTTTTTAAACACGGAAGGTTATGTAATGCAGTGCCATTTCCAAAAATATCCACTCTGAGGCATTACACTACACGGTGGAAGGCTGATTCCTATTCTGTCGTCTTGATTGCAAATATACTGCCAGTAGTATGTCTGGGAACAAAGAGCAGCCAGAAAACAATCTATTTTTATCACTTGGTTCTACTTTTAAGTTGCTAAACCTTTTGAACTCATGCAATTTAAAGATGAACCAAACACTAAGAATAGCCCAGGACTCTGCAAAGCCAAGTACCAGGGATTCCTTTGTCCCTTAGTTAAGCCTATAGGCCACTTGGAAAGCTCTTTCAGAAATCCCAGTAGTTAACAATAATTTGCATGTAACTTATCTTAACCACAGAAAATGGTTATTCGTCTGTAACCTCTAAAGAGGCATTTTTCGTTTGCTGACCTGTGGTGAGGCGATGTGTCTACTGTATTTAAACATATTTTGCAGGTTGGTCTCCCTGGACTGAAGAGAGGGAGAATAGAAGCCCAAGACTAAGATTCTCAAAATGGTAAGACTTGGTCATCAGAGGAGATTCTCAGTACTTCTTACCAGTCTGTTACATATAAATATCAACCACCCATCTTCATCCGCCTCAACCCTTCATTGTTCTACACCCCATCTGACCTTTAAAAGGTTCTATCTCCAGTTCCTGGGAGCGTTGCAGTACAGCAATTTATGTGAATTGGATGTGGCAAATTAGTTCTTTGACTTGCAATTATTTTGAATAGAAAACTAAAATTCCTCTTTCAGAAGTGAGGATTTATTTAATTTGAACAACAGAAACTATTCGGTTCTTTAAGAAGAGTGATGTGTTGTGACACGCATGGAGGTGGTGACAGCAGTAGGGCTCAAACAAAGCCTTGGGTCTTAGAGCTAGGCCGAAGTTACCCAAAACTGAGGAGTCTGTCCAGCTGATCAAACAGCTACTGTATATGCTATCCTTTAAAGCAATATAGATGAAAAGCATGAATTTTTATATTAATGTGCCCCATCTATTTAAATATAATTACTGTTATTTTTCTCGATTTATAATTTCATTTGTGAGAGACATGTACTCAATTTTAGAAGTCAAGCATGTTAACCTCTAAATAAAAGTATAACTATTTCTGACAAAGCTTATGATCCACAGAGAATGCAGTTTAATGTTTGATTACTGATTAAGGAAACAGAAGGAATACACATTAAAAGCAGCTGAATAAGTATATTAATCATCTATGAAAAATTTCCTCTTTGGAAATAAGATGAACTAAAAAAAATAATAGAAATATCATAAAACTTTTTAGTGAAGTACAGCGTGTCCTACTGCAGATGTTTATACTCTTTAAAACACCTCTTTGTCACTTAGAATGTGTGATTTCCAAATTTAGTTTTAGTTTTTTTCTTTGAAACGAGGGTGGAATTTAATGAATCAAAATTTAATCTGATATCTTTGATGTTTTCTTTGAGAACAACCCAAGTATAAGCTTCCAAGGAGAAAAATGAATCAGGCAGTTAAATGAGTTCAGTTTGATTTTTATTAACAAGTGTTTTATTTTTTATGTATGCGTCACTTGTCATTTCAACAAGTGGGTGTCAAAGCACCACATGGACCTTGTTTGAAAATGATCAAATTAAGGAACTTGAGGTAGAAAGACAAAAGAAGTGAACATAAAATTAAGCTAATCAATGGATTTTGTGCAAATGGTTCCCAACTTCATATTAAATTCTTAATTAGCTGTTGTCATAGAATAATAGGATGGTAATAAAATCAACTGCTGTAAAGTATTTGTGTTTACTTATTTTTTACTGTGACTGGCCACATCACCTTGCCTCCAAGCTCTTTATCTCAGAACGTTACCTACTTTCTGTGACCATAAATAGATCACAGAGGTTTCATGTATGTTGCAATATGTCAGGTGACCAGTTTAAACATAAATATGACTATGGACCCTACCAAAACTAACTCTATAGATCAAGCTCAAAGAGTAAGATACCATGTTTCTGTAGTAGTAAGTAGAATGAGCTTTGTAGAAGGTAAGCATGCCTGCCAAAGCTGAGAGTGGAAGTTGGAACCATTTGAATGCAGAAAAGCAAATGCAAATTATTATTACGTGTTAATTTTTTTGCAGTTGTCGTTTATGTATGGTGGCAGAATGGGGAATCACAATTTGTTGCTCCTGGAAGGATTTTTACTCATGAAAAAATTCTCACAACTTTTTGGTGATCCTTTCATCAAGATGTCAGTCCCTTTTGGCACAAGCCCATTGCCTGAAATGAAACCACTGACAGTTATTGTCTGTGGGTGATTCCAAGTAACTTTCTAGCAATTCTCTTTTTCCAGAAAGTCTTGAGATCTTAAAAGTCTTTGCACATATTAATGTAAAAAAAGGTTTCACTTTTTTTTTTTTTAAGAAGTGATATTAGAGGTGTCTTTGTATCTCCTCTTTCTGCCTTTTGGCAAAATCAAGTTAGTTTTCTTCCCTTGATTAAAATTGGAATTACTTTGTGGACCTCTGTAACTGGCTTACTTAGAGTGAAGACTTAGCCCACATACAGTAGAAACTGCTTCTAGTGAAGCAGTAGATTTGTCTCCTGGACACCTCTAGAAAATACATAAGCATGGCTCTCCTGTTAAACTTGTATTTCCAGTTACATAATTTAAAACGCTAAAGAGGATCTAATTTCAGTATATTTTACCTATTTAGTAAAGGGCTTATTTCAAATACAAATTTATAATCAGCTCATTTTAGTGTAAGAAATTATTTAGTAGATTCCAGAATTCGTAACAGTGACTCAATATCTAGACTTTTTACGTATCTAAAATGATAATGTTTTACAACAATAATGTGGAGACACTTAAGGATTCTCGAGTCCCTTCTGTATCATTTATATATCTATAAAATATATATATAATCTATATATATCTACATATCATATATATATACATATATATATATATATATATATAAAATCAACTTGTGCAGCTCTAGGAGGCACCAATTACATGTGTTCTGTGTATGGGCCTCCTTGAACGCCACTGCACGGAGTGCTATTTACATAAAGTTGTGCATGGTGGCACCTAGGGTTGTGCAACTCAAGAGTACTGTTAAAAGTGTCAGTTTTGAGTATAGTTTGCTGTATCTTAGTTGAACAGAACATTTTTTTCAATAAGTCATTCTCCAACTTTTTGTTTTCTAGTAAATATGCCTCTCCCACCCCCACAGTTTTGTGTTTTTTTTTGCAATTAGTAGGATATTAAGTCTTCAGCATTTCTTTAATTTACATTTGGCTTTCTGCTAAATTTTAATTGCTATGATTGTATTTTACATGAGATCTATTTAGGTATTCTATTTTAAAGGCACTTGCTTTGGATAAGTTAATGAGAAGAAAACAGTTCAGAATGAATAGATGATCCTATTGAATAGTTTGAAAAAATAAGTTATTTAATCCAATGTCAAGGTTAAGTCCTGGTTTTCAACATGATTGCCTTCTACACAGTGAACTTGCCTCTCAGTGTGTGTGTGTGCCATGGACTCACAGTGACGTAAGCATGAGTTCATTATGTTTTAACAGAGACCTAGGAATTGGAACAATATAAGTTCTCTTTAAGACTGATGCTGAGCTTTTAAAACAGATGAGTTGACTCCATTGTACCATTCATAGAGCTCTGCTTTCTGTATAGTTTGTGAAGTGGCATTCATGGGCTTACAAGAAGACTCTTTCAATAATCTCTCCATTAACATAAGGTTTCCTTGTTTAAAGAAAAAGACAAAGATTGGGGAGGGATGCGGTCCTATTCATAGCTTGTACCATTGGGCTTAGAATGTAAATATACCAGTTGCTCAGTGACTCTTGATTGTGGAGATGCTGAAGAGTACCTAAGAGAATAATTTTATATGGTACTGTCTTTTTCACCACAGTTTCCAGTGAACAGTGAGGGAGAGAATTGGGAATCGTTTGAGGAATTAGGACAGTTGGGATAGTCTATTTGGGTTAGCCCAGTCCTGCTTCCTCTTGAGCTATAGAGATAATTCAGGTAGGAAAAGGTATTTGAGCAGCAATCTTAGAATAAACAGCTGTTCCGAGTATCATTCCATTTTAACCTGATACAGTTCTTTAAAAGATGTAAATCAGATCATCATCATAAATACATTGAAGAAATTTACTTTGTTTTAAATCCTGAGATGACTACTTCTAAAATAGGAAAATATACTTCTAAAATATGAATACTCTGCTAAACCAAATGAGTGAAACCCAAATTTATACTTGGCCATTAATGAATTTTATACTTTGAAGTATTAATTTACTTGGTCAGTTAAAGACCTGATGTGGCATTCAGATGCACTGGGCTGACTGGGGATCCTTGGCGTAACTTCGTGGTCCTACATTTTTTTTAATTAGTGCTGTTCCTGGTTGGAAAGTCTTTTAAGGCCATATCCTCATAGCCAAAGTGAAATGGAGGGTTGAAATAATTATCTGAATAATTATGCTCAAAAAATTGATTTTGTCTGATTCATCTTGGTAATTCCAAATGTTGCTGGAGTGATGTAGGAGTGAAGGATTTGCCTGAATTATCTGTATAATTCCCGTGTTATACAAGAAAAAACTAGGGATAAGGAAATCGTACCAGCAAATCCAATTTGAATATACCAGAGGAAAATGTACTGAATGTACTTGGATTATGTCATCTTGGTTGGTAAAGATATATTACAATATATCAATTTTAAAGGCTCCTCTACTTTGTACTGGATAGCAGGTTAATCATAAATTCTTAGTCCACATCTGTAGAAATTATGATTGCTAAGAATATTTATTGGGTGTAAATTTATTTGAAATAGATTTTTCTGAATATATTTTGTACCTAGGAAGAGCTTCAAGAATAGTTCATTTCAATGGTTTAAAAAATAGCAGTGATCCTGAAATTGATCTGTTAGTGCAAAAGTATTAACAGCCCTAATGGTTTGGGACTTAAGCATTAACACGGCTCTCAGCTAAATTCTAAATATCACTTCAGTTATTAGTAGTAATACCATGGTATTAACCAGGGTGCGATTATTTGTTAGTTGGATCATATGCATTTCTTTCCTTGCTCAACTAAATTATAGGCCCCAGAAGGTTTTATAAACTTCATATAGTGCTTGGTAAAGTATTAAGTACATGGTAGAAGCTCAACAAATATTTCATCTATGCATATTAACATCTATTAAGTTGAATTTTTTTAATTCATTCTTAATGATTTAATCGTGTTTAGTTTTTGTGAACTAGAAGTAATTTGTATCCTTAACCTCTTTTTTAAAAGAGGTAGGAAGCCGAAATGAATGCAATTTTAGTTTACACAGAAAATTATTTTCCATTATTAAAGGGATAAAACAAAGTGCGGTGAAACCATAAAGTGTGGCACTTGCCAAAAGAACGTGACTTGCAATGGCTAACCTTTCCCAGCTTCCAGAGCCACACTCCGGCAGTGTGGTGCGATGCCATCTCTCTGGGTTGGATCCAGCTATGGTATTTAAAGCTCACAGCAGCTTTTCCTGCAGCCTGGACCCAAGAGGAGCTTTACTCCCAGTATTGGAACTTTCTAGCCTTCACTTAGTTCAGTAGAAGCTATTTCTGTGATTCTGTGATGTGCAGCAAACTTAACAATGTAAAACAATATAATCTAGTGCTAAATGGTACGAGTGATGTTAGTGAGGACTGGGGATTGGGGATAGTGGAAAACTTATATTAAGAAGGTAGAAATTAAGCTGGAGCCAGAAATAGCAAGAATATGGCTATCTCCATCACTAACTTTTATACCTGTGGGAGACATTGCTAATCAACCTTGACACTCGTTATTATTCAGCTTGAGTATGATTTCAAAATCCTCAATACAGTGTTCCAGGGCGCCATTAACGATTGGAGTTGGCACAAAATTTGAAACTAGAAGTGGACTATTTGCTCCTTGAGAGTAAGTACTATGCTTTTATTAAGCTTTTTATTTCTAGGACTTAGGACCAGTCCTTATATTGAGTGAGTGAAGACTTAAGAATATTTGGGTAGATTTAGATGAGAGAGAGGAGTATTCCAGATAAAAGGAGTGCATTAGAGAGTTAGGCTTGCAAGAGTAAGCATAGTACCTTTTTACTATCATAGGGGAGATCTTCCTCCTTGTTTAGGACCTCTGTGCTGTCAAGGACAGACCTCAAAAACTAGACCTAGAAGTCAAGGACTTGATGTGCTAAGCAATAGGAAGCCCCTGAGCAGGCATCTTAGAGATGGCCCAGGGCTCTCACTCAGGTTACCAACCTGTCTCAGGTTCTTTGCCTTTTGATTGTGCTTAACAGGAAAGAACACACACACTCACTCACTTACACTTTCTGGTTAAAGGTACAGCTTACTTTATTGCTCCCTCTCACTCCCCTTAGGCTGGGGTGGAATGGTGGAGAGAAGAAAGGTCTCTAGCTAGAAGGAACTGGGAAGGGAAAAGGGAGCATGCTTATCCTTTTCTTGAGAAACTGGCAGCACTTTCATTGGCAGATCCCAGCAGGTTCAGCAGTGTCTGCTTGGCCAGAGAGTATGTTGCTGCCTTGCAAGCTCCCCGATAGAAAGATCATGCTTCCCTCCTGTGAGGCTGACTGGGTGCTGGCATGTGCTAATCAGTTGCACCCCCATGTACCTAGCTGCTTTTCTCTTTCCATTTCTTCCCGATTAACCATACTTATTGAAAATGTAAGCCAACGCTTATGTCATCACAATAAAATTGTTTACAATTTGAGGCCTACATGCTGTTACTAATGTAGTCAGTAGTGTGGTGACCAACCAAAGAGAATCTCCTCACATGATAGACGAAAATCGAGTAAAGCCAAGTCCAAGAGGGATTTTTTTTTTTTCCTGCAATCTCTTATAAATAGCACAGAATGTTACCTTGGAATGCATCAGCTGCAAGATTTTCAACATGAAATGATGTGACTAGCTCTTTTAACCCCTTTAGATGAGGTGGTACTTGTCTGTAAATCTCTCAGTAAAAGTGACATAGGTAAGCATTGCTCCTTGAATTCTTTATGCCTTCTCCACCTCATACCTTCAAGTAATTTTTTTTCACCTGCTATGTTTAGAACTTCCAAAGTTTTATTTCTGCGGCTTGACAGATAAGCCAGGAACTATATGAATTAATCCTTTATTTCTAGCCATAGTGGATTGTATTTTCTTAGAGGGAGCAGGCTACTTCTTATTCTCAACTGCCCCAGGATTCCCTCTTTCTGTGCCTTTGCTTATCTTGATTCTAGAAGGAATACACCTCCTGACAAAATAAAGCCATTCTTCAAGACTGAATTTGAATGGCAACTCCTCTATGAAACACCATAGTACATTCAGCAGGAATCTTCTTATGTTCCTCTGTATACTTATCACATGTTTAACTTTCTTCTTGCGGCTGGCTTATTTCTGCATGTTTTTCTACCCTCCGAGGTTGTATACTTGATAGAAGAATATTGACCACTTAGTAACTGAGCAACACCTTTCCCTTTTTGGTAGCAGTTGAGGCTGTGATGCCTTTTTTTTCCATTTCCTCTACCAGTGGGATGGTGAATTCAGATGTAGAAAAGTTTCATTACTGAGAGAGAACTTTCAGTAATGAAATTGTAGAGAAATTGGTGTTCTCTTTCTACAAAGTGGTTTGGTGTTCTCTTTCTACAAAGTGAAAGGAAACTCTAACCTTCACTGACATTTCCTAATGAGACCTTGGAATAGATCCCACACCATGAACCAGTCTAATCTGTGCTCCCATACCTAACTAGGATCTGGCACATCCTCAGTGATCAACAACTGTCTGCGGAATAAATGAATGAGTCAGTGGTCATGGATACATGACAATCTGTTATTTCTGGGCAGGACCAGGTTGCCCACTTTGGTATCATACAATGAGTCATGGCCGGACACTGCACTGCTGTGATAGCTTGGTTATAAGTCAGGCATTCCGGGAAATGAAATGAACAGGCACTGATGAACAATTTACTACTGAAAAGAGGCTTTCAGTGAACATTTTAGAAGGCTCAAATGTTTGGGAAGTAAGGGGGAAGAGTTAAGTGAGATCTAAGCACACTACAAAAATGACTCCTAAAATTCTGTGTTCCATTCTTTTGCACTCCTTTGGGCAGAAGAGGTCCTGAGAATCCAGAAAGCTAGGTTGGTATGGTCTGATAAAAAAGGAATATCACTTTAGGGTAGTGGCACACATCTTATCCACAACACTGGCTGTGGGGCGCCACTATGCGTGAGGGTATTAATGGTGCTTTTCCAGCGGGCAGCACAGTTTGTCTCAATAGTCTGACTGAGGCAGTCATGACAGTAGACCAAATCTGCCCTGGTTTCACAGGGTAATGAAATCTTTTAAAGTGAAATTGTTGCCCATTATGACCTTAGAATGGTTTCTAATCTAAGCTTTTTGCCTTGAAAGTGTTATGATAATCTAGCTAGAGATATTTTTAAATCCCTGATTTTAGACTGCTTGGTTCAGTGTTCCTCCTTATTTTCATGGAGCAAAATATAAATATAACTTATATTCAAGAAGGAGAAGGAGTAAATAACATAAGAGAACGTGGCATGAAAGGAAGGTCTGTCTGCCCCTTTTCACTGAAATTTGGGAACCAGAGCCATTGATTGAAAAGGAAGGGGGAGTAGCCAAGTAGTTGTTGCCAATAAAAATGCCAAGCCAAAGACTCACCAATAGGTAATTAAAACAACAGGGAGACTCATAATGTGCACAGAAGTTTTGCTGTGGCTGCCAGCTCCAGCTCTTCTCTCCCCCATCCCAGCTCTTACTCAGATCACCATCACACACCATGTCCTTTGATTACTGGAGCAGGTAACAGCCTTCCTGCTGAATTGAGTTTGATACATTTCCAGCAGGGAAAAGTACTACAGTCCAGTGGCTGAACAAGGAGAAATCTACAAAAGTTGTTTTGTTTAAAACGGGTCCAGGCATCCTGAGGACGCTTTCATTGGATAAAGTTGGTGTCTGATATATAACTTATTCTTGGACAGGAAAGAGTAGAAATTAGGAGAAGATACTGCTTCTTTGCCAGCCAACTTTCAGACTATCAAGGGAAAACTAGTCAGTATTTATATGGATAAAACTTATTGACTAAGGTGCTTATAAACATGACCCAAGTAAGGGTTTGATATTAACTATTTCCTCCACGAAGTACTGTTTCATGCCTCCCACTCAGTCATCCTAGTGAAAGCCACCCAGAAGGCTCATTGGGACCATGATGTCAAAGTCTGTTCTTGTGCTCATTTGCCAGACATTGTTGAGTGTCAGTAGATGAGTGCGCCATGTGGGTTAGGCAGCACATGGTTGAACACTTAACCTAGTGCCTTCTGCATCAGAGGAACTCAGTTAATAGTAGCTTAAAGAATGAATGCTGTGCAGGGAATGTACCCACCGTTTAAAAGCATGCAATATCGGAATTTCAGTTGTGTTGTTAACAGAATTAGAATTTGAATAGATAAATCATATGAACTAGCCCACCCCTTTCCTGAGTAGACTTCCGGGGATTTGGTGGCTTAGTTTGAAAAAATCTTTTTGTAAAAGTATTTTCTTTGCTACTTTGATATTTCCAGCCCAAACTAATGGGACTTACTCTTTGATAAGATGCTAATTGTATAGGATTAAAAACTGCCTATGAAATATTCAATACCTGCAGAATGTACTTAGTAAATATGTCTTTATTGACTGGGTAATTGAGATTATATACCTAGCCAATTTAGTTAATATAGGATCAAAAATTCTGTCCATATCTCTGAGCCCTTATCTTCACAATTTTAGTCCTTTATTAATTGGATTTAACTTTTCCAAAGCCTGGATGCTGTGGACCAGAACTGAGTCTCCATTTCTTACTGCCCTGTGGAGTCTTGGGTCTAAATATATACCATGAAATGCCCTGGCCTTGCATATTTTTTTTACTTCTTGATAATAGAATCTTAAATTGTTTTGATCTTGTTATCAAGGTCTGGGAGACAAGTCTCCACATCTTTTCATTTAATCTTTATTAAACCTGTTTTTCCTTTTTTTAAAAAAAAATGATAACCACTTTTTGAACTTTAATTTTACTATATGAGGCTTGACTGTCTACACTGGCATAATCAATCAATTCAATCAGAAATCCAATTAAATTTGTTCTTTGCATCATAGAAACAATTCATCTGATAATCATTGTGAATTTTTACTAAATTGATGAGCTATTATGTTGTTTAGATGAAGTCAGAGGGTCACTACATCTTTGACTGTGATTGAATACAGTACTCTACCTGCAATATGAGGATCAAATACAGCATACCTAATTATTTGCTATTTGATACCTTTAGGATGTTAATAATTAGTTTGTTGCCCCATCTGCATCTTTCCATTTGTCCATCTTTAGAACTGGCTGGATTTCTAATACATTAATTAAAGGTTTCCAGATGGAGTCTGGTTAAATTTATTTTTCTTCCTGAATTTATCATTCTTAGTAGTTTATATACTGCCTCTCTTGTCTGAAAAGTGTTTATATTCTTCAACTGAGAGGAACAAAAACACTTCATATTTTTATGCAGTATATGGTTTGTGTGTCTGCAGATCATTGATAAAATATTTTTTAACTAAGCAGTTTGTTTTTAAATTGAGTTAACATTTCGAAAAGCAAAGTTATAGTGAACAGGATTTCAAATGCAGTTGATGAAAGAGAAAGCTATACTGAATTAGATTGTCCATTGGTAGCCATCTGAGAAGGAACTGTTTGAGAGTTCATTTGGGGGTCATATAAAACAATCTGGTTTCTCAGCAAATGCGTTTTGTTATTAGCTGCAATGATGCTACATATTTATATTGTGCTGGACATTTCCTTCCAGGGAACATTGAAAAAAGAAAAAAACTGTGGTTACTAGTATTGCTTGGGTTTAATTAGATCCAAAGTCTTAATGTGGCCAAGCCAAAGTTGTTACTCTAAGACTGGTCTTTCCTCCAGGACTGTAGCAACACATGAACACTGGAGACCTTGGGCAGGTTCCCTGACTATTCTCCCTCAGTGTTCTCATCTGTAAAATGGTGACGATGATGATAATAGTAGCTAACACAGATCTGCTTACTTATGTGCCTGATCCTGTTGCCAGCGCTTTATATATATTTGGGTTTATTTCTTCCTTGTGGTAACATTGTGAAGATTAAATGAGTGCACCTGGAAAACCTGCCCAAAGTTAACAAAACATTATAGTGGATTGTACTATGCATTTCTACAGAAAACTGTGGGTTCCCGAATTTACATACTCTGTCTCTGTGGGTTCCAACTACTCCTGTTTATTGCTCATAGTTCCCTTCTTTTGGAGAAGTATAGTTGTGGTGTTTGGTTTACAATGGAAGAAAGACTGAGGGGAAAAATCTATGGTTGAGGTCTTCTCTTGTTGGAGAATACAGTCAGAATTTGGAATGAAAGCCTGAGTTTCCACTACTACCTTTTTCATATTAAACTACCGATGATTCTTTTTCTAGGGAACTTAAGCCTCTAGTTTGGATTTTCACAACTCTTGAAGCCTGTGTTTCTTGGGTGACAACTAGCCCTGAAACACATCTGTTTGGGTTGGGAGCTCCTCCCTTCAGTCTTCTCTGCCTCACATGGTACTGCCGGACTGAATCCCTCATCAGAGAGAAGCCCTCTACTTAATCAGACTTGGCTCCACCCAGAGGGGTTGAAAACCCAGGTGGTGTGCAGGGGCATATCCATTCTAACCCTATTCCATTCCTCTTGTACTTTTAGTTTTCTGACAGTTTTCTTAGAAGCCTCTTAGTGGCTTCTTTTTGTCCTGAGCATTTAAATAGCATGTGGATACAGATCTGGATATATTTTTTCTTCTTTAAAAAAAAGTCAGAATTCTTACCAGATAAGAATTCTGTACCCTGTGATTTACACCAATTTTAATTACATCCATCTGCAATAGAAACCACTTTCCCTCCAAATTTAGTGGTCTGTTATGATACTATTTGCTATTGAAGAGATACCAGTTTTTAAATGACCAGGACAGTGCAAGACAAGCATTGAATTGTGAAATAACTTTAGCTAAATGCTGAAGGGTTTGCAGCTACCAGTAGAAGAGGATACATTGATGGAAAGAGTGAATAGTTTCTTTTGGAATGAGCACTTCGGGGGAAAATGCAGACTTTCTGGAAAGCTCTGTCTTGCACATGTCAACAAGAGGAATGCTTTGAAATCGCTTCAGACTCTTCAAAGCAACTAACTATCTCATCCACCCAGACCAAGAAAAATCCAAAATCCTATGTCTAAATAAATACTTACCTCATCAGCCCTTAACTGAAGGCTTTAACAAAAGAAATCGTATTTTTGAATAATTATTCTTTCATGTTGTTGGGGGAAAATTTTCATAAGATTTTAGTGGATAGCACAGTAATTTTTGGACAGAAGGAAAGAAAACATAGCATTCTTGGTGACTAGAAATTAAACTTCATATAGTTATTTGAAGGTGAAACTCGGCATAGCAAACTTAAAATTATTCAAACCAGCTAATAAAAGCAAGTCTAGATGTTTCCTATTAACCTTGGAATGTGCTTGGAAAAAGCCCTGCTACTCCAGATGTCTAGTATTAGAAAGCATATCAACAGCTTTTACTCTCAATTGTGGTGAATAATACCATTCTAAAATTCACAAGTGCAGTTTGGTGTGCTGGGGCATAATATAGAATTAGTATTCAAGTTTGTTCTTTCTTTTTAAATTCTTAATATATCTTAAAAGTCGGAGAAACATCACAAGATGTCATATTCCTAATTTCTTAGTTACAAATTAAAACCAATTTATATAATGGAATAAGGTGGGCCAGACTTAGAACTCAGATGTGTTAAGTAAATATTTATTCTGGTTCCACTCCAGGGAGGTAAAAGATTTTATTAACATATTTCTTGAATTAATATATTTCTTGAGGTCACAGGGGCAAAGAAAAGCTTATGCAGTGCTTAAATGCCTGAGGGGCCTTTTTGCTGCAAGCTAACAAAGGCTGATTTTTTTTTTTTTCTTCACTAAAGAGAGCAACTATCTTGTATTGTGGCCTTTGCTTTATTATTGTTCACTCACAACTGCATAATCTCAAACCAAGTTTTAAAAAGGCTGCTTTATTTTTTTCCCATTGTTTGGAAAGGCTCTTAGATATTACTTATAAGATTTGTATCCAAGCTTTATTCTTGTGCTTTTTCTCCTGGTTTACTTTGGGCTGTTACCAGCCATTTGTACTTTGTTTTCTCTTCATTGCTGAAAAGAAAAATTGCCCATTAAAAGTCAAGATTTGAAGTGCTGAACTTAATTCCTTGAGTCCAGTCCACAGTTTGGCTCCGATTACTGTACCAGGCTGACCTCCAGTCCAAGGGAGGGTGCCTTGGCAGAAATCTGAGAATTCCTCGATCAGTGACTCCCTTTTTTGGATTTATGGAGTCTTTAGGTGGATTGCTTTGTGCTAAATGTGCTCTTATTGGAAAGGAATGGGGCTGGAATGAGAGGAACACGATGTTGCACAACGTAAATGTTTGCAGCTGACCTCCGTGTTCACTATGCTTGAATTAGCTGGCTGTTGCTGCACCTGGCCTTGAACCATGTACCATCAAAGCCCAGAAAACTCACGTAATGAATGGTTTTAAGTCGTGGTGAAAAAGAAAAGTCGGGTAATTCTGTTAACCTTTTGTGGCTGGCTCCTGACCTGATTTCTTGCCCCCCTTGAAAGTCTTTGCTATTATTCTTAGAAATGAAATTTTAAAACACTCAGCAGCCAAACAAGCAGAATATTACATTGTGGAACAGAGTGACTGTGAAAGCTCTTTGTGCTGACGATTAATTTCACATGTAAACACTTTCATTTTGTTGCCAGCAAGGAGATTTCCTTTTCCTTTCTGTGCCTAGTTAAAGTCTAGAAATAAAATTCCACAGCTGTCAGGTTCCCACATATTCATCAGTGGCCTCTCAAGATGGCTTCACGATGAGCAGAGTGAATTTAGAGGATTCCACTATTAAAGTCTGCAAAGCTTGTTTCAGACACCCCAACTCATAAGATCAAGAATTGTAAATCTTTTGCCTTCCTGACATGTAATGTTGGACAGTAACATCATCTGTGGCATAATATTAATAAAATATGAACGCTTTCTGTGCCCGTAGTGGGAATACACACCCGAAGCGAAGCTAATGCCAATGGGTTTAACCAATTAGTGAGCCATCATTGTCTTCCTTATTGAAACACAGTTGTCTCCCCCAACCTCTATTTGTACATGTTAAGGACTTACCAGGCAATGAAACTCAAGGAGTGTCAGCAGGTGCCACAAAGGCCTTCCTTTCCTTTCTAGCAGGAGGGCATTTATGAGTCTAGAGTGCAGTAGTTGGGTGTTCATAATGCATACTCTGTAATTACCCATTGTTACCACAGCCAGCTCCAGTGTGTGTGTGTGTGTGTGTGTGTGTGTGTGTGTGTGTATGTGTGTGTTTAAATTAGGTCAGTGCATGTTTCGTTTAGCCCCCAAGCCAGAATGCTTGCCAACCTAAGCCCCAGCACTTTTATTCTGCTTTCCAGAATGTGCAGAGGTTACGTACATCATCTGAATGGCCCAGTGTTCTGCAGGCTTACCTTTTTGTCTTCCAGTGGCAACGTGTTTTCCCCACTGTGTGCTTCTTCTCCAAGCAGCATTCACAAGGTTAGGCAGATCTCTAAGACTACGTCTCTAGAGAGACAGCACAGTGCATCATCTTTTGGCACCATCTAATCTTTGATGTAATGTTGTTCAGAGAAAATGATCCTTGTAGCTCATTTATGGTTTCAGTTTACATTTGGCCCTCTCATATGACCAGTAACACCTGGGAACAGAGTGGCTTTTGAGGGAGATTCTTTATAGCACCACCTCAAAGGGTTTTTGCAGAAAGGAAGTGTATGTATATGCGCATGAATTCTCCTTGAATTACAGTACTAGGTTTCACAACCTCCTGGCTAGTTAGGCAGAATAAAACATGTACACATGCAGACACATACTATTTAATTGGCAGAAAGATTATGAAATATACCCCTTTGCTGCAGAAAGAATTGATTATACAGGTTGGACCCGTGCTGCCCTAGTCGGCTTTCCTAATTGCAGGAGACAGATACGCATACCCATCCTGTTAAGTTATAAAGGACCCGTGTGTGCATTCTTTAACCCTATAGGACCCCATCAGGGATAAAGAATAACATTACAGTTATGGTCGTTAACAACCAAACCATGCAACATATCTTCATGGCAGATTTCTGAAAATGTATGTTAACTAATGAAGTAAGCAGTATTTATGTGTGTGGTGTATTTAGCCTCTGCAAAAAGATATAATCCTGCCTTTAAGTATCATTCTCATAGAACAGTCTCCCCAAAGAAATATTGATAAAGACAGTAAATGAACAGAGGAAAATACAAATTTAGAAACAGGTAATAAGTAGATATGATTCAAATTTTACCTGCAATGTAGTAGAAGTGATAGGAAACATGTCCGAGAACTTTTAGATTGATTCTGTATTTGGACCATGCCATTGAAAAATAAATAGCAAATTTTGAAATGAAAAGCTTAAAAAGTGTTTGAAAAATAATTTAAGCAATAATCTAGTTTGCATATTTTTTAGGACCTTGGGGGACTGGTCTCTGAATTTTCCCACATTTCATTTTTCTCATTTGGAGCACTAGTTGTCAGCTATTAATAATAGTTTATACTAAGCAATAATTACCGGTGAGCTAATTACTTTATAGACTTTAAAAATGCAGTTATTTTTCATGATGCACTGTCCAAAGAGTAAAACAAGCCTCAAAAGAAAGGAAAGAAGGAAGGGAGGGACAAAACCCTGAGTATTTTATTTCCAATTTGTATGCTGTGATAGAATATTGAAACTTACCCAACTATCAATACATTCAAGAGAATCAGTACGAAATAGCACATTTTCACTATAAGTAATATTTAAATATATAGTGGGTTTAAGTATATTAATTATACCCAAAAGCATAAAATTGGTATTTCCTAAGAATTGATCAAGGATATCTAAATACAAGTCATGATTAGTATATTTTAAACCAGTGTGGTTCTTTATGACGTTCTGTTGTTTTTCAACCTAATTGTCAGTGAGATAAATATAGCATCATAGAAAAAGATGCATTAACCAATATATTCAGTGACAAGTATAAACACTCAAACTTCCCCAGAATTCAAACAAAACTGTTGCATATTCTCCAAATTAAAGTAACAAAATTTTCCTTCCCTCTACTTTTTTTTTTTTAACTAGCATTTTTGTTTTCTCAATTGTTGAAGGTACGATTTGCTTTTCTGATTTTCTAATAGACTTCTGGAAGAATAGTATTCTAGAGGGTTTTGAGGATTTTATTTGGGCAAAAACAATTGTTTATTGTATACATGGAAAAAGCAGTTTTAAAAGAAGACATACTTTTTGTGAAGATTAATGCAAACTTTGGTTTGTTTAATGAAACAACAGTTTTGAGGTATTCCCATACCCAGAACGCTTAAATTTTCTAGATGCAAACCACCGAAACAACAATAGAGAATTCAATGAAGTGTCAAAAAGAAAGTTAATTTAATTGGCCTTCATGAAAAACACAAACTTGAATTCAGACAATGAATGAATGGAATGCAGTATCAGCCACGTGTCCATGTTTGGAGTGTCAGTTGATGAGCACCAAGAAGAATGGGCAGCTTTACAGTTCAGCAAGCACAGATGGACTCTAGATAGATGGATCAGCTTACCAGTTTTCTGACCCTCATATTATCAGCACTCAAAAGCTTCAGTGATAGGGTCATTGTCAGTTCCTAATATTCTGAACTAGTTAGAAAACTGAGGGCACAGAAACTCATGGGTTCATGTGGGTCTTGTTACTGCTGTGGCCCCTAGGAGCTGCAGGGAGACCTGGCTACAGGGCCACTTGCCTGCATGGAGCTTATTCTGCACTTATCCCTCACCCTTCTATCATCTTCCTTGGCTGATTCTGACAGCCATCAAATGCCCTCCCAGATGTGCTCACTGCCACCCCCATTTCCTTTGTTGACAGCACTACTGGATATTATGCTAAATGTTGGTTTTGTTTGTTGTTTAGTCTGTTGATAGATGTTCCAGCAGCTATTACATTTGACTTAACCTATATATTTCTTTTTTGTTGTTGCCCTTAAAAAGCACACTGTGTTTAGTTTGCGAGGGCTGCCATAACAAAGTGCCACAGACTGGGCAGCTTACACAACAGAAATTTATTTTCTAACAATCTGGACGCTGGAAGTCTGAGATCAAGATGTTGGCAGGGTTGGTTTCTTCTGAGGCCTCCCTTCTGGGCTTGTAGATGGCTGTCTTCTCCCTGTGTCTTCATATGGTCTTTCCTCTGTGTATCTGTGTCCTAATCTCTTCTTAGAAGGACATGGGTCACTTGAGATTAGGGCCCACCCTGATGATGTCCTTATTTTAACTTAATTGCCTCTGCAAAGATCCTGTTTCCAAATACAATCACATTCTGAGGTATTGGTGGTTAGGACTTCCCCATATGAATTTTGAGGTGATACAAGTCAGCCCATAACACATTTTTAAAAGTAAATTTTTGTGGATTGATCACCCCTGCTGTACCTGCCCCACCCCCAGACGTGAGCATCTAGAAGGCAGAAACTCTGTTTCTCTTGCAATTCCCACAACCTAACAGTGTCCAGCACTTTGCAGCTATTTCATGAACTCTTGCTGCATGAATGCAAAAAAGGTTGGTAAGAAACTTGAAGTTGAAAAGTGGCACTATTTCTGACTGCCAGAAGTAGCACCTGGCGAGTAGACTAGAACATGTTCCGATGAGAAGAAGAGGCAAAGAAAATACAGTACATTTAAACCGAGACAGCTTTTGACAGAAAGGCAAATGATTGTTGCTTGGGATCACCCATTCTCCACATCCAGCACTGGGAATGGAATGGAAGTTCAGGCCCTTGCGGAATACCAAAGGTCAGGTCTGAATCATTTGAGAGCAAAGGTAATTAATGATTGTCAATAGATCTTTTCTCTTAAGCTCTTCACTTTAGAGTCTCAAAATACTGCAGGTATAAGAAAGAACAATGCTGTAATGCAGATAGATCATATTTGTTTCCAGTAATTTACCACGGTTTCTTAAAACTAGCTGTGCTTAAAAAAATGAAAAGTTTAAATATCTCCTTTAGGTACTATGTCTAGGGATATGCTGAGTTCTTAGATACCAGCCAAGCAGGTTTTAAGAATGTAACTGAGACTCCTCTGTCCCTGCCATTTTTGGCTTAAGGTTCTGACTTTGAAGGAGATTGGAAAACTACCAGAAGGCCAAAGCAACGTTCATTTTTCTAAAAGTATACAATGATTACTTGATGATTCAAATACTAAAAAATGCCTAATGTGCTAAAAATGCCTAATAGTGAAAAAAAAAGCCTTGGTCAGTGTAACAAATATGAAGTAAGGGAGAAAGTTTCCTTAGTCATGTGTGTTTTGCTGTCAGATATTCATGTTCCCAAGTTCTTTGGCAAAAGTCATTGGCTTTTTTTTTGTTTTTGTTTTTGTTTTTTTTTTTTTTAGCAAATGGAGAGTTCTTAGAACAACAGATTGTTAGAATAGGTGTAATAATTTCTGAAAGGCAAGCTATTTTCCCCTACAAATTAGACTTTGGTGGTTTTAGTAATGATGCTTAGAAGTTAAATGTTAAAGCAGTGTCATTTCGTTAAAATGGAATATCCCAGAAAAGCACAAGAACGCAAGAATGACAATACTTACCTGACCTTGCTTTTCTTTGCTTCCTGTGCCTACAAAGTTTTTACATGTACTTTTATCAACGTTTTTGGTTTCCAACAGAACTTAATTTCTCACTAATATTTTAAGACTGTACTTGAAATATGATTTTTAAAGTGGTAATATAGAAATGTAATCACTTTATATCCATTTATATGAAGTGAATTTAACAGTAGATTCAAACTTGGGGTCCCCTAAAGTTGAGCCCAAACTGGGCTTTTGTGTGCTGTGACTTTGTTATAAGTCTGAAAAAAGCTTGTGTATTTGAGATTATTTTGTTTTCTTCACCCATTCCTGGATAAAGGAAATGTCAGAAGTGGCTGCTTGTCCCAAACAAGGCAGATGGTGGATTACTTTCTGAAGGAGCTGGGCACAGGAGAGGAATATGTGGAAAAGTAAGGTGGTTGGGGTGAGGGGAACCACATGGCTCAGAAAACAGACCCAGTCCAAAAAGAAAATAGTTCTAGCTCTTGCAGAATGAGCTCTCTTTAAGACCCAAACGTGGGTGGCGGCTGTGGACTGGTATAATTTTGAGGGAGTGGTGGTAGGCGATTTGCATTCTGGGATAATGCGAGGGCAGCAGGATAGTGGAAGGAACTGAAGTTTAGAATCTGGAAACCTAGTGTGAGTTTCAGTCCTACCCTACACTACCTGTGTGACTTGGGGCAAGTCGACCTTTTTGAGTTTCAATTTCTTCATTTGTTTAATGATAAGACCAATATTATTGGCTTATCATCAGGACAAATTAAGTAATGTATGCAAAATTGCTTTGTAAGCTAGGATGTGCTACAAATGTCACTGGTGTAGAGCAAAGATAGTTAGTTACTGTTCAATTATTCCGAAGAGTGAACACACTTAGCCATCTACATTTCCTACCCTAGATTCCCTGACAAAATGGATTGATCGGGGTATACCAAGCATTACAGTCAACTCAATGATTAGGTTACCTCAATTACGGCTTCCAAAACCAAAATGTAAACACACATCTAAGTCTGTTTGTTAATCTGTTAATGAGGTGTGACTCTTAATTGTTGTTTATTAAATGTGAGGCTTATTTATTGCAGAATTTGGAGAATCTGATCTGGAGGGAATCTTACCTAATTTCACTCTGCTTTCAATCAGAACTATATTAAATGTGAATTAGCCCTGACAGATGGTTGTTGGATTCTGTTTCTAAATTTTTTAAAGAAGATTTCACAGTTTTTCTCTAATTTCTTTTAGTAATTTGACAATTCTTATGCTGAGTTCTTCCTTAGAGCTGACCCAAATCTTAGTTGTAATTTTAAGGCCTTTCCCCTCTCCTGTCATTACTTGAAGATGGAGAACAGCTGGTCGGCAACCTTATGCTAATCATCCTTTGTATATTTAAAGAAGAGTTACTCAGTTCCACTCCCTCGCTCCACCCCCTCCCACCACCGAATTCATCAGCTAGTATTCTCTGAATCATTCATGGTGATGACACCTATCTCCCGCCCCTCCCTCAGACACTTGGCTGTTTCAGGCAGCTGGGCAGAATGTGTTGTCACTGGCCACATGGACTTGGAGAGAATCTGGGCTGCTGCTTTCTTTCCTCTTTTATTTTATTCATAATCTTTGGCCTTCTAATAAATGATCAGAATAACCCTTAACAGTGTTTGATGGAGTTTTGCAAGGATACTTATAGAATCCTTTGAAAGTTAGACCTCCCCGATGACTTAGTGCACTCAGCCAGACATACCATGAAGCTGCTACTTTGCCTGCTAAAAATAACATTGATTGATATCTCTGCTTTATTGGACTTAATCTTGGAAGACATCGAGCTGAAACTCTCCTGAGTGCAGTGCGTGTTCAGAAGCACACTAACAGTTTGAAAGAGTTAATGGTTTCCCCAGTGCTCTAAGTGGTAGTCGGGAATAAGTAACCATTGAGGAGAATTGAGCTCATTAAGGTTATCCCGTGTAGTTTCAGAGTGGATCCTGTTTTTAATCTGAATGTGTATGCTTTTGTGTCTCTATAGGTTTATTACCCAGAACTCTTTGTCTGGGTCAGTCAAGAACCATTTCCAAACAAGGACATGGAGGGAAGGCTTCCTAAGGTAAGATCCTTAGATGCCATATTGTTAACACTATTTTCAATATAGAAACAATTGTTTTAAAATATCAGAGCTTTTTCATTTGAATACCCATTATAGGCTGCTATAACAATCCATTAATCTGATACTATGATGACCTTGGAAATAATGTACTTTTAAAAAATATCCTAAAGTCCTATGACTTAAAGTTCACATTATCTTCCTTCATAAATGAAAAATTTTCATTTAAAACATGGAATCAGTTTATCAAAGTACAGTTTACAGGTTTTAAGTCTGTTCCATTTCTGGTTAGACAAACTCAAATACAATGATCAAACTAAAAGATTTCTTAAAAGTATGATGACTATTAATTGTCTGCTAATGAAGTCTGAAGGTCTGATAAGATTATCCATGAAGCAAAAGGGAGGAACAAAAAAACTGTTACATTTCTTTCTTCTAATTTTTGAGCCTAAAAACCATTTTTTATAAACGTGGTTTCATTGTTCTGACATCTTAGGTGTGGCAGTTCTCTGCCTCAAGAAAATTTGTAAAATTTATATTTTAGATTTTAGCATAATTTCTGAAACAAACAATAACAACTACTTACCAGTTTTTACTGTAGATACTGGACTTTGCCTCTTAGGGTGAATACTTGTTTGACTTCAAGCGGGGAGAGTATACTTTTTAACCAATGACTTGCTGATTTTGCAGTTAAGAAAGAAAAACAGAATCCACTGAAAATAAAATTTCTATTTGAAAGTTTCATAAGTGTAATTGACTAACGGTGAGTCCTCCCCCAGCTGTTACTGGTATTTCAATGTTTAAGAAATTATTTTATTTACACTAAATAGTATCAACAATTCCCTATCTTATACTGGCAGGCAGAAACTGAAGAGGTTGTATCAACTGGCAGTTTGCACTGAAAGAAAACAATCTTAAATCACTTTTAATCTTGCAGAGCATTTTTGAAGGTCAAGGTTGAAATCACTGGCAGGAAAGTAGGTGAACAAAATGGTTTGACCCTGCCTGAACTAGACTTGCACTGATTTGTAGAGCTGGAGTGGAAGAGAGCTAAAATAGTAGCGCTTTCCTTAAAAGACACCCACACCCCACCACCTCACCAGCAGCACACCAGCGGCACGAGCAGTATAACCACAGACATTCGTCACTGTGCCAGATCAGGGCATAATTCTCTTAAGGCAGCTGAGGCCTTCACATTAGTTCTTGCCTCATTCAGGCATCCAGAGGTCCTCTCTCTTTGATACTGGTGACATAAACCAGAGGGGCAAGACTAGGCATAGTTCCTTGATGAGTTCAGTGGTGCCTCACCGTACCCTTAGAAAGCCAGCCCTGCTGTGCTAGGTCTTGTCTCACACAAAGACATGCTCCCAGGGGTGGGCACCGTGGATCATGGTATTCAGGTCTTCTGCTATTTTAAGTTCTTTCTTCTCTAAATATGTGAATAATATTTTAAGCATAGTGTTATTTGTTCTTTTTCCAGAAGTTCCCTTCTGGAAAAGCATATCTTTGTATAATTGTAGGAAAAATAATCTTGACTTACTTGGTCCAAAGCACATTATTAACTGGGGATTAATTTCCTAGTAGTCATCTGTCGGGAGGGCTGATCCACCCCGAGGCACATTAACTGGCGTGACTTTCAGGACGGCGGGGCTGTGGGAGCCACTGGACACATCTGCCCCCCAACCCCTAGCCTCTTGAATTACTCAAGTCCCTCAGCTCTGTTGGCACAAATACGTGCTGGATGATAGAAGAACCGTTTTTCCCATGGATGAACTTTTTTTGGCTTGAATTCTTACAAGGCCTGACTTCTGGATCTGGAGAAAGAAGACTTCTTTGTGTCCCATCTTCAAAATGCCTCCTCCACTTGTTGCAGAAGCCTAAAATTCCTTTAGTTGGGGCAGAAAGCCTATTATTATTTAAAAAAAAAAAAAATAGTGGGAGGGTGTGTGGATTGAAATCAGTCAGGGGAAGAGGATTGAAATCTAGTAAATGCAGGACTCCATAGGGAGAACGCACAGAACTCTGTCTCCTCAGGAGCACCTCTCTCCACGGGCATGGTGGGCTCCAGGCCCTCAGGGTGCTTCAGTAGCACACCTCCCTGTGGGCCCTACTACCATTGCCTCATGAGGGTCCAGTCTGTATGCTTGTCTTCCACACAGCAAGTTAATGAAGGGTGAGATGGGCAGGGACTGTTACTGTTTCTGTTTCAATCTCTCTCTAAGCTTGAAATCGAATAGAGTACTCCAGCCATAGTAGGCACTCAGAAAATGAATAATTAATGAAGAAATGTATATTATCTGGGACCTTGAAACAGAAAAAATGGTAAAAATGGTAAATTCAAATCTGAAATAATCGTCACTTTCTTTTTTTCTGGAAGTGCCTCTTCCCAAATCCCTAGCTCTTCCTTTTGTTTTGTTGTGTATGTTTCATGGAGGTAGAAGATTAGTACTGAGACTGAGATTTAAATAGAGAGATACACTAACGTTCTGTATATTCACTTTTGAACAGAGTAAGTCTGAACTGGAGCAGTTTTAAGGCAAGCTGTGTAAAGACTATAATTGTTGAGTTAACATTTATCAACTTTTGGTTTTCCTTCTTTTCTTGCCTGTGACAATTAACAGCCATTGAACTCTTCATTTGTCCAAAACCTAAGTTTGTCCTATCCTGAACCATGGTAACTGGTTGACTGTGGGGTGAGGTGGGGTCGGGCTGGCAGCATTATTTTAAAGACACTGGGATTACAGTGGATTTCCTTTTTTTTTTTTTTTTTTTAAATTTTGGGACTGTGTACCAAGATTCCAAGATTGAAATTATTTTCACAACTGCAAGTAACTACCCAATATTATGCTTTTGGAAATTGAATCTAGACCCTTAAGGGTGTGTGAGTGGTGAATTATATTTTTATTTAATTTTCTGGTTTGGTCCCATTGGTATTTAATGATACCAAAACAACCTCTAAAATCACAACCTAAGATTGGAATATTAAAGTACATCATGGTTATATATGTGCAAAAAATGCTGTATGCTCTCAAAGTCCGAGACTTTTAAGTAAAAAATTGAGGCATACCAGATGTTTAATATGGAAAATCTGTACAGTAAGTAAGACTTTTTAAAGTTGAATAATCTGTTGCATTTAGTTCACCCCTGGGTTGCTGAAAATATTTATTCAATTTCAAGTTGTTTGGAAGTTACTGGTTTCTGAATTCTTAAAAAGAAATTCAGATGTGTTAATTTATAGGCCACAAAGTAAGATTATCACTTTAATCCAAGTACTTTACATCTAGTCAAACTGGCTTATTAAAACTGTCTTGTTAGAACATGTGACTTGAGCAACAAAAAAAAAAGCCCACATGTTTTAAAACCACAAAGGATAATTTCTTCCAAGAAAATGTCAGTAATTAAAACTCCAGAGTTCAGCTGAAAGAGAGACCATCGTCAAATCTTCACTGTGTTCATACCTGTACAGGGCATAAAATCTATCTGTTGTAAATGAATACCTGTATTGTGCATCATGTGGGCAGGTGTGCTTCACTGTGCTGTGCTTCTGCTGTCTGGTTGTGATGGAGAGCTCCTCTCCACTGTTGGCGCTGCAGCAGTGTGTCCGGGAAGCCACGTGGCGGCGGATCAGTAGTCACACTGAGATTGAGTTATTCTAGTCAGAAACACAAAAACCTTTCTCATCAGGATTGTGAGGAGAGCCTTAGAATAGCCCCAGTCAGTCTAGATGAGCTGAATCTCACTCTCTTCTGGCCTTGGTTTCCCCACTAGCCCCCACTTTCCTATGACCGCTGTCTGGGCACCCTCACATCATTTCTCTCCCAGACAGACACTTCCCATCTTTGGTAGCCACTTCTGTCATGCGCCGATTGCACATAGAATAAGCCATACATAGATAAGATTGATGCAAGTTGAGATACGTTTTTAAATATTTTTATTACATATTAGAAAATAGATTGTTAACCCGTCTTCATCACACCCACTGGACTCTTTTTTTTTTTTTTTATAATTATCAACTGACACTCCTGTGAGTATCTATCAATCACCCAGTCTAAGGTTGGGCCCTATCTGATACTAGAAACTGTCCCAAGAAACCTGACACTGGGGAATGCTGCCTCACACATGGCTGGCACCACCGTAACAGAAGCACTTCATTCTACTGAAGCAAAGGTGGCCAGTGTTTAATTACTTCATTTCCTCACAGACCTAATATTTACATTCAGGTGAACTGTGTTTAATATGTAAACTCTGTTTTGCAAAACAGCAAGAGTTCAAGGGTATAATGTGGGCTGGGCAGGAAAAGCAAAATTTTAAAAAATGGTTTCAGAAGCATGACTAATTTTGTCTTTTATGTGTGTCTGTCTGTGTGTGGGTCTGCCTGCTTTGCAGGGAAGACTTCCTGTCCCAAAGGAAGTGAACCGCAAGAAGAACGATGAGACAAACGCTGCCTCCCTGACTCCACTGGGCAGCAGTGAACTCCGCTCCCCAAGAATCAGTTACCTCCACTTTTTTTAATCGTAACACCTCCATTTGTATTACATATGGTGTATGGGTATTGATGAGGTCATGGTATCATATATGGGATTTTTTTCTGTGTAAATCATCAAGTATAAGAAGAAACTATGGGACTCTGAGCCTTGCTTTAGAGAATTTACAGTGGACAAATAGGTGTCATCAAACCAGTTTTTAATCATTCTGACTCAAGTGAAAACGCTCAGAATTTCACACTGTGAATCCACGTTTACAACCCTTACAGGTGGGCCTTCAGGCCTGGTTCGCTACAACAATGTCTTCCACAACTCAAACTCCCACCGCGCTCACACAACCGGTCCACTCCTGCCTTTTCACTCACACAGCTCCCGACTGCTTCTTGCAGAGGCTGAGAGTCCCCCCCCCACCTTTTTTTTCATTTAGATGTAACAAACCTAGTAGTTTATGTTCATCAATTGTCTGTATATCTCTATATTTTATCCATGTACTCTTTTGATGTATAGAAGTAGTTTGAAACTCATTGTTTCCTTGTGGTAAGTGACCGAGATGCTGCCACAGGACCTGAGACACTGATGAATGGTGCTATTTTGGACTTTCAACATGCTCCTTGGCGAGGTAGCTCTGATGGAGTTATTTTTTATTTCCATGTTCTAAGAAGGTGTTGGTACTCTGTTTCCCTGAATGTTGTTCTCTAGACTGGATTGACTTGTTTTCCTTGTGTCTTCAGTGTGGCTTTCTTCCTCAGTGTTGTAGGTTGAGCGAATGCTACCAGAGTGTGAGAGACCATTGTCTCGTTGGCTGGCGCTCACGGACATGCAGTCACGGTAGCGGGAGCAATCACAAAACTGTAATTTACTTACCAAATCTCTTCCTTTCCGTAGCCTCGCCTGCCTGACTTAGAGAAAGAAAAGCAATAATTTTACAGGCATTTTGAGGTGTCTCTTTGGGTTCTTTCTGTTTGAAAGGATATTTGTCGAAAAAAAGAGCAAAACCGTTTTAAATAAACTCCCCCTGGAAAAAAACCCAAAACACTGGCATCTGAGTGGGAATATGAAAATGACACCTTTTCCAAATATTAAATTGGAAAACAAGGTCTACAAAATCATGATACTTTTTTAAAAGGCAGAGCATTCTTTTTTCGGCAATTTTGATAAGCAAGGTGTAGATTTACATTTTTGTCCTTGCTCCCAACGAAATGGATAAACAAAAATAAATTACCATCTACTCATGGAATGTTGTTGTGTTAGCCAGTCTGAAAGCCCACCTTAATTTTTATATAACTGTCTTTAGCTCTTCTTTTGACAGGGCAGGCCTTGTTCTGAACTGTTTCGCTTCTGACTGTTAAACACCGATGACGCATGCACTGCACTTCTTCGTTTTCTTCTTGCTCCCCCATTGGCCTGAGTTTCTTGTGCATTACTCCTCTCCCTCCTTCGTTAGAATAGGTATATCAGCTGTGTAAATAGAGCAAGAAAACAGTATTCTGCATCTGTGGCATTTATGTAGAGTTGCAGTTGTGTACTGCTGAAAATGCAGGCTTTTGTAACAGTGTGATCTTTACTGATGCACTCATGACAAGTACCCAATGTATTTTAGCTATTTTAGTAGTATTTGTTCAATAAATACGCAAGCTGTAAGGTAACTGTCTGATTTGGCTCATCATTGAAGAGGCCTAGTTTTGAATGTCTTCTCTGGTTCTTGCTAATTCATGTGTTTCCAGAGCCCCAGAAGTCAGGCCAGCAAACCCAAGGGCAAATATCAAAAGAGAGAGAATCAGCTCTGCCTTTCATGCGTTTTCCCTTTTGAGGATTTTATGAGATTAGGGGCTAGGCAGTGGCTCATTAAGATGGTATTTGCAGAGCTGCCTCTGGACACAAAGCAGAATTAGACCAAGATCCTTTTATTTCTACACTTTTTCTCCCTTCCAAGGCATTCCCATACGCTTCAAAACTTACTCTTTCTCACTCCTTGCCATTAAGACCCACTCTGTGGTATTCTTTAAGACCCACTCTGTGGTATTCTTTCTTTTTCCCTGCCAAAAGAGATCTGACCTCCCTTCTTCATGGAATATGTGCACTTTTCCTCAGACAAAAAGCTTAAACTTTTGTAAGAGGATAAAAATTTGAGACAGAATTTAAAGTCATTAAGGCTTAATTCATGTGTACCCAGATACCTGGAACCTACCAGATGATAAGGTGATGATGAGCAGAGCCTTCTAGAGGTCTCATGTGACCCTGAAACCTGGCAATTCAGGGGATTCATGCACTCCCTGTGCATGAGAAATGTCTTCTGGTTTCTCCTCATCCATTACGGGAGTGAAATTTTAACTTGGCTTGTACACAGGTTGCTTATTTGGCTGGTGGGTTCAGATATTGGAGTTTCACCTCAACAGAGACTAAGGAACAGACCTGTGAGATAAAAGCCAGAGAGAGAAAAAAGAGCTAAAGTTAACAGGTAACATTGCCCCTACAGTGGGAGCTTAGCCTCTAGAGAGAGAGTGGGCATCAGATTCTCTCTGAGAAATCTTGGTTCTTGATATGTGTGTTATGTCAGGAAGGACTTTTACATTTGGGGGTTATTGAGCTTAACTTGAAATTAATGGCACATCTCAGATTTTGTTTAAGTTTCCTATTTACCCTCAATTTTTAATCTTATTAAGAGAAAGGAGCCTTAGGGCAGAACCAAATTCTAACTAACTGCTTACCAGATCATTAGAATTTCATTCTGAAGGAAAATTCTTAAAAATGACACACCACCATTTTGAGTATTAACCTCTTGATATAATAAGGGAAGTCCTTCTTAAATTTAATTACCTTTCTTTTTAAAATTTTTTTTTTATTAAAAAAAAGAAAAAAAAAACCATCATCTGAAGACTTACGTGGAGCTGGAGAATCTGCTCCCAATACAGGTTAGTCCATGGCTGTTTGCAGGATGCCTCAGTTCTTCTACTCATGAGCCTCTCCCTAGTGCTGCTTGAGTGTCCCCATAACTTCTGGCTTCCTGAAGAGCAAGTAATTCAAGAGAAAGCTGGGAGCAAGCTAAAATGCCATGACCTATTATCAGAAGTCACCATCATCTATCAATCATATTCTATTCATTAGAAGCAAGTCACTAAGTATAGCCCACACTCAAGGATGAAGGAAATTAGTTTCCACCTCCTAAAAGGAATACCAAAGAATTTATGGATATATTTTAAAAATAGCACATGATCTGAAGTTGAAGAGCTCAAGGTAATTATAGGTCAGGGTCTGCAAGTAGGAAGGGCTGAAACTAGCATCACAGCTACTTCTTTCTATTGAAAATTTTTTACAGTCCTTTGAAGCGGCGTATGAGGAGAGCATCCAGGAACTATAATACTGGGATTCCATAGCCTCCATTTATTAATCCAAGTTCAATGAGACCCAATACTAATATTTAGAGAATGTTATGAGAAGCTATAAAAACAGGGGAGCTGGAATAAATGATGTTTAAAGTTCCATCCAACTCTTTGGATTGTGGAGGTTGCTGATGACAATTCTTCAGCCTCCAGAAAGCTTGAAGTAATGATTGACTCTGCACTTTAAACTTGAAAGATTCGTGTGAGGATCCAGCAATGTTTTGTGAAGCATTGTAAGAAGTGGAGAGATAGCTGGGCTCACTTCAGAAGACCCAAATTTTGATTCAAGACTGCTTTGTTCTCTCACCAGAGGCAAACATATCACCAGGTTGCCTTTGGGAGGAGACTGCTAACAACCATTGAGCAGACATAACCTGGAGATTTGTTTTGCAATGTGTTGTATAACAATGTTGATTTAATTGCCTCAGGCGATTTCACATGAAAATCCAGGTAGAAAAGTGGAAAATATAGCAACAGTGGGATTGGAGGTGAATAGCTGCCTCCACCTGTGGATGAGGCATGTCCTCTCTTTTTATCAAACTCTCATCACCTCTTTTCTTATATCCTGTCTGCTTCATTTATTTATATCATCTGCTTGCCTCTGTTGGTATGGCAGTTAGCAACACTAATCATCTGGTTTGGGGAGGACGGTGCTGCACTTATTTTCACCAACAAAGGGCCAGGGGACGTTTTGCACTCATTTTTTGATAGCAGGAACACTTACAGGATCATGAACACCACATTGGAATCAGAGGTTCCTCAGTGCTACTCAAAACTTCTCTGCTGCAATTCCAACTCTACCTCCCTGGGCCCTCGTTAGAATCCTTTGATCATCCTCCTCCAGGGATTGAGATCACATGATAAACAATCTTGGATTGGGTCAGGTTAAGCTATATGCAGGTATGATAAATTCATAATTTTCAAACTGCGGTATGTGTACCTAAGGCTTTTCACGGATTGCATACTCAGGACAATTTTCAGGAAATTAATTTCCAGATCCTCTATATACACTATACTCTTTCCTTAAATTGATCTGCTGAGAATGAGTCTTTGTTCATACTGTTTCTTTTCCCACAGAAAAAAGATATAGGCTACCCATCCCAAATCTTAATACATTGCTCTTAATGTGACACCAAAAACCTCAGATGTAGCAAACAGAGGAAAGGTTTGATGATTAATCATAAAACCATAGAGCCTTGGGCTTTTGCCTCTTATACACATGTTAAAGCTGATTATGATGTTAGATAACATAGAAATTGGGTGTTTGGACTCACAAATAGATTTTCAGAATTCAGATGTATGATAAAGTGGAGTGATGGTAACAATTTTTTTTTTTTAACGGCTTTTTGGTTTTCTCTTCCTGACTCTTGTCAAAGAATTTCTTGCTCTTGAGGGAAAGCCATGGGAGAGTGAAACAAAGAAAATTAGTAGAAGGCACTGAATGCCAAAAATGTCTTCTTACATATAATTATAATCAATTATTTCCCATTATTGTCAATATCCTTCCCTAGGATGTATCTTGACTGGGAAAAAAAGTAACTTGGAAGAGCTAAAGCAGTATAGATTTGCCATGCTGATTATTTTAAATGTAACCAGAATGGCTTTTGGGAATGCCAAATTTTTATAAGGTGCAGTAGACAGATAGAACCCAAGGATAAAAACTTTCACATGGTTCTTTCAGATTTGATGTGCATTCATTAATAAAGTTGTCAGAACCCATTGTATCAAACCATAACATGAAACATTTATTCAATTTTATTCAATTCTTGTCTTAGTCTATTTTCTGTTGCTGTAACAAGACACCGGACTGGATAATTTATTTTAAAAAAGAAACATTCGGCTCATGGTTCTGGAGATTGGGAAGTCCAAGAGCCTGACATTGGAATTTGCTCAACATCTGGTGAGGGCCTTCTTGCTGCCTCAAATTGTGATAGAAGGGTGGAAGGGCAAAAAGTGCATTTCAACTCAGGTCCCTCCTCTTCTTATAAAGCCTTGGGTCCCATCATGGGGTCTACTCCATCAACATATGAATTTGAGGATTAATTTTTCAACATATGAAACTTGGGGAACATACTCAAACTATAGTTGTTTCTACCATTTTATCTTATAACATATTTCTTGTTTAATCATTCTCCAAAGCCAGTCAGCAGTATTCAATGCCCGTACATAATTTTACTACAGATATACCATGCCTTTTATCATTTTCCTGCTTTATATGAGAAATAGTGTATTGGTCATCTTGTTTTTATAACTTAAACATGGAAAAATCAATTATATTAGATCTTTATCTTAATTGTTTTTAGTGATCAGTTTCATAAGATATACTTTTAGTTCTCATTGATTTTTATAATATTCCTCAAAATAGCTATTTGAATTGAAGAATGAAAAACTTTTTCTCACAGAAAGTGTATCTGATTTGGCTGACTGGTTTGACAGTGAAGACTGGCCCTGCCAATGAGGTTTTATGACAGATATTTTTCATAAATGAGCTAAATCTGCAACTCCAAATTAGTGGCAATACATTTAAAACAAGAAATAAGATCAAAGCATTTTATCAAAAAGCATTGTTTTGGCAAACATGTAATAAAACTAAAAATTTGTTTGATTTTCCTGCCATTTCTGGTGATACGGGTTTTAAAAGGTGGGCCTAAGTACAAGTGTTACAGCACAATTAACAATAATTTGATGAATCTTAGTAAAGCTCTCTTGGTATACTTCCCAGAAATTGAGAAAGTAAATTATTCAAATTGCTGGAGAACAAATCTCTTTGCTAGTCAGGTGCTTCCTAGTTCACTGTTTAAAAGAAATGAAGAAGGACTTTATCAAATTGTCATGTGCCCGAAGATTAAAAATATTTTTGCTAATAGACCATTACACAAATGTTGACATATAACATAGAAGGAATTCAAAGAACTGAATTACATTGCTATAATAAAACACTCTCAATTCCTTCAACTTACATCTATAAAAACAAAAAAAAAAAAATAGAAATAGAATTGATACTGACCCCTTATTTCAGCAGTAAGTAATGTTCATTTACAGATAAAGGAACTAACTGAAAAAAGTTTATCATCTCATTAAAGGATGCATTTGCAATATAATTTTACTTTTTGTGTTTAATAATATGTTTGTTTAATCAGTAGTGTATTGATAATAATTCAATTGCATAAATTTTTTTAATGTTCAGAGCTTTATGGTAACAAAATAAAAGTAAAAAATTGAATTTAGGTATATTTCAATTGCGGATACATGTGATAGCGTAAGCAGTATTTTCAAACAAAATTATGTTACATTAAGGTAAAGATCTTTGGAGGAAGTTGAATAAAAATTTAAGTTCAAGTAGAAAAAGAAAGTCAGATTCCTAAAAGTTACGGAAGTATTTGTTTTGTTTTGTTTTGTTTTTTAAAGAATGCAACACTCTGGGGGTGTTTGCATTTTTTTTTATTATACTTTCTGAAACTATTCCAATCAATAGAAAAAAAGGGAATCCTCCCTAACTCATTTTATGAGGCCAGCATCATCCTGATACCAAAGCTGGGCAGAGACACAACCAAAAAAGAGAATTTTAGACCAATATCCTTGATGAACACTGATGCAAAAATCCTCAATAAAATACTGGCAAACCGAATCCAGCAGCACATCAAAAAGCTTATCCACCATGATCAAGTGGGCTTCATCCCTGGGATGCAAGGCTGGTTCAATATACGCAAATCAATAAATGTAATCCAGCATATAAACAGAACCAAAGACAAAAACCACATGATTATCTCAATAGATGCAGAAAAGGCCTTTGACAAAATTCAAAAGCCCTTCATGCTAAAAACTCTCAATAAATTAGGTATTGATGGGACATATCTCAAAATAATAAGAGCTATCTATGACAAACCCACAGTCAATATCATACTGAATGGGCAAAAACTGGAAGCATTCCCTTTGAAAACTGGCACAAGACAGGGATGCCCTCTCTCACCACTCCTATTCAACATAGTATTTGTTTTTAAAAATGGAATGATGGTGGGTTATCCATTTTCATGGTGTTTAGATTCAACTATATACATTATGGGAGAAATTCAACTTTCATTTTAACATGAAAACATTTATAATATGCCCCAAATTACATCCTTTAAAGTGTTTAAATATATGATGAAAAACATTACTATTCATAAAAATTACATGACAGTACATACTTTAATACAATTCTTATAGGGGATATAAAAGCAAAAGAGTTTGAAAACCTCTGAGCTAGAAAAGAAACCTAGGTGCTATGTTTTGAGGAAGTCACTCCTGGACAGAAATACTTCCCATCTAGTCTCAATGCCTGAAAATTTGTCCCATTAATTCTCTTTGATAGAAGCCCTGAAGGGCACTGGCCATTAATTTACTATACTGCGGGGACCAAGACCCTGAGGAAACAGCACCAGTGAATTTTGATGGATGGAGAAGGGAAAGAAAGGTCCAGACTCCCGGTCAGAGGTCAAGCAGGACAGGCTGTGTGGCTTGGAGGCACTGACCACACAGGGGAGTGATGAAAGAGGGTCCCAGAGAAGATGATGTCTTCCTGGGCTGCAAGTTCAATGAGTGTATAAAAGAAAGACTGGCAACTCTTCTTAGAGCCTTCACATCATTCCTCCTTGACATAGTCAAATCTTTTTAATGCTACTTTTTTTTTATTTCTCCAGATTCTTCATCACATCTCTATCCAGCATATTCAAAAGGGCTGAGTCAATTATTCCTCCCATAGGAGAAGGGGGCACAAGTCAGTAAGAGAAGTGGGATTATACCTCAGGTCGCAACCCTGTAGTACTTGAGATCCCAGTACACCTAAGAAAAGCCTATACAACAGCAAGCAGCTCATGAATCAGGGCAGAAAAAGAGGGTCATCTTTTCTTTTATTGCATGTCTCCATTAGGCTTCCTTCTGAACATAACTTCATAGAAGGAATATGAAATTAATCTATTCCCTTGCACAGTACACGGTGCCACTAATGCATGGCTTAGCACCAGGAGATCCATGTGGCTATGTGAAAGCCTCATAGAAAGAGAATTCTAATCGCTTCTCGGCCTTTTGGCTAAGAACAAGTGTAGTGGAGAATTCTAAGAATGCATTAATTTGCTGATTTCAAGTTGAGCAGCTTTATTTATTAGCTGCAACCTTTCTGAGCCCAATGCTGCTATTAATTTCCACCAACACATTGGTCCCAGCTGAGCTCAGGGCTGCACAGAATGAGCTGGCTCTTTCTCCAATGCAATAACCTTTCACATCCTGCTCCCCTTGTCCTTTTAACAACCTCAGTTCCTTTAGGCAGTTTTTCTGTGACTGGTTTTCTGGGACTTTCACCACCACTATTGCACTCTTACACAAACTCTTGTTTGCAACTGACCCAGCTTCCTTTTAAAAATGATAGCTGAGGCCTGGAAGAAATCAATGACAGAGACATCCACTGGAGGAACACACTGTATAGTGCTGTGGTTGTTAGGGGATTCTAAGACATAACTAAGTAGAAGGGAGTTATGAGTCCTATTAATGTCTAAACAGCTGCTGTAGAGCCCCAGGTGCTCTATTCTACCTATCACTTCGGGTAGTCCCAATCCTGAGCCACGTCTCCAGTAGGGTCCTATATTAGTCTGTTTTCACACTAATTCAGGTAATAAGGAACTACCTGAGATTGGGTAATTTATGAAAAAAAGTGGATTAATTGACTCACAGTTCTGCAGGCTTAACAGGAAACATGATTGAAAGGCCTCAGGAAACTTACAATTATGGTAGAAGGCAAAGGGCAAAGGCAAAGGTGACAAGAGAGAAAGAGTGAAGCAGGCGAGTGCCACACACTTTTAAACCATCAGATCTTGTGAGAACTCTATCACGAGACAGCACTAGGGGAACGGTGATGGTGAAAAACCATTACAAATTACCCCCATGATCCAATCAGCTCCCACCAGGCCCCACCTTTAACACACTGAGATTACATTTCCACATGAGATTTGGGCAGAGACAAAGAGCCAAACTGTACCAGCTCCTAACTGTAGTGCTAGTCCCAGTGCTGGTCTCAGGCACCCTGAAAAAAGGGGCGACAGTCACTTCTTTTCTTGGGGGCCATAGACCACCTCCTGTTTTCTCTTTTCCCTGGGCTTTGTGACAATGTAACTGGATATCTGGGAGAAGGGAGTAGGCAAGGAACCTCATCAGGTCTACTTAGGGGCTGTCTCACTGGCTCGTTCCTTAAAATCCCAGGGCTAGTTTCTGAAAAGCAAATGTTCATCACAGAGCAGAGGAGTGCTGCTTTCTAGGACAGAGAGGTAACTGGAACATTCCAATTTGTCATTAATAGCTAGGATTTGCTTTGTCGGATGTGATAATGAGGGGGTATTTGATGTGAGTTCTTGAGGAGGACAATTAGCTCAGAGGGACATTAAAAAAGTGTGATAGCAGCACCCAGGAAGGGTGTGAAAAATAGCTGCTTCCTTTTATTGCATGTGCAGGACACCTGAGGGGTTGTGATATATATCATTTCACATATGGGCCTTCCACAACACTGTGAGGTCACCATGCTTGTCTCAGTTGAGGGATGTTTAATTGCTCAGAGTGAAATATCTTATCCAGGATGGCAGAGCTAATCTTTACCTTTTCCATGCTACCACTTAGGAAACCTAACCTTGCCATTCAAACTTCCCCTTTTTTCATGACCTTTCTTACGGTATTAGAAGAAACATTAGAAACTAAGAAAAGTAGTCTCCAGAGAAACAGAACCAATAAGATTTATTATAAGGTACTGGTACACACAATTATGGAAGATGAGAAGTCCCATGATCTGCCATCTTCAAGCTGGAGACCCAGGAAAGCTAGTGTTGGTGTTTGAAAGCCTGAGAACCAATGGTGTAGATTTCAGTCCAGGTCTGAAGGCCTGACAACCATGAGTACCAATGACAGAAGACTGATGTCCTAGCTCAGTCAGGTAGAAGGAAGATGATTCCAAATTCCTCTGCTTTTTTGTTCTATTCAGCTATCAATGGATAGGATAATGCCACTCACACTAGGGAGGGCCATCTGCTTTATTCAGTTTACCAATTCAAATGCTAATCTCTTCCGGAAACACTCTCACAGACACACCTGAAAAGAATGTTTAATCAGACATCTGGGTCCAGTCAAGTTTACAGATAAAATTAACCACCACACTTCCCTCACATGTAAACTTGCTCTCAAAAAGTATATGTAATTCTTTCAACATAAGAACTGAAAACTCTTATCTTGGTTTTTATAAATGTATTTGTATAGCAGAAATCCTTAAACCAAAGAATAGGGTGCTAATGGTGAGATTTCAGGCATCAAAGATGGGAATTAAGAAACATGGGGCAGGATTTTACCACTACATACATGGCAGAGAAGTTGTGGTTTCTCTGAGCCTGACTTTCAGTAGAGTGGTGTCAGCCAATTGTTCCTGGGCAGGAGCACTCATGGCAGAAAAGCTTTTTCCCCTAGATTCCAGACTTCTTTGGTGTATTTATGAAGTGGATGTGTGCACCATCTGGTTGGGACATCTGTCATTGTGCTGATCTGCAGGGCTGATTCAACTAATCTGGCTGGTTAGGTGGCTGTCCCTATTCTCCCTCACTATTCCACACAGCTTCCTCCCAAAGTGGTGTGGCAATTTGAGCAAGAAGGCCACTCCCTGGTCAAGGACACCTATCAGCTACACACAGAGAAACTTCTCTGGCTTGTTTTGTTGAAAAACTAATAGTGGACAAAAACAAATGACCTTTTACTTTTTGAAGGAAGGAATTGAAGTGACAGCTTTTTGTTCTTCCATGTCCCATACTATGCCTTTGTAAGACATAAAAAGAGACAGCCTTTGTCCCAAAACTCTAGGCATGACAGAAGCAGCTATTCTCAAAGCTCACACCTGACTCCATCTCTGATACGGTGTTATCTGGGCTCCATCCTCTCTAGTCAGCCTGCATCTTCCTTGTTCTTATGGTGAAGTGGGGAGAGGGACTTTGTCCTGCTGGTTGACTTAAGACCTTCTTCTGATAACAGGCATCAATGCTACAACTCCCACCTCAGTCATCTTCATAATCTCAGGCCAATGGGTATTCCTGACACTTCTCTTTCTAATAGTGAAATGTCAAGAACAGAAAGCGTTACATATAGTGATTCTGAGAATTACCAGTCTTTCCTCCATCCATGATTATTTATGTTAAGGAAGTTAATGATGATAACTCTGGGCCAGCCAATGATGTTTACGTAGAAAGTATCTGATTAGATAAGGCATAAGTCACTACCTGAGCAGAAAAATGGAGACTAATGTGGGAGGGATTTTCCCCTTTCTGCAGTCCCACATGATTTAGCTAGAAGTCAGAAGCAGCATTGGCCCTGCTCTTAACCAGCTGCTCTTTTATCTTGACAATATTTTTTTCTCATTTGTTGTATAGAAAGAATAATACCTACTTGTCTATTGGAAAGGTGTGCTATGAGAATGGAAGGCATGTTCCCAGAGTGGTGGGTGTGCCGGTTGTGCATTTTTCTTGACCACTAAATGAGAGGTGAAGGAATGAAGGACGGATATGGGAAAGGGTGGCAGGCCTGTGGCAATCATCCAGGTAGACAGCCTAGGAGATAGAATATGGGAAAGGTCAAGATGGTGGAACTGGCAGGGGCAGGAACAGGAAAGAAGGCAGAAAAAAAAAATTCAAACAGGTGACATTGTGTGTCAACTGCAGAAAGTCCTTTGGGAGATGAGGAGAGGAGAAAATAAAAACAAATCTACAACCTGCATCCAATTTTGTTCTTGTAAGTACAGGAGAAATAGAGATAGAAGGCCAAGAGCAGAGGCAGCTTCCATGGGCTGGGGTTGTGTGGAGTCAGGAAGCAAATGGCAGGAAGATCTTCTCTATTCCAGAGTAGGTGCATGTCAGTATGATGGCCCACAAAAGTGTGATGTGGAAAGCCTTGCTACTGCTCAATTTGATGAGCCCTGGGGGCTATGTTTTCCATCTTATTCCTATAAACAGAAAATTTGAGGAGGGTCTCACACAAGTAGAAATGCCAAGTTCACTTTGAGCATTAGCGGGAGAAACAGGACCAGAATTTTTGGGAAAACTATGAAAGGAACAACTAAACCTATTTAAACCAAAGCTTCAGGAGTGGGATGATGAATGCAGAAAACTTTAATCATCACAGATAAAGCATCTTCTTGGGAGATAGTCTTTGGTAAAAAAAAAAAAAAATTCATGTAATTTCAGTCATGAGGAGTCTATTCCAAGTGTTGAAGATCATGGCACAATAACAGGGCAGCTGGGATGGCTGGCATTTTCAAGAACTTGGCATAAAAGGACTGGAGCTGAGCAGAGTACCTGTACCCAGAATACAAATAAACTACCTGAGATGATAAAAGAAGCAGAAGCACTAAAAGTACTTATGGGGGAAGGAGATAGATAAGGAGTAAAGGTGATGTGTGCAGAAAAATAAACCTCAATAAAGACAGAATATTCACATGAAGATGAACAATAAATCCATAATTAGAAGGTGGCTCCTGTTGAAGAAAAAAGCTGGGAAATATCAGCCGTATCAGGGAGTAAACCAAGCTCTTATTCTGGGAAGAAGCCAACCTGGAATGAGTAGAAAAGGATGAAAGTGCCCTAGCAGAAGTTGCAGCAGGTAGAATATCAGGCAGAGGATGTCAGGAAGGAAAAAGGAAAATGAGAACCTGTACTCAGCTTTAGAAAGGGCAGAGGAAAAGTTACATGATCATATTGATCAGTGCAGAAAAATCATTTGATGGAATTCAAAACCCATTCATGAAAAAAAAATTCTAAGAAAAATAGAAATGGGAATTTTCTCAACTGGATAAAAAGCATCTATAAAAAACTACAAAATTACACTTAATAGTAAAAGACTGAGGGTATTGCTGGCAAGATGGCCGAATAGGAACAGCTCTGGTCTGTAGCTCCCAGCGAGATCAACGCAGAAGGTGGGTGATTTCTGCATTTCCAACAGGTACCCCATTCATCTCATTGGGACTGGTTAGACAGTGGGTACAGGCCATGGAAGGTGAGCAGAAGCAGGGTGGGGTGTCACCTCACCTGGGAAGCACAAGGGGTTGGGGAACTCCCTCCCCTAGGCAAGGGAAGTGATGAGGGGCTGTGCTATGAGGAACGGTGAACTCCGGCCCAGATACTACGCTTTTCCCACAGTCTTCACAACTGCAGACCAGGAGATTCCCTCTGGTGCCTACGTCACTAGGGCCCTGGATTTCAAGCACAAAACTGGGTGGCCGTTTGGGCAGAAACCAAGCTAGCTGCAGGAGTTTGTTTGTTTGTTTGTTTGTTTGTTTTTTCATACCCCAGTGGTGCCTGGAATGCCAGCAAGACAGAACCGTTCACTCCCCTGGAAAGGAGTCTGAAGCCAGGGACCCAAGTGGTCTAGCTCAGCAGATCCCACCGCCATGGAGCCCAGCAAGCTAAGATCCACTGGATTGAAATTCTTGCTGCCAACACAGAAGTCTGAAGTTGACCTGGGCCACTGGAGCTTGTTGTGGGGAGGGGCGTCCACCATTACTAAGGCTTGAGTAGGCGGTTTTACCCTCACAGTGTAAACAAAGCTGCTGGGAAGTTCCAACTGGGCAGAGCCCTCTGAAGTTCAACAAAGCCACTGTAGCCAGACTGCCTCTCTAGATTCCTCCTCTCTGGGCAGGGCATCTCTGAAAAAAGGCAGAGCCCCAGTCAGGGGCTTGTAGATAAAACCACCATCTTCCTGGGACAGAGGACCTGGGGGAAGGGATGGCTGTGGGCACAGCTTCAGGAGACTTAAACGTCCCTGCCTGACAGCTCTGAAGAGAGCAGCGGATCCCCCAGCACAGCGTTTGAGCTCTGCTAAGGGTCAGACTGTCTCTTTAAGTGGATCCCTGACCCCTGTGTCTCCTGACTGGGAGACACAGCCCAGCAGGGGCTGACAGACACCTCATAGAGGAGAGCTCTGGCTGGCATCTGGCTGTGCCCCTCTGGGATGAAGCTTCCAGAGGAAGGAACAGGCAGCAATCTTTGCTGTTCGACAGCATCCACTGGTGATACCCAAGCAAACAGGGTCTGGAGTGGACCTCCAGTAAACTCCAGCAGACCTGCAGCATAGGGGCCTGACTATGAGAAGGAAAACAAACAGAAAGCAATAACATCAACATCAACAAAAAGGACATCGACTCAGAGACCCCTTCCGAAGGTCACCAACATCAAAGACTAAAGGTAGATAAATCCACGAAGATGGGAAGAAACCAGCATAAAAAGGCTGAAAATTCCAAAAACCAAAACACCTCTTCTCCTCCAAAGGATCACAACTCCTTGCCAGCAAGGGAACAAAATTGGACAGAGAATGAGTTTGATGAATTGACAGAAGTAGGCTTCAGAAGGTGGGTAATAACAAACTCCTCTGAGCTAAAGGAGCATGTTCTAACCCAATGCAAGGAAGCTAAGAACCTTGACAAAAGGTTAACTAGAATAACCAGTTTAGAAAAGAACATAAATGACCCAATGGAGCTGAAAAACACAGCACGAAAACTTCGTGAAGCATACACAAGTATCAATAGCCAAATCAATCAAGCGTAAGAAAGGATATCAGAGATTGAAGATCAACTTAATGAAATAAAACAGGAAGACAAGATTAGAGAAAAAAGAATGAAAAGGAATAAACAAAGCTTCCAAGAAATATGGGACTATGTGAAAAGACCATATATACATTTGATTGGTGTACCTGAAAGTGATGGGGAGAAAGGAACCAAGTTGGAAAACACTCTTCAGGATATTATCCAGGAGGACTTCCCCAACCTAACATGACAGGCCAACATTCAAATTCAGGAAATACAGAGAACCCCACAAAGATATGCCTCGAGAAGAGCAACCCCAAGATACATAATCATCAGATTCACCAAGATTGAAATGAAGGAATAAATGTTAAGGGCAGCCAGAGAGAAAGGTTGGGTTACCCACAAAGGGAAGCCCATCAGACTAACAGCAGATCTCTCAGTAAAAACCTACAAGCCAGAAGAGAGTGGGGGCCAATATTTAACATTCTTAAAAGAAGTTTCAACCCAGAAATTCATATCCAGCCAAACTAAGCTTCATAAGTGAAGAAGAAATAAAATCCTTTACAGACACGCAAATGCTGAGAGATTTTGTCAACAGCAAGCCTGCCTTACAAGAGCTCCTGAAGGAAGCACTAAACATGGAAAGGAACAACTGGTACCAGCCAGTACAAAAACATACCAAATGGTAAAGATCATCGACACTATGAAGAAACTGCACCAACTAACGGGTAAAATAACCAGCTAGCATCATAATGACAGGATCAAACTCACACATAACAATAGTAAACTTAAATGTAAATGGGCTAAATGCCCCAATTAAAAGACACAGACTGGCAAATCGGATAAAGAGTCAAGACCCATTGGTGTGCTGTATTCAGGAGACCCATCTCATGTGCAAAGACACATGTAGGCTCAAAATAAATGGATGGAGGAATATTTACCAAGCAAAGGAAAGCAAAAAAAAAAAAAAAAAAAAAGCAGGGGTTGCAATCTTAGTCTCTGACAAAACATCCCTTAAACCAACAAAGATCAAAAGAGACAGAGGAGGGCATTACATAATGATAAAGGGATCAATGCATCAAGAAGAGCTAACTATCCTAAATATATATGCACCCAATACAGGAGCACTCAGATTCATAAAGCAAGTTCTTAGAAACCCACCAAGAGACTTAGACTCCCACACAATCATAATGGGAGACTTTAACACCCCACTGTCAATATCAGACAGATCAATGAGACAGAAAATTAACAAGGATATTCAGGATTCGAACTCAGCTCTGGACCAAGTTGACCTAGTAGACATCTACAGAACTCTCCACCCTAAGTCAACAGAATATACATTCTTCTCAGTACCACCTTGCACTTATTCTAAAATTGACCACATAATTGGAAGTAAAACACTCCTCAGTGAATGCAAAAGAATGGAAATCATAATAAACAGTCTCTAAGACCACAGGGCAATCAAATTAGAACTCAGGATTAAGAAACTCACTCAAAACCGCATAACTACATGGAAACTCAACAATCTGCTCCTGAATGACTACTGGGTAAACAACAAAATTAAGGCAGAAATAAGTAAGTTATTTGAAACCAGTGAGAACAAATACACAATGTACCAGAATCTCTGGGACACATTTGAAGCAGTGTATAGAGGAAAATTTATAGCATTAAATGACCACAAGAGAAAGCAGGAAAGATCTAAAATTGACACTCTAACATCACAATTAAAAGAACTAGAGAAGCAAGAGCAAGCAAATTCAAAAGCTAGCAGAAGACAAGAAATAACAAAGATCAGAGCAGAACTGAAGGAGACAGAGATACGGAAAACCCTTCAAAAAATCAATGAATCCAGGAGCTGTTTTTCTGAAAAGATCAACAGAATAGATAGACCACTAGCAAGACAAATAAAGAAGAGAGAAGAATCAAATAGACGCAATAAAAAATGACAAAGAGGATATCACCACTGATCCCACAGAAATACAAACTACTATCAGAGGATATTATAAACACCGCTATGCAAATAAGCTAGAAAATCTAGAAGAAATGAATAACTTCCTGAACAATACACTCTTCCAAATCTACACCAGGAAGAAGTCAAATCCCCAGATAGAACAATAACAAGTTCTGAAATTGAGGCAGCAATTAATAGCCTACCAACCAAAAAAAGTCCAGGACCAGATGGATTCACAGCCAAATTCTACCAGAGGTACAAAGAGGAGCTGGTACCATTCCTTCTCAAACTATTCCAAACAATAGAAAAAGAGGGAATCCTCCCTAACTCATTTTATGAGGCCAGCATCATCCTGATACGAAAACCTAACAGAGACACAACAAAACCAGAAAATTTCAGGCCAATATCTCTGATGAACATCTATGCAAAAATCCTCAATAAAATACTGGCAAACCAAATCCAGCAGCACATCAAAAAGCTTATCTACCACAACCAAATCAGCTTCATCCTTGGGATGCAAGGCTGGTTCAACATATGCAAATCAATAAACATAATCCATCACATAAACAGAACCAATGACAAAAACCACGATTATCTCAACAGATGCAGAAAAGGCCTTTGACAAAATTCAACAGCCCTTCATGCTAAAAATTCTCAATAAACTAGGTATTGATGGAATGTATCTCAAAATAATAAGAGCTATTTATGACAAACCCGCAGCCAATATCATACTGAATGGGCAAAAGCTGGAAGCATTCCCTTTGAAAACTGGCACAAGACAAGGATGCCCTCTCTCACCACTCCTATTCAACATTGTATTGGAAGTTCTGGCCAGGGCAATCAGGCAAGAGAAAGAAATAAAGGGTATTCAAAAAGGAAGAGAGGAAGTCAAATTGTCTCTGTTTGCAGATGACATGATTGTATATTTAGAAAACCCCATCGTCTCAGCCCAAAATCTCCTTAAGCTGATAAACAACTTCAGCAAAGTTTCAGGATACAAAATCAACATGCAAAAATCACAAGCATTCCTATATATCAATAAGAGACAGAGAGCCAAATCATGAGTGAACTCCCATTCACAATTGCTACTAAGAGAATAAAATATCTAGGAATACAACTTACAAGGGATGTGAAGGACCTCTTCAAGGAGAACTACAAACAACTGCTCAAGGAAATAAGAGAGGACAGAAACAAATGGAAAAAGATTCCATGCTCATGGATAGGAAGAATCAATATCATGAAAATGGCCATACTGCCCAAAGTAATTTATAGATTCAATGCTGTTCCCATCAAGCTACCATTGACTTTCTTCACAGAATTAGAAAAAATACTTTAAATTTCATATGGAACCAAAAAAGAGCCCACATAGCCAAAAAAATCCTAAGCAAAAAGAACAAAGTTGGAGGCCTCACGCTACCTGACTTCAAACTATACTACAAGGCTATAGTAACCAAAACAGCATGGTACTGGTACCAAAACAGATATATAGACCAATGGAACAGAATAGAGTCCTCAGAAATAACACCACACATCTATAACCATCTGACCTTTGAGAAACCTGACAAAAACAAGCAATGGGGAAAGGATTCCCTATTTAATAAATAGTGCTGGGAAAACTGGCTAGCCATATGCAGAAAACTGAAACTGGACCCCTTCCTTACACCTTATACAAAAATTAACTCAAGATGGATTTAAGACTTAAATGTTAGACCTAAAACCATAAAAACCAAAGAAGAAAACCTAGGCAATATCATTCACTACATAGGTATGGGGAAAGACTTCATGACTAAAACACAAAAAGCAATGGCAATAAAAGCCAAAATTGACAAATGGGATCTAATTAGACTAAAGAGCTTCTGCACAGCAAAAGAAACTATCATTAGAGTGAACAGACAACCTATAGAATGGGAGAAAACTTTTTGCAATCTATCCATCTGACGGAGGGCTAATATCCAGAATCTACAAAGAACTTAAACAAACTAACATGAAAAAAACAAACAACTCCATCAAAAAGTGGGCAAAGGATACGAACAGACACTTTTCAAAAGAAGACATTTATGCAGCCAACAAACATGAAAAAAAGCTCATCATCACTGGTCATTAGAGAAATGTAAATCAAAACCACAACGAGATACCATCTCATGCCAGTTAGAATGGAGATCATTAAAAAGTCAGGAAACAACAGATGCTGGGGAGGATGTGGAGAAATAGGAACTCTTTTACACTGTTGCTGGGAGTGCAAATTAGTTCAACCATTGTGGAAGACAGTGTGGTGATTCCTCAACAATCTAGAACTAGAAATACCATTTGACCCAGCGATCCCATTACTGGGTATATACCCGAAGGATTATCTATCATGCTACTATAAAGACACATGCATGTGTATGTTTATTGCAGCACTGTTCACAATAGCAAAGACTTGGAACCAACCCAAATGCCCATCAATGATAGACTGGATAAAGAAAACGTGGCACATATCCACCATGGAATACTATGCAGCCATAAGAAAGGTTGAGTTCATGTCCTTTGCAGGGACATAGATGAAGCTGGAAACCATCATTCTCAGCAAACTAACACAAGAACAGAAAACCAAACACTGCATGTTCTCACTCATAAGTGGGAGTTGAACAGTGAGAACATATGGACACAGGGAAGGGGAATATCACACACCAGGGCCGGTCAGGGGGTGGGGAGCTAGGGGAGGATAGCATTAGGAGAAATACCTAACATAGATGATGGGTTGATGGGTTGATGGGTGCAGCAAACCACCATAGCACATGTATATACCTATGTAACAAACCTGCACATTCTACACATGTACCCCAGAACTTAAAGTATAATAAAAAATAAAAATATAATAGTAAAAAACTGAATGCTGTACCCCTAAGATTAGGAACAAAGTAAGGATATTTGCTCTTACTCTTCTAATTCAATGGAGTGCTAGCCAGTGCAATAAGGTGAGAAGATACAATAAAAGGCAGACTGAAAAAGAGGAAATAAAATTGCTCTGATTTGCATATATCACAACGGTCTATGTGGAAAATTCCAAGGAATCTACACAAAAAATTTCTACAGCTAATAAGCAAGTTCAGCAATGTTGACAGATATGAGATAAACAAAAAACAATTTTATTTTTATATACCATCAGTGAGTCCATGGACCCAAAATTAAAAGTAAAATACCATTTATAATCACTCAAAAGAAAATATTTTGATGTAAATCTAACAAAATGTGTGCAGGACTTGTATAATGAAAACTACAAAATGCTGATGGAAAAAAATCAAAGAATATTATAAACTTAGAGACACACCATTTTCATAGATTGGATGATTCAACATGGTAAAGATGTCAGTTCTTTTCAAATTGATATATAGCTTTAACAAAACTTCTACCAAAAATAGGCAAATAGTATCAGCAAGACTATTTTTAGATATAGACAAGAGTATATGTATATAAATTTTATATATATATATAAAATTATATGTTAAGGCAAAGGAACTGGAATAGCTAAAAGAATTTTGGGAAATAATAAAGAAGGAATGAGGCTCTGAAATTTCACTTATACAACTACAAGACTGTGTAGTATTCACAAGGGGATACATTTGTAGATCAATGGAACAGACTAGAGAACCACAAAGAGACTTACATATATTTGCCTGGCTGATGTTTGCTAAAGATGGAAAGGCATTTCAATAGACTAGGAAAGACAGCCTTTTCAAGAAAAGGTGCTGAAGCAATTGGACATCCATAAGGAAAAAGAATGAAACTCTACCTGTCAGACAACTTATATGTTTATTAATTCAAAATGGATCACAACCTTAAATGTAAAATATAAAACTAAAAAGTTTTGAAAAACACATAGAGGAAATATTCGAAATCTAAGGCTAGGCAAGGAGTTCTAAAACTTGACTATAAAAGCATGGCCTATAAAAGGAAAAAATTATAAACTGGATTTCATCAAAATTAAAGTCTTCTGTCAAAGACCATATTAAGAGGTGGAAAAAATAAGATATAAACTGAGTAAAAATATTTGCCAACCACATTTGAAAAGAAATAGTATATGGAATATATAAGGGACTCTAAAAGCTCACCGATACACTCACACATTGCTAGTAGGAATGTAAAGTGGTGAAATAGCTTTTGGTGAGCAGTTTGGCATTTCTCCAAAAATTAAACATAGTGCCGTCATATGACACAGATTCGACTCCTGAATATATGCCCAACAGAAATGAAATATGTGCATACAAAAACTTATATATGAATGTTCATAGCAGCATTATTTATAATAATCCCAAAGTGTAAACTAAATTATCAATAAACAGATATACAAAATGTGGCATATCTATACAATGCAATATTATTCAGCAATAAAAAGGAAGGAAGTACTGATACATGCTACATCATAGACAAATCTTGAAAATATAAGCCAGGTAAGAGAAGGTAGTCACAAAAGGCCACATAGTGTATGATCCTATATATATTTAATGCACAGGATAGGCAAATCTATAGAGATAAAACACAGCTTCGAGGTCGTTAAGGTATGAGGGAGGCAGAAATGGGAAGTGATTGCTCATGGAGATGGAGTTTCTTTTGGAGCTGATTAACGTGTTCTGAAATTACAGAATATGTGATGGTTACACAACCTTTTGAATATGCTAAAACTACTAACTTGTATATTTTTAAAGGGAGAATATTATGATGTGCTAATTATTTATCAATTTTTAAAAGTTAAACAGTAAACAAAGCAAACAATTCAATCCTAAATTGGCAAAAGACAAATGAGATTTCACCAAAGATAATATGCAGGTGGCAAATATGTACAAGAAGATGTTCAACATTATTAGCTATTAGGGAAAAGCAAATAAAAACCACAATGAGATATTACTACACACCTATCAGAATAACTAAAATAAGAAATAGTGACAACATCAACTGCTGATGAGGATGAGGAAAAACTAGATCACTCATTCATTGCTGGTGGGAATGTAAAATGGGACAGCCCCTCTGGAAAACAGATTGGCAGTTTCTTTAAAAACTAAATGTACAACCAACCTATGACCCAGCAGTTGTACTCCTGGTGATTCATTCATGTAAAAGCCTATACATTAATATTTATAGCAGCTTGATTCATAATAACCCTAAACTGGAAACAACCCAGATGTCTTCTAACAGGCTAAATTGGGTACACTTATACCGTGGAATACTACTCAGCAATAAAAAGGAATGAACTGTCAATACATGCAACAACTTGAATGAATCTCCAGAGAATTCTGCTGAGTGAAAACATGCCAATCTTCAAAGTTATATACTGTATGATTTCTTATATGCATCTGTCATGTTTTCTTTTACAGTTTTGCAAACTGCTTTTCCAAAAGTGTATACCACGTTAAACTCTTTATCAATAGAGTAGGCATGGATGCCTGTCCCAGAACACCTTCATCAGGTGTGGAGTGCACAACTGGTTTTTAATTTCTGCTAAATTTGTAGGTGAAAAATAGTACCCTCTTGCCTCTGTGCTTATTTATTATTGATGCTGAAAATATTTAAATGTTTTTAAATCATTTATATGATTCTATGATTAGTCTATTCATCAAGGACGAAGGGATTCCTCTGGCTCATCATGCATGAAGCAGTGGGCACAAGAAACACTATGAGCTGGTTAAAATTGGTTATAATTTGTTAAAAGTTACCATGAAACTAACAAACGGGTTGGAGTGTCAGGGGAATCCTGAGGTGAAATATAACCAAGAAGTCGAAAAGATGAACAGTACACCAAAGCAAAGTCAGAGGTGGGGTCCAAGATTTAGGCTTGGTGGGGGATGGTCAGGAAGTGATTTATTTATAGATAGCAATATTATAGCGGGAATCTTGTAAGCCAAGAGCTGAGTGTAGCTTTTTCAGGTGGAAAAAGGAGCAGGGATGCAGGTAAATATACAAAAATTGTGCAAGAATCAAATAACATAAAAGTACAAATGGCAGAAAGCTAGAGAGGCACCCCAGGGCACAGTTTTAATTCCAGAAACAAGGTTTTATTGTTTCAGTAGAGACGTAGCCTTTAACACAAATACAGCAGGGGTGTGGTTGTTTGAAGGCATTTGTGACTAGGTTGTAGATTGGGAAATGCAAAATGTGAGACTGGTGAATGTGTATGCACTTTCATTGGTGAATAAAAGCAGAGAATTATTTACACTGCTTAGGAATGAAGGTGCCAAATAAATGCTGACTGTGCTTAAGAAAAAGGGTATAAAGTTAGAAGAAGAAAAAGTGATTCCTATACATTAAGTTCTCAATCTATAAAACTGCAAGGCTAGAGAGCCCTCCTGTGAATACACATGGATGAACAGGATCTAAATTATACCTACAAGGAATGAAAATAGGCCAATATCCCAGAATCTCTATGTTGGAGAGCAGTAGAGACATCTATCTAATTCTCTGCCCTCAGCATAAATCTCTTTTGAAATATTTGTTTCTGTTAAGACCTTGAATAGCTTCTCCTTGGGTACTGCCCTTGATAGAAATTTATTTCGGCAAAAGATAACTTAATCTGTTTTATAATACTATGATTTCCAGAAAATTCTCCCTTTGAATTGACTCATTTCTATTCTCCTTCATAAATGTTATCAATAGCTCTCCCTCTGGAACCACATGAAACAATGGCAATAATACCTTTACATTTAAAAAGTTCTGACTATGTGACTCTATGTACATTATATTTTTTAGTTCCCACAACATTCAAAATAGGTAGTTTTTATTATCCTTACCTTTCCTATAAAGAAATGGAAAGCAAAAGAGATTGTGTAATATTCCCCAGTCAGTGCATGGTGACAGCCACTATTTGAACCAAGACTTGTGTCTCTGTCTGTGTCTCAGGCTCTTTTCTCTTGAGAATTTGTTAGGTTCTGCTAAACTGCCTTAGAAGTCTAATCCTGTATCCTTGTGAGAGTTAAGTTTTAGAAGCCAGCTGTTCCATAAGACTTATAGATTTCTGCCACTGAAATACTGTCACATCTGCTTCTAGTGATTTCTTTATGAAAAAGTATGGTCAGATTACATAAAAGAACAGAGAGCTGGGATTTCAGATTGTGTGAACTCTTTGGGGTCTCCTTATCAATAGATGTTTGTTTAATAAACGTCTGGGAGATGTGTGGCAGAATTTGGTTGGAGACCTGCTTTTGTTATAACCTGGTAGGGATTTTGTGAGAGGGTAATATCACTAACCCACCCATCACGAACTATTATCTACCAAAGTACCTACCATTATCTACAAAAATAAACAAAGAACCTCAGAGTCAGTGAATGATCACGCTGGCTCAGGAGAATTCGCAACAGCTGGTCTTAAAGACAGGTTTTTTTGTTTGTTTGTTTGTTTGTTTGTTTGTTTGTTTGTTTTTCCCAGGAGTGATCATAAAAGACTAAGCGATCAGATTAGTGTAGAACGGAGGCAGGCAATCAGCTTCCTCTCTGCATATTCTCCTCTCCTCATAGCCTAAGATTGCAGCAGCTCTTGGCAGGTTCAGCATTCTGTAATCTCCAATGGAGCCTTGAGGACTCGACCTCCAGCCAGGACACTTTCATACTTGCTGAAGTTCCATCTCCACCCTGGACAAACTGCTGGAAGTTTTTTTTTGTTTCACCCAAAGACAGCTTTTCTACCTAGAAAAGACTATTCAGTCATTTATTTTATTTTGAAAAATTGATATTCATTTTATTAAAGTCACCAATTTTTAATAACCTCATTCTTCCTTAAGCTTTAAGTTCAATTTACAAATCCTCTTATTCTAGTTATGCCTAGCACTTTTAGCAATCACTCTAATTGCCTTTGAACAATACTTGATCCCATTTAAAAACTAGTTAATTAAACACTTTCACATATTTTATACTGCATTTATAAGTTTAATGCATTTTATTTCTCTTTAGAGTAATTCAATTGCCTGATTGGCAAACTTTCCCAAGGACGAAGTAATCTATATAAATCTAATAAATTAAGTTTATAAATATCGTGAACTCTGAGTTCTCTTAAGTGCCACAGTAGTATATATATAGTAAGAATTTCACTGCAAACCAGAAGTCTGAATTAATTACTTAATTAGATATTTTAAATTGAAGTTACAATGCTATCACTCAAGTGCAATTTCTAAACATTACAATAAAAATTGAATATTATTTCCATAATTCAAAAGTATTAATATCGCTGGATTTTAATTTTCTAAAATATTTCTCTACTTAATTTGCAATTCTGAGTTTGAAAGATGCTTATCTCTTAAGGAGGGATAGTACCATCCTAGTTAAAGTAGGTACTAATGATCAGAATTTTTGGCTTGGGCCCTAAATGGGATGCAATAAATCTCATTTATATTTGATTCCATAAATTCAAGGAAGGTGTGGCACATGGCCTACATCTTTGGATTTAAGCCATATACATTACCTATTTCTTCCTTAGTCTATTCACAGAAATCTGCGACTCTCTTATTCCTGCCAAAATGATCACATGATTGACTCTTTGTCTCTCAATATATGAAATCAACTTCCTGCCCAGGCCTAAAGATCTTTGACCATAGCTAGATCCCTGCATTCTTTTTCATTGATTTTCTAATATTACAAATATTAAAATGAATTTTGGATGTTTCCTATGTTACTGGAAGTCACAGTTGATATGGAAATTTTACTGACAGACTTGTTTTTAACCTAATCTTTGGTTTTTATCTGACTTAATATGAAATCATTTTGGATCCTAACTCTGCTCTCTTCTCCAGTTTCATATCATCCTTGGATTTGATAAACTTGTCATTGTTATCTAAGGTATTGATAAGAATGTTGACTGAAACAGAACCCCATATGGCACTTTGGGAAGACTCTCTTCAGTTTGTCTTTGGTCCATAAATCGGCTCCCTTCAGGGATGTCATACCTGCCTGCACATGGAACTTATTTGGACTGCTTACTAAAACTCGATTTTTGGACTTCACTCTTTAGCCTAAAGGGTTGTGCCACAGGCATCTTGAACTATTTAACAACATCCCTAGGTGACTCTTAAGCAGCTGTTTTGGCATCAGTCCAAAGACCAGCTTTCAAAGCTGCTGCCTCTGTTTCTCTGTCTTGACCAAGGACAGAACTTAGACATTATCCAGTGCCATAAGTCCAGACTCACTAGGTCTACAGTACCCCCATCCACCTGTTGATTAACCATAGCCTTAGAGGAAATAACAGTCTGGCATTACTTCTCCTTATAGTGCAGACAGGTTCTAAAAGATCATCTCCTATCTCACCACTTGCTCAGGAGAATCCCCAGAGATCAACGTTAAATTCATTCACTAGTGTTCATTCTTCAATATCTGCCTTATTTTCTTTTATAAAGTTAGGTCATTTCCTCCCTTCATGCTATCCTCCTCCTCTACCACATCCTCTAGTACTGTCCCTGGTCTTCACGGTTGGTTTCTCAACAATTATCTGTGGTGGATTAGTGATCTTATTGTCAGCTTTCTCTAACCCATGAATGTAAGTTTTCCAGGCCTGGGGAAACAAACAACAAATAGTTATATATTTTAAAAATAATAAAGCCATATCAAAGAGAATTCCAGAATAAAGATGCACAAATTAGGCTCCCAATCAACAATACTAGTTGTCTTGGATACATAAAACAGAACTTGTCTGGTTTTTATCTGAATACTTCATTGACAAAATGATCCTTCTGCACTTATGGTTGATAATGACTCTACTGTGCTCTTTGTGTTCTTATTTTGTTTGGTATTCCCATAAACTTGGCCTTTTTTTCCACACTGCCTATCCTTGATACCTTCTTTTTCCAATCATTCTAATCTAAACATTCATAATGGAAATGCATTTTATCTTATGAAAAATACTGTCACCAGAACATCACCCCTTATGAGACCATCTTTTCCCAATCCCCACACTTAACTGACCTTTCATACATAACTGGCCAGTCCAAGATGTCAGAGCGGACACTCCCTAGATTTGGAGGAAGAGTGATCCAGGAGACCCAAGAGCTGGAGGGTCTGCACCAAAATCGGCTGAGGATCAAAGAAGTTTCAGTCCTAAATAGTATGTGTCCAAGGGCCAGCAGAGGACTCAAGATAGTTCCTGCAGCTCTCCCCAAGTCGAGGTGCAGCAACTCCTGTGCACCTTGCCTCACATTTGTCCAATGCATGCTGGCAATGTGAAATGAGGTTTCCTTTCACATACAGCCTGACAGTTGACAGACAAGGACTTTACTTTCACTTCACTGCTGGGTTCTTCAGCAGTTTCCTCTTTTGAGATTTCAGTTAAGCCAAGCAGATGTTTTCCAGGTGTCAGGTTTTTCTGGTAAACATAGCCTTCTACTACTAGAGTAGGTGAGAGCTATATGCCCTCTTCGAATAGTTCTCTACCTATGTGTATATTGTAATAAAAAATTATATGTATTATAGTGACTAATAGACTCAGTGCTCTCTCACTTTGTAAGCAATGAGGTACCAAAACAGTAAGACAATTCATTCTCTAAACTTGCTAAAGTCCTCACTCTTCATTCTTTCTGGTGTCTTAACACACACCTTGTATACAAGAAAGGTTTCTGCTGAGTGAAAGGTAACAATGTTGATGAGGCTCAGCTAGCCTTCAGGTAGAATCACGCATCTAAGTGTCCAGGGAACACAGGACCAAACAGCATTCCAGATCAAGGGCACCACCCCCACAGATGTTAGGCTGCTAGGTTTCCTATAACTCATTAATGCAGGGGAAAAACATCTGCCTAAATCTTCCTGATCAAACATCTATCTTGAAAAATCTCTAATTCCAATAGAAAAAAAGTATTTGCTAATATGCTTTGCCCTAATTAAAAACTCTCTAGTGCATATTTAGATAGCAATATTTGGAGCTATTGCTCATATGTGGATTTCTGATTATGGGGTTTCATATGCTAATTAACACCCCTAGAGTATATATTAAGGTTCATTTGCAAACATATACATGGAGCTGTATAGATTGACATATTTTACAAAAACAACAGAAATGATTATCTCTTCATAGAGGTCCTCCTCGAGGTCTCTTGCCTGGTTATCCCTTGATGATTGTGCTGCTCCTGGTAGACCCTCTGCCTGGTTCAGGGCTCCCTTCTCCCCTCCCTTCCTTTTCTTTCCAGCCTCCCTAACTTTATTCCAACTTCTGCTTTATCCAAAAGCTCAATCTTCTTTATTTTCTCTCACAAAAGACCTTAATGGCCCTTCGGTAAGAAACTTGACTATGTTTAAACAGGAGCCCAAATCTTCACCATCAAAAAAACTGGCCTTACTTCACCAACGTATGGAGGTCTTAGTCCTCAGAAACATAATCACTCAATCCATTTGATGCCTGGGATGAACAGGGGATGTTTGCATTCTACCCTGAGGAAGGTCACTTTATATCTTAGAATGTGCCAAGAGGTAGTTAGTTGAGATTTTATCCCCAGGACAGCTTAATTCATATCCTGAATCATCTACAATCAGCTCACCTTTATAGGTGAGTGGACAGGTGGTAAGAGGGTGAGTAGGGTTAGGAGGTGGGAAGGGTCATGAGAAAGAAGGGTGCATGGGTGGAAGGTGAGAGGGTATGGGGGTAGGAGGTGGGACTTTGGGTAGTACTCTGGATGGTTGGGCCTTTCTAGGGCCAGGGAGATATCTGTAGCACTCCAAACCTATTAGAATTCTCCGGTCCATTATATCTTATAATCCAACCGCTTAAATCCCTTCTTTCTTTTTCTCCCTTAAGCTTGGAGTCTTTGCTTAGCATGCTGATAATACTTCTATGATTCTGGAGAAAAGGAAGCCATTTTAAGTAGAAGTAAATGGAACAAAGTTTTTGTAAATTCTTATTATGACGCTAAACAGAGAATTTTGCAAGATACTGAAATTCTTGCCTCATTATAGAAGACACTGTATGCAGAGAAGATGGCCAGTGACAGAAATGAGACTCAGAGAAAGAAAAACAGCAGTGTTTCTAAAGGTTGAATTAAATTGAAATTCTGAATAAACAGGTAATAGGATTTATCATTCTGTAATAGAAGCATCATATTGCCAGGCAAGCTAAAAAAGTATAATTTTGTGGTTCTCATTCCTGTGGGAGTATTATTGACTCAGGTAAATGAAACCATGTTCACTGAAAAAGTATCTATAAAACCTGTCAATTAGAAAAGTATTGTTGAGAGTCCACTGACTGCATCTTCTTGATCTCCTGGAATATTTGATTTTTAGCTACCTTCAGGAAGAGAGTGAGATTGGTGTCTGCCATCCATCACCCACACATGTACATGAGCCACCTAACTTCATAGCACCTGGAACCACCCATAAGGCTTGATTTCAAATTCAGGGAGATGTTTTTCTCATTAAAAAAAATTTGAGAGTTTTTGCATATATTTGCATGTTGACTTTCAAACATATGAAATCATATGTACAAAAACAAGTTTGATTGCATCTTACTATTTTGTAGGCTAAACTCACTTGAAAGAATTGGCATGTGTAAAGAATTCTAAATTGATTAGGTTCTGAAGTATAGAAAAACAAAAATTGGGATACAGGGACTTAAAGAGAAAAGAGAAGTCATTTTAAAACCTTCCTAAATTCAGAAATAGAACCATCTAAAAAGAGATTTAAACCATAAACAAGCTAATTAAATCCAAACTTTCAAAATATCCTTTTGTTTAATATTACTGTATTCCTGTATTCATTTCAATAACAGAAAGACCTTTTTTTTTTCTCCTCACCCTGGGAATTCTAGGAGATTTCCCTAAGTTTATTGTCAAACTGCAGAAGCATCTGGAAAGAGTAGACACAGACCGCAGTGGAGTCTTGACATTCTAATGTCATTGAGAAACATTTCTATGTGACTGCTGTCACTTTGTGGAAATGAAAATAAATATAAAGCAGTTGATTATAATAAGGTTAACAAAAGGGTGCTTGCTCCTTCTTGGTTTTAAATTTCCTCTGAAAGAAGAATGCCTTGTGTTTTGGTTTCTTACCAAATACCTATGATTGACCTCCCTTATTTTCAGAATTTACATAGCATCTGTTACTAAATTTTTCAGAAGTAAGTTTGTTTTTCCCTTTTTTTCCAACTATAAAGGCAAAAGGTAACTGGGAAAATAAGTTCAAATGTTTTAAGAAGGTGAAACCATTCCCAAATCACATAGCCAAGAGATAACCTCTTTATTTTCCAAATCTCTCTGCTTATATATATAACACATTATACGTATCTCATGATTTTGATTTCAAAAGTCCAGTTCTTTTAGATATACTGCATGCAACTTACTTTTTTTTTAACTGAACAACATATTGTGAACATTTTTTCATGCCAGTTTATGCATCTCTCGCTTGTTTTGAATGTCTGCTTAGTATTCTGGGTTTTTTTCACTATACCACAATTTAATGAACTAGTACCATATTGAGAGACTTTTAAGTAATTTCCACTCACTCATTATTATAGACAATTCTGCAATGAAAATAATTGCATAAATTATCTTTGTGACCATGTGTAGGCATTGCAGTAGCGAGGCAAGGAAATGGTTTCTCCTCTAGAGCCTCCAGAAGTAAAATTGTAAGGAAAAAGAATAGGCAAAATTAAAGTTTTCAAACCTTTTACCAAACTACCCCCACAAAGATTGTACTAATTTATACAACCACTAAAAGCAAATTTGAGGGCTCCAGTATATTTTAAGCTTCCTATGTATAGGTGCATTGTGCTAAGCCATTGCAGATGGCATGATGCCATATCATGAGTACCTACGCCATATGGAGCTACACCCTGGCCCTGCAGAGTTCACAGGGCCACGTGTGCAGCCCAACCGCTCCGGAGCACAATTCAGTCAGCTACTGCAAGGAAAGCAAACATTTCTTTGGCTTGGCTTTCAAATCAATGAAGCCCTTCTTTGCAGTGGAGCCGAAGTCTGGGGCTCTGACTCAGAGCCACTGGACCCATTTACAAGTTATGGGTGAAATAGCAAGCCTGAAATCTCAGAAAGCTGATGTTTCTAAGATGGAAGGGATGGAGAGGGTTGTGGTTTACTTAAGCCGACCATAAACTTAAGTTCTACTCCTAATTTCATTGTTGAATCATTGAACTCCTAATTTTCATTGTTGAGGAGGAACAAAAAAGAAGTGTAGCTTTATTGGCTTTCAAACTTCAAATACTTTTAAATACACACACATAGTCACCTACACACAAACATACACATATACACATATATATCCCCCAACAAACATACACATATACACACACATACTCACCCACAAACATATACATACACATACAGAGCATATAAAGTACATTTATTCATTCATTAATTCCCATTCACCCAACACTCACTAAGCTGCTATATGCCAGGCATCATACTAGATAAACAGAGAAGGAGGAACTGGTGGGGAACAAGGCTTGTGGCCAAACTGATGCTGTGAATCCATCTCTAGTGGCCACTAAGTGTGTTAATTATTCAGAACCACTTTTCTCTACAGAGTAGAAATTTTTCTTGAGAGGGTGAAGGGCGTGACTGTTGAGCAATGCCTGGGAAAAAGAATGTGGGTCCTGGAGTTTCAAGCATAATTGGGTGAAGAAGTGGGAGGGGCACTCTGTATGCAAGGAGACAAATGCACAGCAACAAGAAAGAACAAGTTAAGGAACAACTGTGGAGAAAGCAAGCAGGGAGGTTTAGGGCAGGCTAAGGAGCATCTCTAATATGGGGCCATGGTGTTTGAACCTTTGTAGGGAAAACACTGAAGGAGTTTGAGGAGGCCAGCAACATCATGTGTCATCTGTATTCCTTTGTTCTCTGAAGAATGAATGTGCAAAGCTACCAAGTGCCATTTAGCTGCTCCAGGGGCTGGCTGGTAAAGAACATGGACAATTCCTGATACAGAAAGACAGGCGTACCCTCGGGCTTTTTGGATGCATAGCTCATGTGTTTAGACCTGTTATTTTGGCATGCAGAAAGCTGACCTGCATGGTTTTGAGTCTAGGGTGGCATAATGGGATGGACAGAATGGTGAAGAAGTACTTGAGGACCATACAGTATACTGTAATGAACACTGAACTGGAAGTCAGGGGACTTGAGTTCTACATACAACTTCCCAGCAATGAGCTATATACCATGCAAACTTAAGCAAATTAATACCATGTGTCTCTGGGACTCAGTTTTCCCACCTGTGAAATAAGGGTGTGAGGTGGACCATGTTTGGCAAGGGTGGGATATGCAGTTCAACTGTGCTGATGACACCTGAAGCATTTTCACTGTGACTCTAGGCCTGGAAACCCTGGGTTTCTGGGCTGACAACGATGCTTATAACAGGCAACATTGTACAGCTCAAGTTTCTCTTCACCCACTCCTCACTAAGTGATCACATGCCTTAGTTTCTTTCTTTGCAAACAACAAGTCACTGAGCAAACCTTACTGGCTATTTGGTCCAACAGCACAAGCCAGGAGTTCAGAGCCAGGACTAATGAATACCACTGCTGAGTTGCCAGATGGGAGGCAGGGGGCACTGTCGGATGGATGGTGTTCTTGAGAACATGGTTCTTTGCTGAAGACTGAGTGGAAGAAAGCAGAAAGGGAGACCACAGAAAGAGGAGAATACAGCAAAGTATGTTTGATCACCTATGCAGAGACACAGTAAATTGAGAAGCAAATAGCTTTAAATAAGCAGCTAAGTTTCTCACAGATTATAAGAAAAACTGGGCTTCAAAAAATTACCGAGTATTCCCCAAAAATTCACGTTTATGATCAACATTAATCTTCAGATTTCAAGGACTGACCATATGAGTCATCCATTAAGCAAGGATTTCTGAAGCAGCCCTGGGCTAAGGGCTCTTCTAGCTGTAGAAATTGGAAATCAAGATTTCACAGGCAACCCAGGGTCAATGTTGAGAGTTCAGTTTGTGTATTTTGTTGGAAAATATTCGAATACCAGGCTTTCTTCCTGAGACTGGATGTGGGGCAGGGAATTTGGCAAGATTTAGAGTTAATTCAAGTTCAGACACTGGCAGGAGAGCGACTTTGACACAGGAAAACCTTTTTGACGGCTAAATATACAGACAACACTGCCTTTCTTCCCTGAAAAACTTTGATGGTTGTGCCTCATTGAAGCCTTCCAGGGAGATTTAACAGAACAATTTCTTGTGGTTCTGTCTAGCTTTTATGATTTGATGAGTTAAATAGGTCTCCCTAGATGTCATCCTCAACCAAGGAGACTAAAGGAGAGCCCAGGGTAATGCCAGGTCATGTTACAGTATAAGAATAAAAGCCACGGGAGACAACTTGGTAGAAAAATCATCATTTTTTAAACTTTGTTTTTTGCTGTTTTGATGCAAGAGAATCAGTGAATTAGAGAAATAAGCCTGGGCCAACTAAGCCTATTACTACAGGGCCTTTGGCTATTACTTGCTGACAGATTGCTTCTGACTCAAAAATTCAGAAATTGCTCACTATTAACTGCATACTTGATGCTTATGCCAATAATATTCTTTGTTCCAGAAAGTAAAATTCGGAAAACTCTGAGGGGACTTTGAAGTAAACTGTGAAGCAAGTGGCATATCAGCATCCTGGATGCTTTGTGTAATTTTCTCTGTCACCATTAACAAGAAGAATGAAGTACTGGCAACCTGCCAGAGAAATGTTCAGTGACGGTTTGAGCGCTTCGCCTTGAGTGCGTTTGAATGAAGTATTGGATGCCTCCAGAGGTATTTGGGAAGTGAGTGTAGGAAGCAGATTTGCCTGCAGCACAACTTGTCATCTCTTAACTGTGCTCCTACATGCTGGGCCTAGAGGCAGGAGCTTCCTTCCTTTCCCGATTTTACCCTTGCAGTCCTTTCCATCCTCCCACTCCTGTGACCTTTAATGTAGGTCTCTCTATTAAAATCTTCTAGAGAAATAGCATCTAGAAGACAGCCTAGGGTTTCTAGAAAGACAGTCAGTTAAAGATGATGCCACGCTTTGCAGAGGGTTAGGGAGAGTATCAGAGTAAGGAGGAAAGAGGCTGTTACCCTGACATCGACGTCCATCATGTCGTTGTGTTTTTCAACACTTTAGGGCTGAAATATGAATGCATTTTAACATCTGTATGAACACCTGTTACGGGCTGAATTGTGCCCCCCACCCTCCCCCAAGTTCATATGTTGAAGCCCTAGTCCCCAGTACTGTGGCTGTATCTGAAGATAAGGTTTTTAAAGAGGTGGTTATAAGGCCATCAGGAGGGGCCCTAATCTCATATGCCTGGAGTTCTTATGAAGAGAAAGAGACACCAGGGATGCACATGAACAAAGGAAAGGCCCTGTGTGAGGACACAGAGAGAAGATGGCCCTCTGCAAGCCAAAGGGAGAGGCCTCAGGGGAAGCCAAGCCTGCCAGCACCTTGATCTTGAACTCCTCAGCCTCCAGAACTGTAAGAAAATAAGTGTCTGCTGTTTAAGCCACCCAGACTGTGGTATTTGTTACGTTAGCCCTAGCAAGTTAATTCAGCTTTAATGCCGGCAAACTCTCCCACTTTCTGGGTAATTTTTCCTTTTAATTCAAACAATGATGACAATAAACAAACATAATAATAGTCCCATTCTGTGCAATGTGGAAATGTGGTCATACAAGATTCTTCTCTACCCTCCTACTATCTTTAAGTAAATTTTGGAGAATTCTCTTAGGAATGCTTTTATGTTCCATTAAACTACTCGGTCATCTCTGGAACCCCCAGCCAGCTTTCTTGCTCTGGACTGGTATTTTTTTTCTCCCAGTCATTCATCTTTTACCATCTCATAACTTGCTTCCTCCTTAGGTATGGACATTAGATTCTCTCATATGGGCATTGCTAATTCCTTGAAGTACCAGCTAAGACTATGCAGCAATGTTTACCAAAGGATTGTTGTAGTACTGGGCATGAAAGGAGGCAATTAAAATGCAAAAAGAGAATATTAAAAACTGCCTTCTAAAGAGGATATCTCCTAGGAGCTCCTCCTAGGGTTTTTCACAGGCTGTCTCATTCCTTAGGCTTCCTGCATTTTACCATGAAGGGCCCACCTAACCTGTATGCATTGCAGGACTGACCTTGTTTTTTAGCCATTATTGAGGTCTCCAAATTCAACTCAGTCCCAAGAAAAAAGAAGTGTTCTCTTTTATAAACATAGGATCAAGCTATGGCTTATATTCTGCCCTAGATAGAAAGTTGACAGAGGAGAATTCTCCTCCCTTCAGAAGACATCCTCACATCCACTCACAGCACGTGTACTTGCCCACAGCAAGGGAATCCCAGGATTCTGTGTTTCATTTTCAAAGTCTTGCACAAAGTTGTGTAACTAATGGAAATAGTAACACATGACAAGTCACTCAAAATAATCTGTTCTATTACACTGGCTAATTAAAAATTAATTTTAACAAAATTGCAAAATGTCTTTGGCACATGAGAGATGACATTTCTTGACTTAGTAGAGAGCAAAAGAATCATATCTCAGCTTACTGCTTTCCCAAAGATTTTCTTAATGGTGGTTGAAAGTTGTAAACTAAGAAGAAAAAATCCCCATGAAAGAAGAACATTTGGGGATAAGAATACATGTCACTCAAGAGTACATACTTTTCTCACATTCTTTCCAACTTTAATCTTCTAATATCCTCACTATAGTGATGACAACCACAACACAGATTTCCTGACCTATACTGGTAACTGCACTGGGCTGTAAAAATAACAACAGCAGCAACAATAACAATAATAATAATTTAGAAACCATGTATTCAGGTCATCAAATGTGAGAGGCACTATGTTATTGCTTTACAAAGGTTATCTTGAGTAATCTTCATCATAACCTACTCTGAAGTAGGTAACATTACTCCTATTTTAGAGATTAAGAAATTAGATGTAGGAAAGTGAAGTAATTTGCCCCTTAATCCCACTTCTCAGAAAGTTTTTGTTTTTACCTTTACTCTCTTTTCTTTTCCTAAATTGATTCTAGGGATGTTCTTTTGTCTAAGAGAACATGATGCTGACAGTATTTTATTTAATTCAGTACTGGCATTCCTCTTAGCCAGAGTCATAAATAATGTCAGATCTCCCCTCCAACCCCACCTCCCAGGAAAACCTAATATCCTGAATTGATCTTGGAAACATAAAATGGTCTTAAAGTTAGCTTCTTCCAGATTGGTAATTTAATTCAACTGGGCCAGGAGTCAATGAGGGGCTAGAAAGACCATGATGTACATACATTGTGCTATGAGAATACAAGGTTGAGCAAGAGACTATCCCTGCTTCACAGAGCTTGCATTAGTATTGTCACCGAAGCCTCCTCTTTAGGGACAGGTTACATGGTACATGCTTTCTGTAAGTGCTTCAGGTACAATTCTATGAGGCACTAAGCTTATCCTTTGCTCTCTGAAAATAGGAATCAAATTCAGCCACATGATCCATTTGAAACATTGTCTAGAAACAGTAAAGGACCAGTGACTCTTCCAAATGGCATATAAGTGATACTCCTGGGATTTGGTGGCCAAATGTTTGCAGATAAGAAAAACCTCTTCTTTTCTAATCGCAAATGGAAATATAGTAATTGCTGGTTGGATTCCTGCTCAAACAACCTTTAGGGGAAGGGCTGAGGTGAAAGGCTGCAGACTAGTCAGCTAATGAGAAAGCACAACCCTGGGGCAGTCACTAGTCTGACTAATACTCAACTTACTGGCAAAACATTGAGTAAAGGAATTAGCAGATTGGGCAATGATAAACCATGGGCAGGCAAAGGTTGTGAAGCTATTAAGATTTCTTGGGTTGGAAAACGATGTCAACAAATTTAGCATTGCAAAATAGCATCTTATTTCAATGGAAAAAGTATTCTGGTATTGCATTAGAAAAACTAATAAATACTAATGGCTACTTCTAGGGAGTGATATCCATCCACTGAGCACAAGGCTGGGATGTGTTTACTGATCCTATCCCTAAGAGGGACAGTATTGGTCCTGTTTTTAAGGTGAAGAAACAGAGACAATAGAGGGCTAGGGTTGGGTCATTCCAGCTCATGACAGCCAATTGTTAAATTTTCAAGAACTTTTTTTCTTTTTCCTTTTTTTTTTTTTTTTTTTTGAGATGGAGTCTTGCTCTGTCCCCCAGGCTGGAGTGCAATGGCGCAATCTCAGCTCACTGCAATCTCCGCCTCCCGGGTGCAAGTGATTCTCCTGCCTCAGCCTCTCTCAGCTGAGATTACAGGCAAATTTTCAAGAATTTTGAAAGCTGATTATTAAACTGTTGGTAGTTTGAAATCAACCATGGTTGGAGTCTTTATACCGAGGAAATAAGCAAACACTACAAATTAAGCCTATTGTTTTCTTGTGGAGAGCTAGTTTTCCAGCCCACTGCTATTCAGAGAGTTATTTGTTCAAAGTCACTCTATTCTATAGTCATTCCAAAACCTGAGTTTTAATTTGCTATGCTACGTTGATTTATTTCCACTGTAAGAGGAGAGATATAGCTTAAGCTATCCAAATACCTGATAATAGAAATTTAAAGCCTATCATTAGGTATCCTTCCATGTACCAGGAATTCGTAACATTTCACATTTTCCAGTTTTGCCACAGTTTTCATACTCTTTCTCAATTTCTGTTTTCAAGTCTTCACCCAACTCTTCTGCATGAGCCATGTCCTTAGCAAGACATTATAGTAAGGCACTTAAGTATTTCTGCAAATTAATTGGAAACATATTTTGGAGGCATCTATGTAGTGTTGCTAATATTGACCTTTCCTCCTGGTTTGCTAGTCTTACCTATGACAACTTGGAACTCCATCCTTGTTCTTGTTTCCCAAGGCTTCGCCCTCTCAAACACCATAGTTCTGTGTGTTTTTACGCATTACCATTTCACCCTTGTCATCAAAAAAGGAGTTTCCAGGCCACTAGAGATCTTCCCAGTGGGGGAGGAACGGCAGCTTTAGAAGATCATGAACGAGGTTTGAGTGTTCTTTATGTGAAAACTCCTGTGCAACTCTTTTCCTTTCTCTGGGGTAGAGGTCAGTGGGCAATGGCAGTTCTGACCCTCCTTCTTTCTTCCTTTCTTGCTCATAAATTTTCAACTTCATCAGCACTTGAATCCAGTGATCTTGAAAATCTGTAACTGCCTCTTTCATCTTTCTTCCATTTCTTTATGTCTTCCTAGAGCTTGCTGTCTTTTTATTTCCTCCCTTTGGCATTTTTCTTCTTTCTCAAAATCACTCAGAAAATATGGGACTATAGTCTTAACTAGTGCAATCAAAACTTCTTCTGAAATCTCACCGTGTACAGGGTTATCTAGCGTAGGTGCCAGGTGGTGGGTGTATCTACAAGCACCAGTCATCTGATGAGCTGCTCCCTTTTAGGCTCCTAGGTTACTGGGGTAAAGATTATACTTTGTTTTGTCCTCTGGCTTTTTGCTTATGTGAGAGAACTGCTTTCTTCACATGTTAATATGAAGTGTAGTCAAATTGGTTGGGCACGGTGGCGCACGAGTGTAATCTCAGCACTTTGGGAGGCCGAGGCAGGCAGATCACCTGAGGTCAGGAGTTCGAGACCAGCATAACTGACATGGAGAAGCCCTGTCTCTACTAAAAATACAAAAATTAGCTGGGCATGGTGGCACATGCCTGTAATCCCAGCTACTCGGGAGGCTGAGGCAGGAGAATCGCTTGAACCCAGGGGGCGGAGGTTGCGGTGAACTAAGATCATGCCATTGCACTCCAGCCTGGGCAACAAGAGCAAAACTCCATCTCAAAAAAAAAAAAAAGTGTAGTCAAATTTATACCAATGGAAGAAACAGGAATATCACAAAAAATAGGAATTCTCTAAAAGACAATAAATTCTTATGGTGTAAGGTATATTTGGCTTAAAATATGTTAAAAGAAGTGGAACCACAGTTCAGAATGGAAGTCTCCTTCACAATCATTCTTCTTTCCCACCCGTAGTGCCAGAGAGATGATCCCAGCCAAGTCAGCAGACACTGAGTCAAGAGCTCTCCACCATTCCTGTAGCTAAACCAGCAAGAACCGTAGTGGAAACAAAAAGCCAGAAACTGCAAACATTGCAGGATGAGAAAAGGAAACCTCATCTCTGTAGTGAGAAGTACTATGTTCCTGGGAATGCAAGTGGTAAAGAATAAAGGATGGAGAGGAAGGTAGCAGAGAAAGAAAGTAAAAGTAAACATAAATAAAGAGACCTAGAGAATCAGGAACACTACAAAGGTCACACCCAAAGGCCTCACAGTGAGAACTCCTTCCCTGACGATATCAGGTAATGATACCAGATGACATGAGCAGGGGAAACATTCAGGACACAGCCAGTCCCACAGTAACTTCATTACAGAATATGAAGCCACAAGGAGCCTAGTGGAGAACTGGAGTCAGTGGCCCAGTCAGAGAGAGACTATGATGTCATGTATCTTATAATGTACACCAAAGGAGAGAAGAGGCAGGGCCCGTGTCACAGATCTAATGGGTAATTTTTAGGTAATGTATACACCTTGGCTCAGCTTCCAAAGAATGCCAATTATACACCCAGTTTCAGGGTGTTAAAGGCATGTGCATGGTACTAAATAAAGACCGTTGGAAACCTGGCTCCTTATATGTACCCAACTTCTGAGTAAGGGCCCCACAGAGCATGATTGTTTTCTATGTGCTGATATCCAAATTAAAGGGATGAAATAACATCACACCACTTTGGGTAGAAAATGTTAATTGCCAATCCAGTATCTATCACCCCTCCACTTTTTAAAAGTTTTACTGAAGTATAAATAACATATAATAAACTGCACATATTTAAAGTGTACCATTTGATGAGTTTGGGTATTGAACTATACCCATGAAACCATCACCACAATCAGGAGAGTGAACATATCCATCATTCCCCAATTTATCCCCCCGCCCCTTTGTAATTCCTCCCTCCCACCCAACTCTTTCTCTGTAGGCAACCACTGACTTACTTTCAGTCATTAAGGATAAGTTTGCATTTTCTAGAGTTTTATATAAATGGGATCACAGGGCATGTAGTTTGTTTGAACTCTTTCTCTCAGCATAACTATTTTGAGATTTGTCTAGCTTTCCTATGTATCAATGATACACTCCTTTTCATTACAGAGTAGTATTTCATTGTTAGGATGAACCACATTTACTTATCAGTTCCCCAAAAGATGGACATTTGGGTTGTTTTCAATTTTGATCTATCACAAATATAGCTATGAAAATTCACTTTATTTTTACCAAAAATAAAGCAAGCAATCACATCCCTGAGTTTGTTCTAAACATCAACATTACCAGTTGGGGCTGCATGCTAACTCCATAGTTCTTAGGTGCTTTTGCCATCATGGACCCCCTTCCTCCATTTAGATATTAAAATTATATTTTACAACTGCACTGTTAAACAAACACAATCCTGACAATTTATTATTGTATACTCATATTTATTGTATTCATTTTGTCTTCTGATTTTAAAAGAAATTAAATGAAAAACATTTTTGTAAGTCCCTAAAAGTATGGCGAGCTCTAGGTACTGCACCTGCTATGCCTAATGGATAAGTTGGCCCTGTGCCCAGCTAAAAGTACTTTTTTTTTTTCTTTTTTTGAAATGGAGTCTCACTCTGTTGCCAGGCTGGAGTGCAGTGGCATGATCTCGGCTCACTGCAACCTCCACTTCCCAGGTTCAAGCGATTCTCCTGCCTCAGCCTCCCGAGTAGCTGGGACTACAGGCACATGCCACCACACCCAGCTAATTTTTGTATTTTTAGTAGAGACAAGGTTTCACGATGTTGGCTATGATGGTCTCGATCTCTTGACCTTGTGATCCACCCTCCTCAGCCTCCCAAAGTGCTGGGATTACAAGCCTGAGCCACTGTGCCTGGCCCTAAAAGTACTCTTTACCAGACTCTCTTGTGCAAAGGGTAGCCTGCAACATCAGCTCAGAGTTCCTAAGAATTCTGGAAGGGATGATTCTTCACTCTTCTTTATTCTTTCTGCCTAGATTTAAGGATGCGAAATCCATAGATTCAGCAGCTATCTTGCAACCATGAAGTGATGGTGTCTTCTTACTAAGAATGGTAGAGCAGAATATAGAAAAAGATTGTTCCTAATGGTATTTTGAGTTGCAACATTACACAAGTGTCTTGTTAGATGAGAAAAAATATCCTACTTGTTTAAGCTAATGGGGGTTTGGTTTTCTGTTATGAGCAAGTAGCTTCTCTCCTAAGTCATTCATTGCTGCAGGGCCTCAGCACTGTTTTGTGGGTTAGACACAATGTCAGCACATCACACAAATCTGTTCTAAACATCAGGGAGCAGCCTAAGGACCTGGAAACTTATGTAGTAACCACAGCACAAAGGGTGACTGTAAGACTTAATAATTCTCCAAGAATAAATGCAGTGTGGGACCTTTGCTCAACCTCCCAGGTATGACTGTAAAGCAGGAGGACTGGAAGCAGCCATGCTGGCTGTCACAAGGACATGGAAGTACTCACTCTGTCATGAGACAGAACCTTGAGATCCAGGCTTTTGCTGCATACACTCGGCCAATTCTGCACTGTTTACAGCTGCTGGGAAATCACAAGGGGAAGAGTATAATAGGAAAGAGAATTGACTCAATCTTTTCAGGGATATGTAGCTCCTGGATAGACCCTTCAAAGATGGGGTAACAGGCCACCTTCTATTGCTCCAGGTTCATGCAGGATGACCCCCCTGTGGAAGAGGGCCAGGGCACAAGCTTGAAGTAGTCCCTAATCTTGCTCTTTTGGAATCCTAGGGGGTGGCAGGCAGGTGTCCCTGGATCCCTGGGCTGTGCTGAATTCCTTAGTAACCCTAGAGTAGCAAAAGAAAACTCAGCCACGCAAAATAAAAACTGTAACAGAAAAGTTTCTTGATGGCATTTGCAGGGCAAAGATGAAAAGGTTGAATGTGTAAAGAACAGCAGTTTCTACAAGTCTAATATGAAAAAGTCAGACAAGTTATTTTAGGTAAAAGGCTTTATGAGAGGCCCTATTCTACTGGGGCTGATGATGAGGATAATATCTTTTACATATTCATTTTCATTTTTATTTTTAATTTTTTTACATATTCAGCAAACACCTATTAAGTACCAGGTTTGTAAAACAGCATGAGAAGGTCAGTGACCTGGTAGGGCAGATTAGACAAAAGCAAAGACAAAATAGGCCAACAAACTAACAATTGCCATAATTAAAACATAATGAGGCATGGGAGGCACTGTGAGTATTTAGATTCCTAAACTTGTCTGCATATTGAAATCTCCTGAAAATATTTTAAAAATTCAACCACGATCTCTGGGATGGGACACAGGCACCAGTAGGTTTTGAAGCTCCCCAGGGGATTTCAGTGCGCAGACAGGTTTGGGAACCACTGATAGAGAGAGGAAGGGAGCTCTTGTTTATCCAAAAACAATTCAGGAATATTTTGAGCTGAGCCTTGAAATCACGCTACTCAAAGTGGGGTCCCTGGGAGCTTGTTAGAAAAGTAGAAACTTGGGACCCATCCCCGAGCTACTCAATCAGGCCTGCATTTAAAACAAGATCCTCAGCTGATTATGGATACAGTAAAGTTTGAGAAGCACTGCAAAGGCAAACTCAGACAGGCTGTGCTAGGAAAGCAGGTATGAACTGAGTATACAGTATATGTAGAGGAGAAGAGGGAGGAAAGATCGGGGAAGTGCACCAGGGCCAGGCAGTTGAAGGCCTTGGATCCTCTTCCAAAATACACCTCTAAGACAATATGTATATTCTAGCAATGCTGCCAGAGAGGAAATACTTTAGACCTTTCTCTATATGCTTGACTTCAAAAAAATTAAGAAAATCCAATTCATTGCCCTTTATCAAAATATTTTGGAACCCCATATGGGTTATTCACATTATCCAACTTAGTCATTCTCTTTATTCTTTGAATATACAACTGTTTTCAGACATTCAATTAACTCCTAAAGAATAAATATTTACTATAACTAGAGATATTCAGAGAAAGGTACTAAGGGCTCTATAGACAATCTGAAAAATAATATTCTCAGCATTATTGGAGTGTATAGCCTTGCAAGGTAACTACTGTAAAGAACACAACATTTATCTGTTATGTCAAGGCTCTGGTGTATATAGTCATGCCTCCATATCCATGGCGAATTTCTTCCAGGACCCCTGTGAATACCAAATCTGAAGATGCTCAAGTCCTTGATATAAAATGGATTAATCTTTGCATATAACATATGCACATCCTCCCACATACTTTAAATCATCTCTAGACTATTTATAATACATAATACAATGTAAATGCTAGGTATATAGTTGTTACACCATTTTTTATTCATATAATTTTTATTGTAGTTTTTTTTTCAAATATTTCTAATTTGCAGTTGCTTGAATCCACAGACAGGGAACTCGTGGATATGGAGGGTTTATTGTACACAAAACTCGGGTTCTTTAGTTAAGATAAATTTACTCTAGTACTTCCTGATGAAAGGATGTAATCCAATTCTATATGGTTAGTTGTTCTGAAAGGAGTCATTTTTAGAAGGGCTTTGGTCTATGTATAGTATGAAAATAGATATGCAAACGTGTCTGTGTGTGTGTTTCAGTAATATGAAAATGTTAGTAGTTTTCTCTGGTAGAATATTAGATTATGGGTAATTTTTTGCTAGAGTACAACTACGTTTTCTATAGTAGGCATGTGTAACTTGTATAATAAAATGTTATTTTCTTTCAAGAAGAAAATGGTGTTAAAAGCAAATACAATAAAATTCCATTTTACATGAGAAAACAAAACCAACAGAGGCTCTGAGTAAGGAGCTCCCAGCACTGAAGAGGGCCTCCATGCCACCCCACCCTGCCCCAGCGCTGCCCATTTTATCAAAACTGATCCCCTTCCATATACTTTATACATGATTTTTTTTTTGTAAGACTTAAAAAAATAGACTTGGTAAAAATAATGTTTGAAAACCTCTGACCTGAGCCATGGATAGGTGACTCCCTACTATCCTGAAATGCCCTACCAGGTCATTGACCTTCTCATGGTATCTTATAAATCAAGTACTTAATAAGTGTTCACTGAATAAATAACACACAGTTATGACAGGACAGGGTGAGCTGCTGTGGAAGAAAGCCATTCTGGGTTTTTGAGACAGGTAAGATCAATTTGCTTTCCTTGCCAGATGTAGAGGTAGCATTAACCTACTGTATGAGTCACGGTTCTCTAAAGAATCAGAATGAATGGGTTATAGATACAGATATGGATATAGATACAGATATGGATATAGATATAGATATATACATAATACAGATTGAGAGAGGATTGGCTCACACCATTAGGGAGGTTGACAGATCCCAAGAGCTACAGCTGACAAGCTAGAGACCCAGGAGAGCTGACAGTGTAGTTTCAGTCTGCAGGCCAGAAGGCTGGAGACCCAGGAAGAGCCAATGGTTCACTTCAAGTCCAAAAGTGGGGAAAAAAAACTGATGTTCCAGGCCAAAGACAGTCAGGCAGGAGCAACTCTCTCTCATATGGGAGAGGGTCAGCCTTTTGTTCTATTCAGGCCTTCAGTAGATTGGGTGAGACCACTCACGTTACAGAGGACAATCTATTTTACTCAGTCTATCAACTTAAACGTTAAACAAATTCAAAAACAACCTCATAGAAACACCCAGACTAATGTTTCACCAAATATCTGGGCACCCTGTGGCTCAGTCAACTTGACATATAAAATTAACAACCACAGCCACCTAGAAAAATCTCACCTTAGATGGAAAGCAGACCATTTCTAGAAGACCTGCATTTTTTTCCTGGCTTACTTTTTGCTCCCAAAAAACTTAGCTTCCAGGTTGTTCACCAGAGCCAACCCTGACTGCTCCATTAACAGAGTTGGAGGGGCTTGAGGCCAACCTGTAGACACTTCCCTGGAGAATCATTGCCCTCTACAGTTATCTGGGATGTAGTACAGTCATACAGGTGTCCCCAAAGGCAGGATATTCATTCTCTCTGGCAGCACCTTCCTTGTGCTCCACATCTATGACTGGCCTGTTGCTCCGAGATGCTTTAAGGCACGGCAGAGCATAGAAAAAAGATGAGTGAATCCGGAATCAAGTACCATACACCCCTGTTCTCCCGCTTCCTAGCTTTGTCTCCTTAGACAAGAAACTATGTTGCCTCTTTGTCTTCACCTGTAAAATGGTAATATTTACAGCTCACATAAGATTTTGTGAATCTTAAACCAGTGCCACTCATCAAACATTATTCAAGTGGGAATTCCTATTATTAATTTTTAGTAGCAAAAACTAGAAGCAATAAATTATCAACTCATCACAATTTTTACATTCAAATGACTGGTACTGTAAGCTCCTGGAAGGCAGAGACCATACCACACATTTACATAGCAGCTAGACAGACATCATATACAGATATGTGCTCAATTCAAGTTTAGATGGTGATAAAGGAATAGTTTTCTAATTTTAAAAAATTAGCTCAGGGCTGGGCACTGTGGCTCATGCCTGTAATCCCATCACTTTGGGAGGCCAAAGTGGTAGGATCACCAGAAGCCAGGAGTTCAAGACCAGCCTGGGCAACAAAGGGAGAGCCCGTCTCTACGAAAAAATTTAAAAATTAGCTGGGCATGGTGGTGCATGCCTGTAGTTCCAGCTACTCAGGAGACTGAGGTAGGAGGACTGCTTGAGCCTGGGAAGTCGAAGCTGCAGTAAGTTATGATAGTGTCACTGCACTCCAACCCGGGTAACAGAGTGAGACCCTGTCTCAAAAAAAAAAAGAAAAAAGAAAAAAGAAAATAGCTTAAAATGTTCTCATTTGTTACATATTAAATATATCTTCCAGAAATAGGGCTGCCAGATAAAATACAGGATGCCTGGTTAAATTTGAATTTCAGATCAACAATGAATACATTTTTTGGTGTAAATATGTCCCATGCAAATCATGTGTTGTTTATCTGAAATTCAAATTTAACTAGGCATTATGTAGTTTTATTTGTTAAACCTGGCAACCTTATACAGAAAAGGAGATGAAAAAATTTTATTTTAGAATTGAACATTAACATTTTCTTGGATGACAAATATTTAACGTATACCATGTGAAAATATCACATTTAGGAATTTTTAATGGTTACTATAATTGGCATTAAAAATGATTTACTTAAAAAGCTGATTGGGCCTAAATATGTGTGTTAACCTTACTAGTTTCATGTGTAAAATAAGGATAATAGTATGTAATACAGGGAGGGGTTTGAGATTTACCTGAGATTACATGTGAGAATGTTCTTTGTAAATAGATCCAAAAAAGAATCTCAGTGGAGCATGAGCTTTACTGTCTGACACATCTGCATTTGCATTCTAGTGTTGCCATTTACTCGTGGAATGACTTTGGAAAGGCTACTTAGCCTCTCTATACCTAATTATCTCATCCATAATGACGAAATAGTAATACAACTGACAACATACAATTTTTATGAGGAGAAGAGAAAATGCACATATAGTGCATAATAAAGCACTTCCTAAATGTTAGATTGTATTAAAGATCTAGAAAAAAAGTCCCTTTCTAGAAAGTCACTAATGTATGGTAACAGGAAATTATGGCCCTAACTGCAAGTATAATAAACTCTTCCTTTGTCTGAGTGTTTCTTACAATACGGGATGTTTTGTACCTGTGCTGTTAGATGCTCACAAGATGTTTTTGAAGGAATTAAGTAATGAATGCGGTGAATCGCTTACTCCATACCAAAAATGGTGACTGTCTTCGTATCCTGAACATGTCATTACAGTTTCATGTAAAAGCGGGACATTCTCTGAATGTTTAAATCAGTTCAGATCATTCTTGTTTTAATTTCATAGAGAACATTAATATTGTCATTAGAAAAATTATAGATGCTTTCATTTTAGAAATCAGCCTGGCAGGGCAATAGTGGTAGATATGTAGCCACAATCCCTACTAATACAGAGCCCTCTGTGTGTTCCTTCTACAGAAAGAAACCTAAATAAACTATTAAGCATGAGCGGTTCAACTGTTAGGTCAGGATTTCAGACCCATGGGCTGAGCTCATTGAGATGTCAGAACTATAATGGGCTTGTTCATCTCTGAAGGGGGTTCGGGGTCAGGTTCAAAAGCAAAGATTATCTAGTGAAAGGCCACACGCCTTTATTTTGTTTGTTTCCAGTGAATCAGAACAGCCTATTGTCATTGCTCTTACTATATTGGAAGGTTCTAGGTTCCTCAGTGGCTGATGAGTATGTATGTTAAAGGCAACATAAGGAGACTCAAACAGCCCGGGCAAGATCAGGAGAACCTGTCTCTACAAAAACAATTTTAAAAATTAGCTGAGAGTAGTGGCACAGGCCTGTAGTCCCAGGTACATAGGAGAATGAGGCGGGAGGATCACTTGAGCCCAGGAGTTTGAGGTTACAGTGAGCACCATCACACTCCATCCAGCCTGGGAGACAGAGTGAGACCTCATCTCAGGAAAAAAATAATAATAAAATAAATAAATAAAGGCAACACCCACGAATATATGAACTCAAATTTCTTCCCTGGAATTATCCAGTTTTTTCTGTTGCTTTATGAAGACAAGGAGTGTCTTAGATCACAGGCCACCTATTTTTCTCCCAAGGTTCAAATTTATTTGATTAAGAAGGCAATCAGTGGCTATTTGTTCCAATAGTTGTGTTGCCACTCTTCTTAACCCTATAATCTTAAATCTCGTTTTTTACAAAGTAAATTTCACCAGTTAGGCATAGAGTCATGCTTTACTACAATTGCCAAGTCTCGCGGGTTGTTTTTTTTTTTTTTTTTTTTGGAGCTTTTTAGTTCAGACGAAAAAGAGAGTTATGGTCTCTAACTTCCTGTCTATGGCCAGCTCTGCCATGGATGGCACTATGCCCTCTTAAATTCCCATTCTCTCCATCCACTCACATGTTGCTGAACAGCTTTGCCAGGATTTCATACAGGGAAGCCTTTATGCCATACATACAGCCTTTTCAGATGTCACCTCGAAATCATCTTCATCAGCCTTGAATACTTGGATCCCTAGAGGGGTTCCTGGCACCCTAAACAGCAGAGGCCCTGTGTGTGAGCTTGAGGCATGAAGCCACAGAGGCAACGGTACCCTCTGGTTGAAATGGGTTTTCAATAACCCATTTCAGCAGCTCGTGTGTCACTGAGCTGCTGCTTCTCCGCTCCTTTCAGTGAAGGGAAACTTCAAAATATTTGGGGCATACAGGATTCATGATGCATGTTGAACAGAGGGATTCATGCATCATTTAGAGTTTTCCTGTGCTTAAGGAGACATATGGCGGTCGTGTTTTCTAATGTAAATATCAGAACCCTTGGCTACATTTGTCGAAGCACAAGGACAGAATATTTGAAATCAAAATGATCTTAGAAAAGCCTGTGTATATGGTAAGCACATCTCTCAGGAGTTTCCAGACCAGCAATCTTTCTTTGCTTCGGGATCCCCTTGGAATTCAGTTCTCTCTGCTCTTTTTCCCAAAACACTCTCAGTTTTTCTGGTCTCTCTTCAGTGTTTGATGTTGATAGAGGTTATTTCTTTACTGAATTATTTGCCTATCACCCAGGCCACAGGCAAAAACATCAAAATATGACCATCCTTCCTGCCCCCGGGAACGTCACTAGCTGAAAACCTTGTGTGGTTCCTAAACATCAATGTGGCTGAAGTGCCATCTAACTCTAGAATCAGCTGTCTGCCCCTCACTCAGTGCTGACTCTCTACTTCCACCCCAAACTTATTTCTGCTCCGTAATGGTAATAGCAATGACGACAATGATAACCGAAATTTAGCCAGGGCTTCCTAAATCTCGGGGCCTTATTACTCATTTATATTCCCACATAGCTTCCTTTAACCCCCACCTGGGAATTTTGAGAGCTTCCCTGAGGATAACATTTAAAAGTTAAAATGAAACCTTGTTTTAATATTAAAAGCAATACTTAGAATTATATCAGACTACTAACATCAGAAAATACAGATAGCCAAAATGAAAGAAAGTGATAAAAGCACCCATGGCACAATCCCAAAGATCACAAGACAGCCTGGGTGTTCTTGGAAATTCTGCTGTTTAACAGGATTTAAACAACAACAAGCGCAGCGTTATGAGGCAGGATCTTGCACCCCAGCAAAGGTCCAAGGGAAGTGGGACTTTCGTTCCTCCAGGACAGAGTTGTGAGGAGGGGCCTTCCCATGCAGGGTGAGTTAGAGGTACCGGTCAGCCTTCCACTGCCCGGCCTTGCTCACTAAAAGCTAACATCGTAGCCCTTTGCCTCAGCCCTCCATCCCCTGCACTCTTCCCTGCCCCCCATAAATACCTGGGAAGTTGGGGAGAAGGGGTGGCTCCCAAATAGCTACTTAAGAGGGATCTAGGTTTGGCAGACACATGCAGCCCTGGTTGCTGGGGGACATGTCTGGAAACCACATTCACATAGAAAGCATACTGCTTTTATTTAGAGAGTATGTTTAAATAAACATACACAGCAGATGTTGGAGGCTGATGGAGACTGTAGTGGGGCAAAAATCCTCCTAAGAAAACCCTTGACATTGGACTGTGGTTGACCCCACCAAGGAGAGAAACTTCGTATCAGATTATGCCCCAATAGAGTGCCCCTGCCTAGAAAGAAAAGGCAGCCTCGGGTGGGCAGGGTGTTGGAGACAGAAGGGACAAAAAAAGGGGCCCATGACAATGGCTCTAGGTTATCCATTTGCCTGGGTCTGATTCCCTCAGGACCCAGGCTGCAGCAAACAGCTTGCTTTCTTTATCCTTATTGAATTAGAAGGAAGTCAAGGAAGCCTGCATGATTGTAAGTCAGGGAAATGTGAGCGACTTTCAAAAGCTTGCAACATCAAACTTTCCCATTGGAATAGAGCCAAGCCAGGGCAGATGTGTCAAAGTCTGCTTTTGGCTCCCTTGCTTGCTCACTCCAGGAAGGGGGAGGATGAAAGGAGAGACGGGAGAACAGGAAGGTGTACATATAGTCAGTAATGCTGCATTTGGTCCTAGGAAGGGAGAAGTACAGGTCAAAGGGGTCCCACTTATTGGCCATCACAGTCTGTGAAAACAAAAAGCAAAAACTGAAAAGCAAACAGCTCTCTGCACAGGAATAAAAGAGGAGGGAGGAGGACTTAATGGAAAGTCAGGGCTGCCTAGAGGCATAACAAATAATCACAGGCCGGAAAAGTACAGTGGAGGGGAAAAGGAGGGCTAGGCAGATTCCTCGGCAGGGCTTCGGGCTATTTTCTTTGGCATCGTATCAATTATGTTACTGTGGCCTCTTTGAATTTGGTCATCTAATGCTCTAAATAAATACACTGTCCACATTTTTACAGTCTTGGAGTGGGGAGAACCTTCTAAGTCTAACAGGAGGCCCAGAGTCCATGAAGGAAAGGTTGACAGTTTGGAATGATTAAAAAGTCAAAACTTCTTTTTGGCAAAAACCAGTTCACAAGAACAAATTTAAAAGCCAAATGAGGACTGTGGGAAAATATTTGCAACACAGATAAAAGACAAAGAGTTAACATCCATTATAGCTAAAATATTCCAATAAAACAACATCAAAAGACCAAAATCAGAAGGAGGGAGACTAAAATGAACAAATAAGAAGAGGCATTTTAGAGAGAAAATTACAATTGGTCAATAAATATTTGAAAAATGCTCAAACTGACAATTACATAATCCATAATACACAAAGGTTATTTTTTATTAAATTGGCAAAATTTATAAAATTTTGATGACATATAGTGTTTTTAAGCGGATAAGGAGGTAAACCCCTTCAAATTCTGTTAATGTGTAATTTCTGTCATGTGTAAATTCGTATGACATTTTTGAAAGACCGTTTGGCAGAATTTTTCAAATTTAAAATAAAGACATTCTACAACCCAGAAGTACCACTTACAGAATTTATTTTAGAAAAGTACTGGGTCTACTGGGAAAGGGACATGTGTGAGTGTGTGTGTGTGTGTGTGTGTCTGTATGTGTATATTGTAACACTGTTATAAGTGCAAAAAATGGGAGACAATGCAAATACCATCAATAGGAAAATGGATCAATAATTCATGTAACATCCATACCAAGGAATAGAACAAAATGACCAAAAAAAATGAGATGTATCTACATGCACTGATGTGGTGCTATGTTAAATGAATAAAAAGCTGTAACATCCCTTGGGGCTCTGCGGTTGCTGGCATCTCCAAGTTTTTGGGCACTGCCACATCCCGCCTTGTCCAGACGCCAGTGCCCAAGGAGGAAGCCTGTCACTGCACACCGGGACCAGCCACAGGCTAAGCGCAGAGCATGGTGGGCACAGGATCTGGGCCAGTAGTGTGAGCTGAGAGCAGCCTGCGAGTGAGCCCAGTGGGCCTGAGTGAAGTCCGGGCAGAGGCACTGATGGCCACCGAGATTTCTGGCTGGCTAAGTGGCACCAAAAGGAGTGTCACATAGGTACATATAGCATATATATGCATATAGGTAAGCATGTATTGCATATCCTTTTTACAACAATTAAGACAAATATCTATATATGTACACTTGTATCTACACTGAGGAAAGTATACACAAAGAAAACATACACACACACACACACTCAAACTGTTTAAAGTGGTTAAACGTAACGGGATGAGGCAAATGACTAACCAAAAATCATTTTTCATTTGTTACATTTCTTTCTTGTTTGAATTTGTTATAGCATTTATCACTCTTACAGTTAAAAAGCACAATAAAAAGATGTAAACCGACATGCATACATTCATATTACTCTCCTACTGTAAGCAGCAAAGTAATTGTAGCATAAGAGTGTGATACACAGAACAACACCTTTTCCTATTCCTTCAGTATTACTGACTAGTGATCATGTAATTTTGGAGAGAGCTCTAAACTGAGAGCAAAAGGACTTGGACTATAATATTCTTGGGGCTGTAATACTGAGTATTTCGGTAGAACCTATGAAGCAGTATTCACCATACTTCTACCTCAGTATTTATAAAAACAAAAGAGTCACTTTCTTTAGAATTCCTACTTATTAGAGTCATGATGAGGATTAAATGAGTTATCATGTAGAGTGTTTGTAAAGTAGTTGGCACACAGCAAGCGCTAAGTTGGTTTTATTATTATTGAAGTAGTAAGTGTCCCTTTCTTTCCCACCTCTATTGTGGGAGGAGGTAAAATTCAACTGATTTCCTGACTTTCCAAAGGCAGAGGTCTTTAAGGACTTCTCTAGTGAAATGAGGGCACATGGTAGATGGTACAAAGGGAAGACTGGCATCTCCTTCCTCCTGGAGGATTGCAGGAGCCTGTGGCCCCACCATGGGGTTCCTGGAGCACAGAGAAGGGGCTAGGGGAAAGTCAAGGAAGGTTAGTGAATGTCCAAAGAGCAAGGATCACTCTCCTGGTTTTCCATGGAATCAAGTCAAGGGTGGCAGAGACTCTTAGGATTCTCATGAACCTAGACCTGACTGTAGAAGGAAAAAACACAGGGGCCTGCTGGCCATTCCATGAGATTGCCAATTGAAGCAACAAACAGTTGGGCAGGAAGGTACAAGGGAAAAAGGAAAAAATGGCACTGACCACTGGGCTTCCCAACACGGTGAGCACAAGCTGGACATCTGTCCATGATGGAGGTACCACTGGCTACCCTGAGTGACAGCCTGGCAGATGATGACATGAGCTGCAGGAGACCTTGGTTTAACCAAGGGATCATCATTCTAATAAGCTTCTTTCTAAGCTCTGCAGCAAAGGGTTAAAACTAGGGGGTGGAGAATAGGGAAAGATCCTTGAGATAAGGATGCTCTGGGGTTAAAATGATAAACTAGAGTTTATAAAAACTTCATTGAACTAAAAATATCACTGTCCTAGACTAAGTTTAACCTGGAATGAGAAAGAAGATAAGGTATCTGTTCCAGAAAGATTTTGTAGCATGTGTATGTGTGTGATAGGAAAAAGGCTTGAAGAAGAAGAGGGGAAAGACCAGGAAAGGTTATGTAGTATGAGAATAAGGTAGGCTCTATGCTTGCACAGATTTCCCATCTGCTGTACATCTTCTTTCCTCTCTTTGTTCCTAAGGAAACTTCTCTGTCCCCTTTCATGGAGTCATAACAATGGAAGAGGTTCAGGAGAAAGGAATCAGCTCCTTGCAAGGTAAAAAGAGTTAAGAGGGTTTTTTTGTTGTTGTCATTGTTTGCTTTTAAATACTATAATTTTAAAACAATGTACTGGGAAGAACACTGCAAATGGAATTCAGGAGATCAAAGAAACCTGGGATAAATATCTCGAATTCTCTCAGGCTCAATTTCCTACTCTATAAAGTCTGGTATTTGGTAGCATTAGATGACTTCTAAGATTTCCTCCATTATACTTACATTATAATTTCTGCTCTACTTCATGAACTGGAAGGGACCTTAGGGCCCGTCAAAACCCTGAGCCAATATAAGAACATTCTCTGGGATAATTCACAAAGTGTGTTACATTTTATGAATAAGTGTTTTTAATGCCTTAGTATAAATTGGTACTTTTTTTAATATAAAGGAATTGTGGACCAGAAGAGTGGTTTTCTTCGTCATGTTACTAAAATTGAGTTCCATCAGTTTTGTGTGCGAGTACATTATTTATCCACCAAAAACCTCAAAACTGGGGCTACAAGCAGAGTTTCTCAGAAGTTCCTTGTAAAGAAGTATAAGGGCTAAGCCATTGCTACACCTTTGCCAGGTGATGTTCAAGGATAAATGCTTTTAGGGTTGGGGGGTTATGCTAGTGGCAACAATAGAGATACCCCTAAACTGCAGGTGCTCAATAACTGCAAAATTTTGTTTCTTGCTCATGTGAAGTCACGTGGGTCAGCAGAGCTCTCTACTATCCAGTGACTCAGGGGTGAAGGCTCTCTCCATCTTGTCTGCCAGCACTTCAACATATGACTTTAAGTTCTTCTGATCAGGAGGAAGAAGGATACGGGAGACACAGCAACAGTTAGGAACCTAGGACCAGAAGTGCCATGTCACTTCTGCTCTCATTCCTATCTGCCAGAACTCTGTCACATGGTCCCAACCCAGCTGAAAGGACCTGGAAAATGCAGGAAAGCACATGTCTATTCAGTGGGCACGAGTTGTCTCTGGATGAATTGATGCAATCAGGGACATAAAGCCACCAAGTGAGAGCAATTCCCTGCCTTGTGTGTTTGGAATAAATGACCAAAAGTCTTGGTTTTTAATCTGTGGCTTCTTTAAACTATTTTTATTCTAAAAAACACTTAGTTTTGAAAAACTGAGGGAACTTTGCTAGGAAGTGTGTCTTCTAAACTCTTCTTCATCACATCTGGAGAGGGAGTTGCCTTTAAGTGGCTGCATCACACTGTTGATTCATCATAAAGTTTAAGCCAACAAAAATCCCGATTTAATTGTTGGGAGAAATTGCTGCCAAGCCAGACCTTCAGATCCTGTAACTGTGCCATTTATTTTGCTTTAAACCTAAATGTAAGACTTTATATTTATTCTAAGTGTCATCCTGTTATTTTCAGACAATTGCTTCAGCCTTCTGAATTTTTAATTCAGTCATCTACTGTAATATCTATTTCTTCAATATTTGCATCATACAGCAATTTGGTGAGCATATCTTCTGTGTCTACATCCAAGTTCTTGAAAAACTAGGCCAAGGGCAGAGCCCTCCAATAGAACCAGAGACCTCCCTTGAGAGGCATCACGATTCATTAATAAACACAGTGGGTTTATTTGTTCCACTAGCTTCAAATCCTCCTTACCTTATTATCAACCAGTTCACATTTCTCCAATTTCTCAAGGACTTTTAAGATTTCATAGCACATCTAGATGAAAACCGAACTCGTTATCTCCCTTCCTAAGCCCCCTCCTTCTCCTGAATTATCTACCCATTAATGGCACCACCATTCAGCCCACTGTGCCAGCAATCTGGGAGCAATCCCACAGTCTCTCTCCTTCCTCTCCCTGAGAAGTGAACTTGAGTCAGTCCTGACACTTCGCAACTGGGGCTGCCATCCCCTCAAGCCTGTACCACTGCTTCCAAGGTTTTCTGTGGGTCTCTGGGCATTCCTCCTCCAGTCTATCCTCTTCATCTTCACTCAGTGATCTTTCAAAACACAAGTCACATCATATTACACCCTCTGATGAAAACCCATTGAAACTCCCCAGTATAAGGAAAATGTTAAAAATATTTAACATGTAGTTTGGCATAGGCAATGACCAAACAGAAGGCCAGCAGGGCTACTCCAGATGGAAAGCAGGGCACCTTCTATTCTCAGATCCTAAATGTTTCTAGGTGGCACCCTTCCATCTCCTCAGCCTCCATGCAGAGGTTTCAGCAGACCCCACATTTGCATCTGAACACGCTAGCTCTGCTTTCTCAACTTTCTCAAAGCTCCTCCCTCAACACAGAAAGGGTCTTTCTCCTCTGAGGCAGGAAAGCATTTTATACATTCAACCCCATGCCCTGGTTTTTGGTAGAAACTGGTCAGTCTTCCAGGTTTTACTCTATTGAAGCAGAGCCAAGGTTTTAGAATTTGAAAATAAATGAAATAAATAAAATAAATGAAATAAAATAAAATATATAAAACAAAAGATAAGCTCCACTCCCTCTCCCCCAAAGGCCAGGTGCTTAGAAATTAAAGCTTTCCAGGCTTTCTTTTTATATTCTCAGCCAGTAATTTGACTCTGTTCTGGCTGGATTCTTTTGTGTCTTTTCTTCTCTGAGGCAATCAGCCTAAGTTTCTCTGCCTGGTTAAATGGTGAAAAGACCACAAAGTAAAAAGATTTTCCGAGAAACAAGGTGACTTCTCATAATATTTCAAAATATCATCCCAATTCTTTGTTATTCCATGCACCTATACTACAAAATTCAGCTTCATGTAGGCAGGGTCCACTATTTGATTCATCTCTGTTTTTCCAGTGCCTGGGACATATTAGATGCTCATTAAATATTTTTTGACCAAATGACTAAACCAATGAACAAAGATAGACAGTATTAACAGCATTTTGCTAATCTACCAGTATGCTAATATCATAAAAAAGGGAATGGAGTGATTGGGCTTAGTTCATCTGTTGATGGTTGGCTCACATTGCAGGAGTAGAAAAATGTATTGCTTCTTTTGAACACTGCAGGGATTTTAAGACCACATCTGTGACAGTTTTTTAAGAAAAAAAAAGGGTGGATGCATAAAGAGGAAATCTAATAACATATTTGCAGATAATGGATAATCCCTGTGTACTAAGGATTCTTAATTCTTCAAATAGAAAAGATTCACTTTGCTGCCTTCTAACCTTATGTATGTTTTCTTTCATTATAACGGTAATCAATACAATTTTATAAAACGAAGTCAGTGGTTTTGTCTGGATTCGTCTTTTCAAAGCCTGTTCAACTTATTGGACTTCCCAGTGCAGAACTGGGCTTTAATAATGAGTATATTAACACAACAAAAATAAACTCATATTTTCCAGGTGCTAAGTATTAGCCCTTCTTAATTATTTCTAAAAGGCCCTTTTTTTCTCTTTCACGTGATTCCTTCTTTCTTTATGTGACATTTCAAAATAAATTATCATTGACCTTGCATGGTCCTTAACAGATTTCAGTGGCTTTGTGACATTGATCTCTTCCCACAACTGGTGCCACCTCTGTGGAATGCAGGTGAAAGCAAATATTGCTGTGTTGTTAGAAGCAGCATTATAAAGAGAAAGTAAGTGCGTGGGTTCTGGTTTGAATTATTCTACTAGTCACTCTGGGGAATTGCGTATTGCTCAGAATATGTACAATGAGCCTAAGATCATGTGCGATTACAATAATTAAATAAGATACATTACATAAGGGGACTGGTATAATTTATAACAACAATGAAGATTACACCAAATCTATGGATTAAGCAAGTAACTTGCTACCTAGATCCCACTGATCTCACTGGAAATGAGAGTTAGGTCAGAAAGTGGGTGTGAAAATGGCCTACCACACTAGCTGTCCAGATTGCCAAAGCTGACTCAGCTAACCTGGCCTGCTTGGACAGTGTCCTTCTCCCTTCCTCTGCTCCGAGTGCTTTCCTCAAGAAGTCACAGTGTTTGCAGACAGAAGAGGCCACACTGCCTACCCCGACCCCCAGTAGTTTTGCTTTCCAGTAGAATGGGTCCGCAGGCGCTTAAGGTCTATTAGCGGGTCAGGAAGCCTCTTGCTCCCCCGATCTCCAAGCACTGGATCATCACACAACCAGATAACTTATTAAATGTACAGGAGGAGAAGATTTTCTTAATGTATTGCGTGGCTACTGTATTAGCACTCTCTCTCGCTCTCTCTCTCGCTGTCTCTGTGTGTGTGTGTGTGTGTGTGAACAACTAAATATAGTGAGTTTTCTTTATCTCTTGGTTTCATTTTTATATTCAGTTCTTGAAAAGACATTTTACTCATTTTTAGTTCAAAAAAAATTAGGCCCACTTTTCCAAGCTGTTTTCAATTATGTTACTCCACCCACTCTCCATGTTTTTTCCTGGGCCCTCTTTTACCCCCTGAAGGATTTACAGGGCAGCCCTCTGCTCTTTCTCAGCCACTGTGGTCACACTGCCTCCACACACCTGATCTGATCTACAGGGAGCCTGCTGGTTCAGATTCAGAGACTGTGCCAGTTAGAATAGGAAAGTTCCTCTTCCTTCCCAGCCCTCATTCCCAAATATTTGTTGATATATGAATATCAGCCAACAGATCCTATTTTTCAAGAATCACTATGTTTCTTCATAGATTTAAATCAGTTGAAATCTGCCCTGGCTCCCCCTCCATCAAGGCTGGTGGAAAATATAATTTCAGTCCTCAATTGGACTCCCCACCTCCAAGGACTGTGCAAAAAACTTATATATTGTCAGAACATCAGGTTGGTTCTTCTGGTCATGTGCTGTGGTCGTACTGAGATGGCCTGTTGCTACAGTCCAGTTGGGGCTGTCAGCCCTAGCAGCCAACCTGAGGGCACTGGATTATAGGACCAGCCTTAGGTGCCCTCTGCAACCACCCTTGGGGTCTCTTCCCTTTGTCAGAGTTGGCCACGGAGCAATATGTGGATCTCTAATATTAGAGAAACCCTCTCACGTTCATCTCCTTACACGGTCTCTGGAAATCCCTGCCTTCTATTTCTGCTGGACTTGAAAGTCATTATCTTTTCTCTCTTTCCTCTCTGGGGTACCTGGCACCATTTCTTTAAAGGGTTTAAGCCTTGGCACAAGATAAAAAAGGTCGATATCGAGTTTTCTGTCAGGTATTAGGATGTTTGAAACAAAAGGAAGGAAAAAGACAAAGAGTAAATTATTTGCTCAAATAATATCCTGTTTGCTCTTTCTAGAATGAGTAAACTCTAGTTAAGAGAACAACCCCAGGGGATCCCTGGCAGTGGGGAGAAATGTAGTGTGGCACAGAGACATCTGTGGAGCAGCTGGGGGCGGTGGGGGGCTGCAACAGACCTGAGGATGGTGAGGGTCTTTGCTATAGCATGTGTGTGATTTCCCAGGTCTCCCAGAGTGATGCCCCAGTGAGGCATTTGGACTCTAATTTTACATTGCTACATTAGTATTTCTTCATTTTACCTTTCTTGTTTCGTGCCTCTTTTTCACTTATTGTACTTTTCTTCTTTGTCTTTTCCCAACATAATTTCAGGTTGTGCTCATGGAAAGTATAGCTACTGTAAAGTCAGATATTGTTTGTCAAGGTACCAGATGCCATGAAGGCCTGATTGCTGGGTGATTGCTAGTCACTGGGCTAACTTAATAAGGAGAGTAGCCCACAGTTCAGTCATTGTAATATTCAGATGACCCTATCAGATCAAAGGTGATTTGAAGTTTGAGCAATCACTCTGCAAGTCACTGAACCGGTGTAATGCATGTCTCTTTAATTATGGAGTCAGAAGGAACATTAGCTCTTTGCTACAACTTTAGTTTCTTATGCTTTTTGCATGATTTCCACCTTCCTGTCTTCTTTCAACTTGCAGCAAATATGAATTTCTGGGCTACTCTTTTCCATTTCACTTATTTTATATATTTATGCCCAGGTTTATAAACATTTAAGCTTATGAATGCCGTTTATTGTATTTCTATTATCCACTTTGGTTGTAGAGCATCTGCTTTCTTTCATATGCTCAATATAAAAAAAGTTTTTGGGCTACACAAATATGTTATAAGCTTATACAATTTTACAGTACATGATTTGCTGTGTCCTTTTTCCATTACAAATTGCATTTCACTTTTCTCCACTTTTTAAAATTCTATACAACAAAGGTCAGCACATAACTTCCCATGGGTCAACTCTCAACCACAGCCTAGTTTTGTAAATAATGTTTTGATGCAACACAGCTATGCCCATTCTTTCACGTACTGTCTGTGGCTGCTTTCACACTACAATATCAGAATTGAGTAGTAATGCCAGAGACTATAGATCTTTACAGAAAAAGTTTGCTGACTCCTACTATGGAACAATAATAAAAAATTATTTTCATCACTGAATCGTAGAGCTTCAGAGCTAAAAAAAAGGATAGTAGTCCAAGAACTTCATTTTAGAGAAAACAGGCCCATACAAGCATCAGACTTTACCAAGTGTTCACTATGTGCCAAGCACTGTACCTTAGCAAATATTATCTCATTTACTACCCACAACCAATATTTTTTCTATCGTATACAAAAGTAAATCAGGATACATGAGCTTGAATAACACTCCCCGGTCATACAGTTACTATAATCAATGGAGATGGTGGGATTGGACCCACAGCATGGGGCTTCAGAGTCCAGAAACAAAACCCTTGCACCATTCAGCCACTAGGTGAAATAATTTCCTCTACATTCCACAGAAACTATCAGAACAAGGACTAGTGCCCAGTTTCCTCTTGTCTCATGCCACTTATTTAAAGTAAAGATTTTTATACACCTCTATGTTCTGTGACCAAGAAAAGAAGAGGACCTTTTTTTTGTGTCTTCCCTGAGTCTTGGCTAAAAGTACACTGACTGTATGCTCTGGGGTAGGACATCTGTCCCAGCATGCCTGGAACTAGTGCTTTCCCAGGTGAGTCACATAGCTATGGCTGTGTTTCCTAGACACTCACTTGAGGGCTGACTTAATCCCTTAAGGTCTGTCTAGAGGGGCAGTGAACCATCTATTAGAGGCCCTTCAGTTCCCAGGAGGAAATGGGACTCTTCCTCCCCAAGTCAACCTGTTATGCTTAGCCTTCCCCGTGCTCAAAAAGTAGAAATCACTATTTGGATCATAAAATTTATGACTAATATTTGCAATTGGAACAAGCTTAGGGGTACATGCTGCAAAAATTATGGACTTGGCATAAAATTAAACAGCCTGTTAATGCTGTACAGGTTTTGTCAGTTACGTTAACGACTGCAGCTTCATGACTGTTGCATTTCCACATGTCAGCACTCCCGGGCCTCCACACCTATATGCCCCACTGCCTTAGAAATGTCTACCTGACTCTTTAATCAACCTACTGCTAGGGTTTAGATGTTTGCGTCCCTTCAAAGTTCATGTTGAAACTCAATCCCCGTTGTGGTGGTATTAAGAGGTGGGCTTTTTAGGAAGTGATTAAGTCGTGAGGGCCAAACACTCAAGAATGGAATGAATGCCCTCATAAAAGAGGCTTCAGGGCCAGGCACGGTGGCTCACGCCTATAATCCCAGCACTTTGGGAGGCCAAGGCAGGCGAATCATGAGGTAAGGAGTTCGAGACCAGCCTGGCCAACATGGTGAAACCCCTTCTCTACTAAAAATACAAAAAATTAGCTGGGCATGGTGGCAGGTGCCTGTAATCCCAGCTACTCAGGAGGCTGAGGCAGGAGAATCGATTGAATCTGGGAGGCAGAGGTTGCAGTGAGCTGAGATCACACCACTGCACTCCAGCCCAGGTGACAGTGCGAGACTCGGTCTCAAAAAAAAAAAGGCTTCAGAAGATGAACTGGCCCTTTTGCCATGTGAGGATGCAGTAAGAAGAAGGTGCCATCTTGGAAGCAGAGAGCAAGCCCTCCCCAGACACTGAATCTGTTAGACTTCCCAGGCTTCAGAACAGTGAGAAATAGAATTTCTACTATTTATAAGTTACCCAATTTAAGGTACTATTTATAACAGCAGGAATAAACTAAGACATTTACGTTCATGTCTTAACTCCTTAGTCTTTTGTAATTTGGTTCTCTCCTCAGGTTTCTGATACTGTCCTTCCTGAAATGAAGAGCTCCTCTACCTTAACCCAGCCTGCTAAGACTGCTACAGCAAGATTGACAGCTGGTCAGATTGCTGTCCTCATAAAAGCATGGTCATCACCTTCAGCTGGGCTCTCAAATGGAACAGCCGGGCAATCTTTGTTTCCCTGGTCAGTTTGTCTTCCCATTTCCATGTCAAAATTCCTGTCAAACTTCTGAATCTCTCACCTATCTCAGCAAATGGGAAGTCTCCACATCTCTACACCTACCTGTTCTCATGCTCCTGTCCTGCTTCGCTCCTCACATTTGACAAGGAGCTCCTCCTCCTATGAAAGGCCACTTGTCCCATAGCTTTCTTCCATCCCATCGTGTCTCAGCATCTCAGGGATCTTGCACTGATCATTGTCCCATTTTCAGAGCCGGTCCAAGAGGCAGATTACCTGAGCAGCAGCCTGGCATGCCAATTTGTAAGAAGTGAAGAGCATCCTTGAAATAATTAGAGAAGAACAGTAACAGTTAATTTAGGTTTTCCTATATAAACAAAGCATAAATTGGCCTGTTTCTTACTGAATAGAAATTTAAACCAAACAAAATGAAACAAAGAAGCATATTCCTCTGACTCTGGTCCATCACAAATGAGTTTTTGTGATCTTTCCCGTTGCAGGATGCAAGGATGTATAAGTAGAATCGCAGTGTTGCCAACAATGAAGTTGGCCAGCTGACAATTGTTTGGAGGCAAGTGAAATCCTCAAGCCTAACACAGTGGAGAAACATCAAACGTGTATTTGATTATATAAAATCAATTATATATGAACCACTAAAGAGAGAGTAAGAATAAAAGTGAGAGCTGAGCAAATAACAATTTAAATATTATGAGCAATTCTGCCTGCAGGTCCCCTCACTGCTCATATGACCCAAAATAGTGCTGTCAGAGAGGAGAAAAACTAATCCCTGGAGTGTGTACAAGGCCCATCTTCATTATCTCATTCCTCATCACACAGACACTGGAGTAATCATTACTGTCAGCATCAGTCACTGTGGTGAATCACCATTATTATCCTCAGAGTCACACAAAGATATTCAGAATGTATAGGGTTTACTTAGCATTATTGTTTTTCTTTTAAAAAAATGCTTTCATTCTCCTCGTTACCCCATAATTAAAAATACTCTAGAATTATACTTTGCATATGTACAGGCTATTATATCCTTGACATCACTGTCTAGTTTACACATGTATACATGCATATTACCATAGAGCAGTGTATATACCAAACCATGGACACTCCACTTATATTTAGTGTAAGGGATACCCAAGAATTAATTTGAGAAAACATTATTATCACTTAGGACTTTGACTTTACAACTACCCCCTACATAAGCTGCCATCCTTGTAATGTAGAGTACATTGTAACATAAAGAATAATACTGTTTTGCAGGAGAGAGTGACTTATCTAATAAATACACCCAAAATATTACCTGATTTTGAAAATTATAACAGAAAGAAGTACAGAAAAATTGGAAAACTTCTTGCCAACATGAATCTAGGAAAAAAGGACTTCAAAATATTTTGAACAAAACCTGTAGCTAACATGCTTAAGTTACTTTTATCCATAGAGATTTGGAATGAGTAAATATCCAGTTTTGAGTAAAAAAAAATCTCTGAAATATAAGACAATTCCAAATAAATTAAACGCTGTATAACGTTTAGTGCTTAGAGATCCCTTATTTGAATCAGAATTTTAATAATAAGCTATGCCATTTCTTTTATATTAAAAGTCAGTTTCCCATCCCCATTAAATATTAGCCAAATTTTTTTAAAAAATCACCTTGTTGAGGGTTCCAATTAATAGCCTATATCAATTTTGGTTTGCTATATTCTTTCATGTATCTTCAGACATTTATTCTGAACTAGCTCTTTCCTGTGTTAAAACCAAACTAAAAATCCAACGAAAAAAACTCCTTTGACCCAATGTCCTCTCCAGCTACTGTTAAATTATCTCACCTTCCCAGCCAAACTTTGTTTGAGACAAGATGTCACTCTGTTGCCCAGGCTGGAGTGGCAGTGGTGCGATCATGGCTCACTGTAACCTCGACCTCCCAGCTCAGGTGTCCCTCGCACCTCAGCCTCCTGGGTAGCTGGGACTACAGGCGTGGGCCACCATGCCTGCCTAATTTTTTGTATTTTTTGTAGAGACAGGGTTTCACCATGTTGCCCAGGCTTCTCTTGAACTCCTGGGCTCAAGGATCCTCCCACCTCAGCCTCCCCAAGTCCTGGGATTATAGGCATGAGCCACTGCACCTGGCCCTAGCCCAACTTTTTAAATTAGCTAAGGTTGTTTGCAATTCTGAAACTTGACTTATTCAGTCTTTTAAGTGGTCTCCTCAATTTAATTTCTGTTTCAATTCGTTCTCCAAACTGTAAGTTGAGCAACTTCTAAAATACAGATTTCATCATGACACTCTCAATCTTGAAATCATTCTATTGCTCTCTATTCCTATAAGGATACAGTGTCAATTCCACTGCATCATTTATGAGGTTCTCCACCACCTGGTGCCTACTACCTCACCAGCTCAGCTCTTGCTGCTCACATATACCTGGAACTCTAGCTCATTAATCTTTCCCTGTTCAGTTTCTCAATTGTGTCATGCTCACTCTCACCTAGAAAGTTACTCAGACTGTTTCCTCTGTCTGGGACTTCTTTTGTCGGATTTTCAGGGCTCTCACCCTTCACCTCTCAGCTTAAATGTGTCTTCTCCATCATGGTCTTTGTTAGGGTTCCTTGCCACATGTTGTCCTTGTGAGACAGCCAGGTGGGAGGGGGTCCCTGGAGAAACTCCAACAAGCCTGCCCACTGAGTTGGAGCCTCTGAAGTTCACCGTGTTTGCAGCAGGGAGGAACCTGGCCCCTCCTCTTCCTGTGTGGAACCTGGGATTCAAATTGCCGGGCTGGAAGTGCTCTAGCAGAGGGAGTTTCCCCCGTTTTTCCTTTTTCACTCAATGAAACCCTGCTTTACTCACCCTTTAAGCCATGGGCCAGCCTAAATTTTCATTTTCATGGCCGTGGGAGGGACAAGAACCCCCATCTTTAGCTGAACTAAGGAAAAGTCCTGCAACATTTTTGACGCACAACGTGGTGGCTTGAGAAGCCGTGAGTGAAATGGGGACTCAAAACTTCTCTCTGTTGCTCCTAAGCATTTTCATCCTCCGACTTCTGAGGGTGAGGGAAAGATGCCCCCAAACCTGGTGGCTCCCGGGGGCGGGGGGGTCAGGAGAAAGGCCCTTTCCTTCCTTTTTTGGGAAGGACAGGTGAGCAGGAAGTCCTCTCTCCCCCTCCCCTTCCTGCAGAGGCTGGGACTCATAGCCCAAGGGTCCTGCACAGCCCGCTGGCTGGAAGGGGTTCAGCTTTGAACTTTAGTTTTGAGTAAGATAGGAAAAGCCGAAGAAGTGGCGGAAGAATTGTGGAAATTAATCTTGCAGAAGAGGTTCTCTGTGTGAACTTATTAACTAAATTTAAAGGGGTTATAAAAGGTTTTTGCTTCTTTAAATGTCTAAGTCATCATTTTGGCAATAGAAATCACGTATGATAATCTGGAACTCTCTTTCGTAATATCAAGTGTTTTAAACCTTGAACATTTAACCTTGAACCTTGAACATTTAACCTTGAACCTTGAACAGCCTTCTCAAAATCAAAATTTTGAAAAGTTTCAAAATTGTCTTCCCTGGCATCTGGCTTTTCGAATACTTAAGAGGGCCCCTAAAGTGTCCAGAAAAGAGAGGTAAACAGGATTATTTGGCATGTTTAGGTACATGGGATTGCCAAAATGATGCTCAGTCTTCTTTAGGTTATATCTTGGTGAATAATGCTAATATATATTCCAAAATTGCATGGGATTTCTAAAATTCTAATGTCTGAGTATATGCTATCAATCACAATTAAGGTTTTTATGTTAAGTTATTGTAAACCACAGGGATAACCAAGCTTCTTTGTCAATTGTGTTTCTAATTTTAACTACCCTGGACATTTTGCTATTCACAGACAATTGTTGTCTTGTTTTAATTCTTTTCAAAAGATGGTTTATAATAGGGTATAAGACTCTGATAAGTGCTTTCAGATACAATTTCTGATTTTATTTGAGACAATCAGGTTTCTGATAACTTTGCAGATTGTAACATTGGAATAAAGGAAAATGTACAAGACTCATGAAGAGCTGAAATGTTCACGAATATCGAGCAAAACCAGAGTTAACTAAATGGACTGAACTCAGAAAGCTGAAGAAACCTTTTTACTTTTGCTTGGAATATTGGTGATCCTTTTTTAGTTTTTCAGAGCCAAGGAAACTTATTTTGAGCTATTTATGGCCTTTAATAATTAAGTAAGGTATACACTCCTGTGATCAAGATTTGGAGCATGTTTGTTTCTCTCTGCCTGGTTTCTCTAGAATTTGGAAACTGTGAGTATTCTTATGGCAATATAGTTGTTTGCATCAGTGCAGTAAGACTCCATTTTTCTTTTGCAACAGGACACAGTTGGAAAAACTGGTAATTTTACCAAGGCTTTGACTGGAAGGGTATGCTTCCCTTTCAGGAGTCAATCTAGATTTGCAGAGTCAATAAAAGCCTAGTGGGGAAACTAGCCTCATACTATCACCTACACAGTCCCTGTACAGGGTTACTGACCTGTGGTCAGTAAAGAATGTCACTAACAGCTCTAGGAGCTTCAAGTTTATCTTGGGACCTTAAGAGGAGAGGATCACCCAACTCACAGGTATTTGAGGATACAAACCCATGGTTGGGCTTGGCTTTAAAAGGTCTTATCTGAGATTCCTTGTGGAACAGAATTCCATCAAAGCCAATCCAAAAGGCCTATGTAGAAATAATTATTCTTGCTGCACTTTATGCAAATAATCAGGCCAAGTATAAAGCTAAAGTCTGTTTTGCAAACCACTCAGTTCCTATGATGATTTGTTTTTTAATAAATATGAGGACTGGAGAGAGAGAAATCATATTTGAAAACTTATCATACATTTGTCATTAAATTCTAAACTCACTAGTTGTTTTTAAGTCTTTGCCTACATTTTAGGTTTGCTCCTGTGAATCAACTAGCAATCCCTGGCTGCAGCTCAGAAAGAACAAAAGGGGTGGGTAATATAGAAATTCGGATCAATATTCTAGTTCTGAGCAATTATCCTGCAAATACTGCCAGGTGATGCACATCATGCGAAGGTTTCCTTTTTGGGAAAGGAAGACCAAGGGAACTAACCAAAGCTAAGCACCATGCACCCAAATCCTAGCAAGCATAACTATAGCCACCAGTTATCTGGATGTGTCACAAGACATCCTTTCCTCCCCCTTGTTGGAGGACTCAGTTCCACAGTTTCACCTTAGCATTTGGTTTATGATAAGGAGTCCATACAAACACCTCCCCACTATTCCCCAACTCCTCCAGACACATTTTTGTCCCAGACTCAATTCCAAGCTTCAGGTCAAAGCCCTAGGAAAGAAAACTGGATCTAAGGGATCCAGAGGCAAATGACAACAGAGGTTAAAAAGCACAGTGCAGGTGAGCATGGCTGATTCCTGTCAATTAAGCCAACCCCAAGCTTCCTATTTCATGGATAAAGGCCATGTTAGTATCCATGGCATAAATGAGGCCTAGGGAATCCAAGACCACTGACAGCAGGGGAGATAGGGCATATGTGGGTAAGAGCAGATGATTCCTACCCCCTAGGCCCCCCTGCTTCATGGGTACAAGCTGCTTTGGCACTCATGGTGGGACCTGACAAGGTCACCAGGACTCGGGGATGCAAGGATGGAAGAGGGAAAGAGGATGCTCTTCCTTCTTTCCCTCATGTACCCTGGGTATCTGCTAGGAAGAGAAGGGAACCAAGGATGCCTGCTCCCTTCTTTCTAGATGGGTAGCCATTCATCTTCAGTCTGTTCCCCTTTAGAATGCATCCTGAACCCCTGGGACTTCTTTGAAAAATACACCTTCTTTTTATTCCTTTCTCTTCTTTTGTTGTCTCTTCGCCAATAGGTAATCATGTCTCCATATTACAAGACACTCCCCTCAGATGCACCCTCCAAATTGGAAAGAGTTAATTCCCCAAACCTTAAACTGGTTGGCTTAGGGCTGGGGCCCACAGGAAGTGAACCCAGACACCTGATATGCAGCAAAAGGGTAAAGTTTTTTTTGCCAGTTGGGCTTTTGGCCTTCCTCTCCCTGAGCAAACTGGTAAAAGGCCTCAGAATTTTTGAGCTGTCTTTACCCCTCCCCTTGTTTTGTTTTGATACATGTTTTCTAATAACCTGGTTTGTCGGTTCTTGCCTTCAGGCCACCAAACTCCAAACAGTCATGCAACTGGAACCTCTGACAATGGCCCCTTTTGCTGGGGACCCTTATATCAGCCTCTGAGAGAGCTCTGACTGCTGTTTCCCCAAAACAACACCCCCTGTCAGCAGGAAGGATTTAAGATCGGTCTTTGTCCTTGTCCTTAATCCAATGGCAGTTAGATGTACTTCTTTAGAGGGGAGAATGAGACAGCCAGGTGGGAGGGAGTCCCTGGAGAAACTCCAAACAGCCTGCCCACTGAGGTGGAGCCTCAGGAAGTTCATAATGTTTGCAGCAGGGAGGAACCTGGTCCCTCGCCTTCCTGTGTGGAACCTGGGATTCAAACTGCCAGGAGGGAAGCACTCTAACAGAGGGACTCTGGCCTTGCAAGAGTCCCTGTTCCTCAGGTTTTTCCCTTTTCACCCAATAAAACCCTACTTTACTCACCCTTTAAGCCATCTGACAGCCCAAATTTTCATGGCCGTGGGACAGAGAAGAACCCTGTCTTTAGCTGAACTAAAGAAAAGTCCTGCAACAGTTTCCTATCCCCCTGTATTATTCACCACACTTGCAATACCTGGTTTAGTGCCTGTACAAAGATCCCATGAAGGTATCTGTCTTCTTTACCCTTTTACACTTCAGAACCTAGTATGGTCCTTGGCAGACAGAATGCCTCCAATAAATATTTGTGAAATAAATAAGAATCTAAGCGTTCCTTTCTGGAGTCTTACAATCATTTTAATTTCTTTATCACTGCTTTGCTCTGGAATTACTTCAGTTATCCTTATTTTTTTCTAGAAGAAAAATGTTTTATAATCTGAGAATATGGAATGCTTAACAAAATTGGATTGTACCCTGAGTAGATAATGTACTTCAAAAGTGTATTCAATGGTCAGTAGATAATGTACTTCAAAAGTGTATTAAAAAGAAATCAATGTTACTTCTAATTTGAAAAATGGAGATATAGAAAAAGAAGATCTGAGAATCACTCTCATGTATTTTCCCCAATAATATTAAGTCAAAAATAATATTAAGTTAAAAAAAATAAAGTACTAAGAATATTAGCAAAACATTTAAGAGATTTTAGATATTACATAGGTGCTGGAGACACACTTATACTCTATTAAATCTAAAAGCCGTGAAAGAAAAAATAGACATATTTGATTATGTAAAAGTTTTAAATTCTGTATGGGAAAAGATGTTTATGTGATTTGGCTGTGTCCCCACCCAAATTTCAACTTGATTTGTAGCTCACATAATCCCCACATGTCATGGGAGGGACCCAGTGGGAGATAATTGAATCATTCGGGGCAGGTTTTTCCCATGCTGTTCTCGTGATAATGAATAAGTCTCATGAGATCTGATGGTTTTATGAAGGGCAGTTCTCCTGCACATGCTCTCTTGCCTGCCATTATGTAAGATGTACCTTTGCTCTTCCTTTGTCTTCCACCATGATTGTGAGGCCTCCCAAGCCATGTGGAACTGTGAGTCCATTAAACCTCTTTTTCTTTATAAATTACCCAGTCTTGGGTATTTCTTCATAGCAGTATGAAAATAGACTAATACAGTAAATTGGTACTGGTAAAGTGGGGTACAGTTATTAAGATACCCAAAAATGTGGAATTGACTTTGGAACTGGGTAAGAAGCAGAGGTTGGAACAGTTTGGAGGGCTCAGAAGAAGACAGGAAAATGTGGGAAAGTTAGAAACTTCCCAGAGACTTGTTGAATGGCTTTGACCAAAAAGCCGATAGTGATATGGACAATAAAGTCCAGGCTAGGTGGTCTCAGATGGAAATGAGGAACTTGTTGGAAACAGGAGTGAAGATGACTCTTGTTATGTTTTAGCAAAGAGATTGGTGGCATTTTTCTCCTGCCTCAGAGATCTGTGGAACTCTGAACTTGAGAGAGATGATTTAGGGTATCTGGCAGAAGAAATTTCTAAGCGTCAAAGCATTGAAGAGGAAGCAGAGCATAAAAATTTGGAAAACTTGTAGCCTGACAATGCGATAGAAAAGAAAAACCCAGTTTCTGAGGAGAAATTCAAGCCAGCTACAGAAATTTGTGTAAGTAACGAGGAGCCTAATGTTAATCACCAAGATAATAGGGAAAATGTCTCCAGGACATGTCAGAGACCTTCACAGCAGCCCCTCCCATCACAGACCCAGAGGCCTAGGAGGGAAAAATGGTTTTCTGGGCCAGGTCCAGGACCCCCTGCTGTGTGCAGCCTAGGGACTTGGTGCCGTGCATCCCAGCCCATCCAGCCATGGCTAAAAGGGGCCAAGGTACAGCTCAGGCTGTTGCTTCAGAGGGTTCAAGCCCCAAGCCATGGCAGCTTCCATGTGGTATAGGTCCTGCAGGTACATAGAAGACAATAATTGAGATTTGGGAACCTCTACCTAGATTTCAGAGGATGTATGGAAATACCTGGATGTACAGGCAGAAGCTTGCTGCAGAGGTGGAGCCCTCAGGGAGAACCTCTGCTAGGGCAGTGTGGAAGGGAAATGTGGGGTTGAAGCCTCCCTCACATAGAGTCCCCACTGGGACACTGCCTAGTGGAGCTATGAGAAGAGGGCCACCATCCTGCAGACCCCAGAATGGTAGATCCACCAACAGCTTGAACTGCATGCCTGGAAAGTCAGCAGACACTCAGTGCCAGCCTGTGGAAGCAGATTACAGGGGGACTGTACCCTGCAAAGCCACAGGGGTAGAGCTGCCCAGGGCCATGGGAATCCACCTCTTGCATCAGCATGAGCTGGATTTGAGACACGGAGTCAAAGGAGATCATTTTGGAACTTTAAGGTTTAATGACTGCACTATTGAATTTTGAACTTGAATGGGGCCTGTGGCCCCTTTGTTTTGTTTTCAATTTCTCCCCTTTGGACTGTGTATATTTACGCAATGCCTGTACCCCCAATGTATCCAGGAAGTAACTAACTTGCTTTTGATTTTACAGGCTCTTAGGCAGAAGGGACTTGCCTTGTCTCAGATGAGACTTTGGACTTGAGTTTACATTGGAATAAGTTAAGACTTTGGGGGACTGTGGGGAATGCATGATTGTGTTTTGAAATGCGAGGACATGAGATCTGCGAGGGGCGGGGGGTGGAATGATATGGTTTGGCTGTGTCCCTACCCAAATTTCACCTTTTTTTTTGTTTTTGAGAAATAATCTCACTCTGTCACCCAGACTGGAGTGCAGTGGTGTGATCTCGGCTCACTGCAGCCTTTGCCTCCCAGGTTCAAGTGATTCTCTTGTCTTAGACTCCCCAGTAGCTGGGATCACAGATGCCCACCAACATGCTTGGCTAATCTTTTTGTATTTTTAGCGGAGATGGGGTTTCACCATGTTGGCCAGGCTGGTTTTGAACTCCTGACCTCAAATGACCCACCCACCTCGGCCTCCCAAAGTGTTAGGATTACAGGCATGAGACACCATGCCCAGTCCAGATTTCATCTTGAATTGGAGCTCCCGTAATCCCCACATGTCATGGGAGGGACTTGGTGGGAAGTAATTGAATCATGGGGGCAGGTTTTCTCATGCTGTTCTCATGATAGTGAATAAGTCTCATGAGATCTGGTGGTTTTATAAAGGGCAGTTCCCCTGCACATGCTCTCTTGCCTGCCACCATGTAAGATGTGCCTGTGCTTCTCCTTCACTTTCCACCAAGATTGTGAGGCCTGCCCAGCCTGTGGAACTGTGAGTCCATTAAACCTCTTTTTCATCATAAATTACCCAGTCTCAGGTGTTTCTTCATAGCAGTATGAAAATGGACTAATACAGGTGTCATAAACAAAGCTGAACAAATGAAAGATCAGGGAAAATATCTGCAATGTATTTTCCAGATAAAAATCTAACACATACAATTTTATTGATTATCTAATGCTATAAAATAAATAACCTCAAAGTTAGCAGCTTAAAACCACGTACATTTTTATCTCAAAGTTTTTGTGGGTCAGAAATCCAGGCCACATTATTGAGTTTTCTGCTTCAGAATCTTTCATAATGCCGCAATCAAGATGCCAACCAGGCTATAGTCTCATCTAATGGCTTGACTGAGGAAGGATCTGCTTCCAAGCTCATGTGGATGTTCAAAGGATTCATTTCCTCGAGGATTGTTGGGATAAGGGCCTAAGTTTCTTACAGGTTATTGGATAGGGGTCATCTCAGTTCCTCACCAAGTGGCCCTCTCCATCACACAAGCATAAAGAAGAGCCACAGAGAGAAAACTGACAAAATGGAAGTCATAGTCTTTTGTAACCTAAATGCAGAAGTGATATCCCACCACTTTTGCCATATACTAATCTTCAGAAGCAAACCACTACATCCAGCCCACACTCATAGGAGGGAGTTATACAACAGCACAAATATCAGGATGTGGAATCATAGAGAACCATTTTAGAAGGCTGTCTACCACAGAAGTATACAAATTGCTTTGATTGGAAAAAGATACCCCAACCTGAATGTGAGGATAAGAATAGGCAACTTATACAAAAAGATAGGAATAGGTAATTCACACAAGAGCAAATCTAAATGATCATTTTACATATGAAGAGACTTTCCTCTTTTCCAGTAGTCATGGAAATGCAAATTAACAGGTCAATGAGAGGATCATATTAACTCTCAGATAAGACTCAGATTAATTTATAAAGTTGAGATATATTCTCATAAATGCATTGTTAATGGAATATGAATACTACAGCCTTTTTGGAAAGCAATTTAATATCAATTAAAAATAGAACTATACATTCTTTTTGACTTAAAAATGTAATCCAAAAAATTAAATCAAGAGCATACACCCACACACACACACACATACACACACACTTACTGTAGTATTGTTTCAGTGCAAAAAACTGGAAACAAAATGGATAGCCATCAACAGGGAAATAATAAAGTGTGGTATGTGAATATGTAATATTATGTAGCCATTAAAAGGAATATATTAGAGGAAGAGGATGCCATGCCATAGAGACAGAGACAGAGAGACAGTAGACAGAGACAGAGATGTAGACAGAGACAGAAGAAAAAAAGAAAAAGAAATAAAAATAAAAATGGCAAAAAATACTATGAGACAAGTATGCATTTTTATAAATTTGCATTTGTGGCCATATATACAAAGAAATAGATTTTTAAAATTTTAATGGATTAACTCTATATTAAGTAATTGGAGGAGTTTCCATATTTATGAGTCTCATATTTAGATTATGAGTCTACTCTGAAAGTGAACTAGTAACATAGAGTACATCTGATTATAAGTGCATAAAGAAAGGTATGAGGAAATAAGCAGCGACTTGTTAATATTGCTTACTTGTGGCGAGTTTGTCAGAGGGAATGGTGTTTGAACAGCATGAGAAAGGAGTTTATTGTTTATTTGCAATAAACAAAACAAAGTTATTGTTTTTTGTTATTGCAATAAACAAAAAAAAGTTATTGTTTGTTTGCAATAAACAAAACAAAACCCAAGGTTTTATTTCTATATAAAACTAGATGTGATTTAAAAAGATAGGTATGATTTTATACCACTTATATAACAGGATAAATATATATCTTTTTGTATTCATACATAAAGAAATACAAGAAAGGAGAGTCACAAAATTGTTCGTGGTGGTTATCTGAAGTTGGAATTCCAAGTAATTTTTATTTTCTTCTTTATAGTTTTATGTATTAATTTTTTTAAAGAGCCTGTATTATTTATATAATTGAATGAAATTAAATATGCACATACATACACATACATGCATATTTGATATACATATGTACCTATATCATAAACTACTACATACTATGGATATGAAGTGAACCTGGAATGGTAGGCAAGATTTCTATAATCAAGAGGGTAAGAAAAGGGTATTTTGTGTAAAAGGCATAGCATAAAAAGAGATGCTATCTGAGATGCTAACTCACAAAAGCCAAAAGTCACATGGAAAGAAAACAAGCAGTGTGATTTGATTGGACCATAGGGAGTGGGAAAGAGAAGAGTAAGATTCTAAATGTAGGCTGCAGCCAGACTGTGAAGGGCTTCAAAGACAGTTCAGACTTTATCCAGTAAGCGGCGGGGACCAACACTGGAGTTTAAAATGACATGATAAGAATTTGATCCTGCGGCTGGGCGTGGTGGCTCATGCCTGTAATCCCAGCACTTTGGGAGGCTAAGGTGGGCTGATCACTTGAGGCCAAGAGTTCAAGACCAGCCTGGCCAATATGGTGAAGACCCATCTCTACTAAAAAATACAAAAAATTAGCCAGGTGTGGTGGTGCACACCTGTAACCCAGTTACTCAGGAGTCTGATGCAGGATAATCGCTTGAACCCAGGTGGTGAAGGTTGCAGTGAGCCGAGATCATGCCACTGCACTTCATCCTGGGTGACAAAGCAAGACTCTGTCTCAAAAAAAAAAAAAAAAAAGAATCTGATCCTGGTGTTTGGGACAGAATGGTCAAGAGGGTCCTGGGGACAGACAGTGCATTAATGAGGTTAATTATACAGGCCAGACATGAGGCAGTCAGAGTCTGAAGTGGGTTGTGTTGGGGGATGAGAGGGACACAGTGATTATTGCAAAATACAGCTTAATGATGGGCTACCTGATCTGGAGATTTTGAGGAACAAAGTATCTGCAGACACCAGTCATGCTGACACACTGTGTCTCCCCCTATGCTTGTGTAATAGAAGATGTGCCGACATTTCTAAAATAACTAAGAACAGTAATTTGTGTATATATAAACATTTACCATTCAGAAGGAGTGTGTAAGTCTATTGTCTCTTATCTTTACAGCAGTTTAGTAAAAGGTGGAAAGAAGTGGTGACCACTTTCTCAGATAAAGAAAGTAAAGATTAGAAAGGTTAAGCAAACTGCCTGCCCTTATATAGCTTAGAGTCAGCCTAAAGATTTGACCGAACTCTGTTCTTTGAGTTGGACTTCATCCCTAGCCTTTGGAAGGCTGGATAGTCTTCAAGGCTTTTAGCATTTCTGGACATGTTTATGATCAATGGTAATACCAACCACCAGATAAAATCAAATCTAATCAGTACAATGAAAATAAAACAAACAGGACTTACTATTTGAATGTATCACTAATTACCGAATATTCACTTTCAAATATAGGGTAGATTCCAGGCATAAAGTCAAAATCTACTTATGTGCTTTACATATTGAAATTCTAGCAGTTAGTAAAATTCTGCAATAACATGATTACTGTGAAAAACGTTAATTTTATATAGAAAAATTTTAAGTTGGCTTCTAAAAATATTCAGAAAGCATCTTATTGAAGCAGTAAACAAAGCTTCCATTTGTAGCAGTTTCAATAAAATTCATTTAGTAGATGATAAGAGAAGATAAGTCTTTATCTGATTAAATTACTACTAGGAAGAAAGGAATACTCAATGTCTGGGTGCCAACACCATTATTAGCAGTATCTGAGACTAGCAGAATTGTCCAAAAAATATGTTGTTCCTCAACTACCTGCACTGGAAGATGAGTGAGTATTTGGTATTGCAAATTTACAGTGTAATCATAGGAGAAATCTACTACCTGACAGTACTGATAAATTATTGTTCCTGCAGCAGGTCAAATTTTTTTAAATTGTCAATTAAAAAATTAATAAAATTGTCATAATTAAATTATTATTGGACTAGAAATATATTTTATGATGAAATGATATTTAAATTGAACTTGGATTTATTGAAATTTGATATGAAGACTTGACCATTGAACACTTTGTCTCCCACTAAACTATCTGATGTAACTAGCTAGGGAATATGAAAGCCCAGGTTCAAACTCAGTCACTGGCTTCATGCTTTGTCCTCTTCCCTTCCTACCATGCTTACTTCCACCAGCCAGGAAAAAAGATACACAGAAACTCTTAGCTTTTCAAATTTTTTAGATAGTATTGTTCTCTTATGAACCAGAGTTCCTTCAAAGCCTCAGTATTTGTAGTGAGGTCATGGCCAATTCGAGTCACCCAGAAATATAATTTGTGTTTCCTCCTAGAACCTTGAGTTGCCTCATTCCCAGAGCAAAAAGGTCCATGTGTTAATGCTAGCATTAACTGGCTTGAGTCTGGAAGGCGAGTTGATGCTGACTTAGAGTCTTATGCAACAATAAACACAGTACTATCCAGAATAAACTCTGAATGACCTAAACTAATTTCTTGGAAAGTGTTCTAGGTATTTTCCAAAAAAGACTAGAGAAATATAGGAAGTTAGCCAGTTTGGCATTGTTTTTTTGAAAAACCTGCCAAAAGTCTGGCCCCATTTGCCAGTGTCAACACTCTAGAGTGCAAACATATTCTTGTGCAAGGGACATTATGTAAGCTAGAAATTTATCTTAATTAGTCACTCTTTGTCCAAGGGTGGATGCTACAGAAGAAAGCCCAAGTGTTTTCAGAATACATGTACTTCAAAATCTCTGGTGAAGCTATTCTTAACTGCCCCTTTATGCAACAAGAGAGGAAGGCCCTTGGATAGCTTGACTGAAACAGTGTTCAAGGCCACTGGTGTTGGGGATTGTTGGTGGAACCTAGTGTGAGATCTCATTGCTTGCTTTATCTCTGTTCAAAGCATTAGAATGAAGAATGTGATGAAAGCCTTTTGCATCCATCCATGATGGGTTTTATTTCCTTATCCTTGTTTCCATTTCAGCAGCAATAACCAGATTGGAAGCATACCTGAAAAGGTTAGTCCTAGCTGAGCCTTGCTAACAGGAAGAACTTCTTAATCCCTAGGACCTTCAACTGAGAGGAGGTCTGAGTTTCACAACAAATAGCAATGTGGATAGGTGGAGAATACAGTCACATGCTGTATAATGATATTTTGGTCAACAACAGATGACATATACAGTGGTGGTCCCACAACATTGTAATATGTAATTTTACTGTATTTAAATTTACAATAAATCTGCTATATTTACTTTTCTATGTTTAGATACATATATACTTATTGATATGGTTTGGCTGTGTCCCCATGCAAATCTCAACTTGAAGTGTATCTCCCAGAATTCCCACATGTTGTGGGAGGCACCCAGGGGAAGGTGGTTGAACCATGGGGGCTGGTATTTCCCATGCTATTCTCATGATAGTGAACAAGTCTCATGAGATCTGATGGGTTTATCAGGGATTTCTGATTTTGCTTCCTTCTCATTCTTTCATGCCACCACCATGTAAGAAGTGCCTTTCTCCCTCCACCATGATTGTGAGACCTTCCCTAGCCACGTGGAACTGTAAGTCCAATTAAACCTCTTTCTTTTGTAAATTGCCCAGTCTTAGGTATGTCTTTATCATCAGTGTGAAAATGGAGTAATGCAGTACGTTGGTACCAGTAGAGTGGGGCATTGCTGTAAAGATACCCAAAAATGTGGAGGCAACTTTGGAACTGGGTAACAGGTAGAGGTTGGAACAGTTCGGAGGGCTCAGAAGACAGGAAAATATGGGAAAGTTTGGAACCTCCTAGAGACTTGTTGAATGGCTTTGCCCATAATGCTGATACTGGTATGGACATTAAGGTCCAGGCAGAGGTGGTTTCAGATGGAGATGAGGAACTTGTTGAGAACTGGAGCAAAGGTGACTCTTGCTATGTTTTAGTAAAGAGACTGGTGGCATTTGCCACAGAGACTTGTGGAACTTTGAACTTGAGACAGATGATTTAGGGAATCTGGTAGAAGAAATTTCTAAGCAGCAGAGCATTCAAGAGGTGACTTGGGTACTGTTCAGCATTCAGTTTGATGAAAGAAGCAGAGCATAAAAGTTCAGAAAATTTGCAGCCTGACAATGTGATAAAAAAGTAAAACCCATTTTCTGGGGAAGGAATTCAAGCTGGCTGCAGAAATTTGCATAAGTAGCAAGGAACCTAAGTTAATCCTCAAGACCGTGGGGAAAATGTCTCCAGGCCATGTAAGAGACCTTCACAGCAGCCCTTCCCATCACAGGCCTGGAGGCCCAGGAGGAAAATGTGGTTTCATGGGCCAGGGACTTGGTGCCTTGTGTCCCAGCTGCTTCAGCTATGGCTGAAAGGGCCAACATACAGCTTGGGCTACGGCTTCAGAGGGTAGAAGCCCCAAGCCTTGGCAGCTTCCACGTGGTATTGAGCCTGCACGTGCACAGAAGTCAAGAATTGACGTTTGGGAACCTCCGCCTACATTTCAGAAGTTGTATGGAAATGCCTGGATGCTCAGGAAAAAGTTTGCTTCAGGGGTGGGGCCCTCATGGAGAACCTCTGCCAGAGCCATGCAGAAGGGAAATGTGGGGTAGGAGCCCCCACACGGAGTCCCTACTGGGGCACTGCCTAGTGGAGCTGTGCGAAGCGGGCCACAATCCTCCAGACCCCAAAATGGTAGATCCACTGACAGCTTGCACCGTGCACCTGGAAAAGCCACAGACACTCAATGCTAGCCCGTGAAAGCAGCTGGGGGGAGGCTGTACCCTGCGAAGCCACAGAGGCAGAGCTGCCCAAGACTATGAGAACCCACCTCTTGCATCAGCATGACCTGGATGTGAGACATGGAGTCAAAGGAGATCATTTTGGAACTTTAAAATTTTGACTGCCCTGCTGGATTTCGGACTTCCACGGGCCCTGTAACCTCTTTGTTTTGGCCAATTTCTCCCATTTGAAATGGCTGTATTTACTGAATATCTGTACCCCCATTGTATCTAGGAAGAAACTAGCTTGCTTTTGATTTTACAGGCTCCTAGGGAGAAGGGACTTGCCTTGTCTAAGATGAGACTTTGGACTGTGGACTTTTGGGTTAATACTGAAATGAATTAAGAATTTGGGGGACTGTTGGGAAGGTATGACTGTTTTAAAATGTGAGGACATGAGATTTGGAGGGGTCAGGGGTGGAATGATATGGTTTGGCTGTGTCCCCATTCAAATCTCAACTTGAATTGTGGGTCCGAGAATTCCCGTGTGTTGTGGGAGGGACCCAGAGGGAAGTGGTTGAATCATGGGGGCTGGTCTTTCCCGTGCTATTCTCGTGATAGTCAATAAGTCTCATGAGATCTGTTGGGTTTATCAGGGGCTTCTGCTTTTGCTTCCTTCTCATTCTCTCATGGCACCACCATGTAAAAGGTACCTTTCACCCTCTGCCATGATTGTGAGACTTCCCCCAGCCATGTGGAACTGTAAGTCCAATTAAACCCCTTTCTTTTGGAAATTGGCCAGTCTCTGGTATATCTTTATCAGCAGCATGAAAACAGACTAATACACTTACTATTGTATTGCAGTTGCCTACAGTATTCGGTGTAGCAACATGCTGTGTAGGTTTACAGCCTAGGAGCAATAGGCTGTACCATATAGCCTAGGTGTGTAATAGGCTATACCATCTAGGTTTGTATAAATACACTCTATGATGTTTGCACAATGACAAAATCACCCTACAATGCATTTCTGAGAACATATTCCCATTGTTAAGCAATGCATAATTGTTCTATACTATCAAGTCATGTTAAGACTTATAATGATGTTAATCTTGACATATCAAGATGTTAATGTGGCATGTTTTAGGACAATAATTTCTTAGTAGGGTAGATCGCTAATCAGTAAAACTGAATTTCCTGTTTTTGTAGAACTTTGGGCAAGTCACTCTGAGCTCAGCTGACTTACTATCAAGTTGAGAGGTTGGTTGATGTGAGGCTGGTAACAAACCCTAAAATTGTGTGTGAACCATTGGACAGGAGTTCAGCTTACTGTGATATTGTGAAATATATATTTGGTCTTCCTCCAATCTCCTGGCATACAACTCTTAAAATCCTAGTAATCTTCAAAGCAATGTGTCTTTTTTTTTTTTTTTATTTTCTTAGATAGGGTCTTGCTCTGTCACCCAGGCTGGAGTGCAGTGGCATGATCTCAGCTCACTGCAGCCTCCCCCTCCCAGATTCAAGTGATTCTCCAGGCTGGTCTCAAACTCCTGGCCTCAAGCGATCCACCCACCTCGGCCTCCCAAAGTGCTGGGACAGCAGGCATGAGCTACCATGCCCAGCCCAAAGTGATGTGTCTTTGTGTATACTAATGTGTTGATTGATTGCTGGCTGCCCCAGGTAGCTTCATGGTGGAAGCTGGTCACTGGAAAGACCAAGGCATGATTCGAGGGTTGGGACTTTAAGCTTCACTCCCAGCTTTGGGAGAGAAAAAGGTGGCTAAGTGTTGAGTTGATCATCAATGCCCAATGATTTAATTAATCATGTTTACCTAATGAAGTTTTCATAAAAACCCAAAATACTGGGTTCAGAGAGCTTCTGGATAGCTGGCTGAATGAGTGGTTTCCAGAGGGTGGTGTGCCTGGAGAGGGCATGGAGGCTCTGCACTCCTTCCCTCATGCCTTGCCCTATACATCTCTTCATCTATATCCTCTGTAATATTCTTTACAATAGATTGGTAAATGTAAGTACGTGTTTCTCTGAGTTCTGCAAGCTGCTCTAGTAAAGTAATTGAACCCAAGGAAGGGATCATGGGAACCCCAATGTATAGCCAGCCAGTCAGAAACACAGGTAAAACAATCTGGGGCTTGTGATCAGCATCTGAAGTGAAGGATTGAGGGCAGTCTTGTGGGACTGAGCCCTCAACCGATAGGAGGTGATGCTATCTCCAGGTAGTGTCAGCATTGAATTGAATTAGAGGACACTCAGTTGGTGTCTGCTGCAGACTTAGTTGATTGCCTGGGGTATGGGAAAATAACCCCATACATTTAGTCACAAAAGTGCTCTGTATTGATTACTGAATAAAACAATGGGAAAGATGCTTTGGTAGTTTTTTTCTTATAACCACATACCTTTTTGGAAAAGGGCCTTCCAGTACTAACCAATGCAGTATCTGCCACACCCTATCCACTGCCCTTCCTTCAGGGATTAGAGTGAAAATAATCCATCTATTTCTGCAGTTCACACTCAAAACTTAGAGACCAGAAAGGGAAATTTTAAAAAAATCTTCCTTAGGCCAATGTCTCATTTTCCTCTGGCTTGCCCCCTTGTCTTTCAGCTCCAAATAATGTGGGCAAATGTTTATACTTGTGATTGACTTAATGGGAAAATAAAATGGGAAGACGAGGGTCAGGTTCCTCTGTCAATCCAGAGATCAGTTTACAACTCTGCTTTTCTACATTCTCTAGCATGGTGGACTTGCCCACGAGAGATGAGAATAATGAAACTTGTATGGGAAATCGTGTCCTCTGCTAAGCCAAGACCACCCAGTGGAAAAACAGAGGCCAAGCAAAGCCACAGGATAAATATTGAAAAGGATATCTACTTAGACATAAGAAATAAAATTCTTAATGTCTTATTTCTCCAAATTGTTTTTGATATAATCAGAAATTGTTTCCCCTGTTTACTCTACTTCTGTAGCTTCTTCTGAAACTGAACACTTTTTCCTTTTCAATTTTTATCTTGTATGGATCCCTTTTCTAACACCAGAGATGTTAAATGCTGCAGATCCTGCCAGTCAGTGACTCATAAATCTCCTTAGTATTAAAAATTTAAAACCTCATGGAATTTGGGCAAAACACAAAACTAGTATTGTCAGAATATTTGAAATTTTATAAAAATGAATATAAAGACTTACTTTAAATAGTATAGTGACTAAAGAAATTACTCATAGTAGTAGTTCTTATTTATTGAGTATCTACTATACATTTTAAGATACCATTGATCAAGTTTCACTAGAGCAGCCTCTGTTCAAAGGTATTTTTCAAAGCAAAAGCCTGGATCTTTCCAAAGGGGCTTCTGGAAAGTATTCAAAAAATTCAGAAGCATGTTTTCTTTTTGAGCCCTGAGTCTGGCACTGGAAATGGAATCATGGGGGTTTTGAGTCTTTCAAAACATAGTGGTGGCAACTGGTTGACAGTGAGCTATGGTGATCGTTGCCAACAAGTGGTGAGGAGGTCCTGGGAGAGGGAAGAGCTGGCCCAGTTTTGCCACTATGACCTTGTGGGTTTTCATGGCCCTTAATTACAGAGTGGGAGGCCAGATTTGAAGTGTCCTAAGTCAGCTAAGGCAGTGGACTGGATGATTGGATAACAGATTTGGGCTCCAAGGAGGGCTGGCAAGCTGCCTTTTTAGGAGCTTTCAACCAAGCACATTTGCCATTTTTCCTCCCCATCCACTTCTAGAGTAATTTTAAATAGTCATATATAGCATATATTCAGTGCTTGCTTTGTTTCAGGCTCTGTGTTAAGTAATCTACATGTATTATCTCACTTTTCCAAATTACAATTTATGAGATAGTTAATATCATTCTCTATTTATAGATAAGAAACTTGGGCCAGGTACAGTGGCCCATACCTGTAATCCCAACACTTTGGATGGTTGAGGTGAGTGGATCACCTGAGGTTAGGAGTTCGAGATCAGCCTAGCCAACATGGCAAAACCCCATCTTTACTAAAAATAGAAAAATTAGCCGGGCATGGTGATGGGTGCCTGTTATCCCAGCTACTCAGGAGGCTGAGGCAGGACAATCGCTTGAACCCAGGAGGTGGAGGTTGCAGTGAACTAAGATCGCGCCACTGCACTCTAGCCTGGACAAAAAACAATAACAAAAAAACTTATGGGCCAGGTGCAATGGCTCATGCCTGTAATCCCAGCACTTTGGGAGACTGAGGTGGGCAGATCACAAGGTCAAGAGAGACTAGCCTGGCCAACATGGTGAAACACTGTCTCTACTAAAAATACAAAAATTAGCTGGGTGTGGTGGCATGCACCTGTAGTCCCAGCTACTCAGGAGGCTGAGGCAGGAGAATCGCTTGAACCTGGGAGGCAGAGGTTGCAGTGAGTCAAGATCGTACCACTGCACTCCAGCCAGGTGACAGAGCAAGACTCCGTGTCAAAAAAAAAAAAAAGAAAATAAACCAAACTTATGTTCAGAGAGAGCTAATAGCTTGCCCAAGGTTACACAGCTAAATGGTAAATTCAGGATGTCTGACTCCTAGCCACTATACTACACCCTCCTGTAGAACAATTCCTCTCTTGCTTTACCAACTTCCACACTGCTCTTTTTTCCTAAATGCCTACACTTTTTCTTGTGCAATTTCTCCCACTATTGTAAATTACCAAGTAATATTAAAATTTTGGAGGTTTGTCTCACTTGGGAAGGTTAGATAGATCACTTGAATATGTTGTACTCTAAGTGGAAATGCCCTCCCTTAAGGTGGATAATCAGGCCAATCCACAATATTTATAAGTAAGAAGCCGAAGTCATCCAACAACTAACCAGAGATTCCAATTCTAACAGGTACAATGAAATATGATAGCTTATAGTGATGACAAGAGGCACTGCAAGATCCAAAACTACCTCTTAAATATTGATTTTGCTACTTATTAGGGCACTAATAATGTACATATTATTATAGTTCTGGTTCCAGCAACATGGGGAACTAATATGTGATATCTTCGTAATATAATTACATAGAAATTACAATAAACTATACAGCTGGAACAAAGCATAAAGTTTAAATCACAGCAGAGCTCTGAGAAAAAAGTTATATGCCAAAAATGAATGATGAAGTAAAAGTCAGAGCCCTAAGCAGCAGGTGTCTGATAGGTGGGCTACTTTTTGACAAGCTTTGATGCAGGGACCCAGGCTTTCCCTGTCTTATGGCTCCATCATCTTTATCATGTAATTTCTAAGGTCACCATGCTTATTTTCATTAAGCTGATGAAGGCAAAAGGAATACAAAGAATGGCCTTTTGGGGAAGTTTTATGGGCCAGACCTAGAAATGGCCTACATCACTTCCATTCTTATTCCACTGGGCACACATGACTGCAATGTGAAGTGTAGTCAGGCTGTGTTCCCAAGAAGAGGAGGAATTGAATTTGGAAATTAGCTAAAAGCCTGTGTCGCAGTAAGCAAAACAGCCCTACCATCTTATCATTCTAGATGCATGGGAGTTGGAAAAAGAAATATAAGCTCTTTTAAGTCTCAAGTGCTTACATTTTCAGGAATAGTAGATTGAGAAATTTTTAAGTAGACTAAGAGTTGAAAGTCTTTGCGGGTACATTCTTTTTTAACCTTACTTTTTACCTTTTTTAGATGGATTTGATGTCTCCATACTTTGATCAGGGTGAAAGGGTGATATCCAATTTTGCAGCAAGAGAGTACTTTACTTTTTCATCAATAAGTTTCTGCGTTCCCAATAGAGTTATTCCTTGATCCAGGAGAATCTGTTTTTCTTTCACTATTCAAAATTAGCACGCATTTGATGCTTTATGCAGAAAGTGTGAATGGATATGAATCAGGAGGTTAACATATCTGCATACGGGTTTAGAGGTAAATGAGTTCAAGTGCCAAGGCCAAATCTACTGAATTATAGATGTATTAAATCAGATAAAACATTAATTATTACATTTCTGGACATTTGCTTGTTAATTATCTAAGAATTTAGTTTTAATTGAGTACATGTGGACACAAAGAAGGGAAGAGCAGCACTGGGGCTTACTTGAGGGTGAAGGGTAGGAGGAGAGTACCTATCTACCTATTGGGTACTATGCTTATTACCTGGGTGATAAAGTAATCTGTACACCAAACCCCCATGACACCTATATAACAAACCTGAACACGTACCCTGAACCTAAAATAAAAGTTTAAAAAAGAAGATAAATAAGTAAATATTTTCTCTCAGAAAAACAAAAAGAATCTAATTTTACACAAAGCTTAAATATTTGTTTGATTTTCCTTAGTTTGCCTTAAAAATTTGAAATTCATCAGCTAGAGATATTAAATCAGAAGCTAAAGAGCAAAATCTAAGAAGGAGAGCTCGAAATACTCCTTTCCCTATCTGGAAGCTTTTGCAATTCTTTTTCTCCATGGGATGTGGAAATCCTTAAGATGGCCTGCCAGCCTCAGCCCAATGGAGGAAGGCTCTCTGCTCACTGGGTTCTAGATTTGCTGTTTTTCTTTCTCGTGGTAATGCTCTATCCTCTTCCTTGGGGCCTTGCCGTTGCTTTTTCCTCTGACAGGAGCACCATCTTTGCTAGTAAGCTCCTGCAGATATCAGCTTAAACCCCAAAACACAACCTCAGGAAAGCCTTTCCTGAACCACATGCTGGGTGAATGCCCTTGTAATACACTCTGTAAAACTTAGCACTTCCTTGTAGTAGTTTAGCATCCCTGCAACTAAATAATTAACTTATGAATTCGGTTGTCCAAAATTTGTTCTTCCTTGAGAATGTAAGTGCCACTGTGGGGGAGACCCTATTTGTCTTGTTCACCATTGTACCCTATTTGTCTTGTTCACCATTGTATCTCTAGTTCCTGGTTTAATGCCTGATTAAGACGGGCATCATCAGATGTTAATTTAATACATGAATATTGTGCTTTTCCATAAACAGTTTGAAGAGCCTTGCTTGTCTCCCTTTTATGCATCTCTATGACATTTTACCAAGTAGAAGGCTAGGAGAATACCCTTCACAGATCCTCACAGCTGAGAACATCCCTGTTCCCTAGTTTCTCTTTGCAAGGACCACTGGTGGCTCCCAGAACCCCTAAGTGTTCCAAATACAGCCCTACAGCACCTTCAAGGGGAAGAAAAAGGATGGTCAAGTGTTGTTTTTGGCCAGCCACATTGAAGAGGTTTAAGAAGTGTGATACATCAAGCCTCTCGAATTGTGCCTGCACTTGTTATCAGAATAGGACAAAGCCCAAGAAACCAGAAGATGTATCAAAGGTACTTCAGATCCTGAGGTAGAAATGGGGGCTGTGCCTCCTAGTATATTGCTAATAATACTGCTGGTCTAATTCCCCAGTCATTCTCTTTATAATCCTAGGGGTAAAATGCTGTTGGGTTGGGCTACAGGAAGGCTGAGGTCTGAGGAAAAGTGCTTCTCACGCATTCTCCTTATCTGCTCTCCATTCAACCATCTGAGGGGACTTTGCAATCTTAGAGAAAAAGGAATTTTTTTAATCCTTTCATGATTTCATTTCTGTCCTTGCCAGAGGGATAACTGAGAATTTTGTCAAGGCCACAGCTGCACGGGGTTGTCTCAGGTCAGTCAGAAAGACTGATCCACCCCTTAGAGTGAGACTAAATAAAACTGTAAAGTTAATAGGGTTGCGTGTTTCACAAAGATCCCTGAGAAGACTTAGGTCACCCAGGGCTACCTGACCACAGTGAGCTCCACGTGTGGACTTGACCTGGGATTCCCTTACAGCCAGGGCAAAGAACAAAATACCCCAAGAGAGGTGTTCTTTCTGTGATCTACAAGTGGGTGTCTGCGTTTCTGCTCTTAGTTTCCATTTAAAATTTCATTATTTGGCTTTTATGGGATGATAGATGTGATTCCGATTCTTGCTTCAACTATTTCTGGAGTAATAGGTGATTAAATTGCACACTTTTTTCTTCTAAGCCCTAAGAGGTGTTTGAAACTAACGTTGTGAGGAGAGAACGAACTACCAGTACCCTCTCAGCCAGCTGGAATCCTCCACATGGCTTCTTGGCTGGGACCTTCATTCAACTAGACCCTCAATACTCTCTCTCCCCAGGCTTTTCTTCACTGAGTCCTACCTTTGTGTATGTGTTTCCTGTGCCCCTTCAGCACTCATGGACTCATTTTTATCATAGTATTGTGCATAATTTCATTTCCTACATAGGTTATTCTAAATATATGCCTTCTCTTAAGTCATCTAGAACTTAATAGAGTTTTTCTTCAACCGAGCAGCAGTTCTGGAGTCATCTATTTTGTTATGACAATGTCTGGGTCTCCCCTATACCTCAAATTACCCTCTCTTTGCATATGCACTTGCCTTTTGTTTGTAGAGGTGTCAGGACGTGGTGATATGTGCATAATGCTCACACTATCATGGCATGTAACTTCCTGAGGATCAGCAGATGGGTGGTCTGAGAAGAGTAGAAAAGCTAACTTCCTGACTTAATTCTCTTATGTCCTCCACTTTCTATAATCAGTTTTTGCAACTGCTACATTATCAATACATGAATTTAATAATATAACCTGCTAACCTGCATTTACTTATAGAAATAATAAACTTAGAGAAGATAAATATAGGTTTCTGAAAGGCTAGGTGTTATTTCACAGGCTCCTTTCAATTTCTTTCTACCCTTAGAATCTACTGCAATATTCTGCACAGAGACTGCTAGCTAACTTCCATTATCTATGCTTTGCTTCTTGGCCATAGGAGACCACATCTTTAGCTGGGTGTGTAACTACCTAGCAAAAGGCACAATTTTTCAGCCTTTCTTGCAGCCCTCTTAGCTGTCATTAAGTTTCAGCCAATGAGATGTAGATATAATGGTTAAATGGAGTTCCAGGGAAAAATCCCTTAATGGAGAGTCTCCTTCATTTGTTCCCCAGTCTATAAATGTGATTTGGAGGCTTTGGGGGGCTTTTAGGGACAGAAGCCACAGTTAGGGATGATAAAACAGAGACATGGAAGGATCTTGGGTTCCTGACAACTCAGTGGAGCCACCTTATCAGTTCTGGACTGCCTACTTTTGTATTCTGTTTGTGTGAGAGAGAAATAAGAGACATCAATCTTGTTTAAGTCACTGTTGTTCTGAATTTGTCTGTTACATGCAGTTGATACTAATCCTAACTTACACAATCTACCATCTGCTTGATACCATTGATATAGAGATTAGTGGATGTGTATAAGTATTTTCAATCTATGGCTTTAGAGATAAAATGGTAAGTGTAATGACTGATTACAAGAGCTAAAGTAATTGCCAAAATTCAGGGGAATAATAAAGCTTAGAACTGTCAACTTTATATTCTGTCTTGCCCTTTCTGTCAAGTGTAGGATTATTAAAGTCATTACCTCAGAAAAAATGTCCACTGCTATCCAGTCTGTAGCCTCACATCCCTCATTTCCAACCTTGCACCCTTCTTAGTACACACAAAATGAAATTGTTTGCCAACTGTACTCAGTAAAGATTAGAGCACTTTTGCAAACAAAGTTTGGTTCCTGGACTTGAACTAAAGAAATGAACTATGGTTTACGTGAACAATTACTGGGGTGCAGAAAGGATGTTTGTTCAAATAAGAAATGAAGTTAGGAAAGAACAAGCCCAGAGTGTTGTTTATTATCATCATGTAATGAGAACGCTTCATTGTTTTCCAATTAGATACAAAAAATGTTAAACTTTGTTTTTAGCCATAGTTGTTTGAATAATGGATACTAAACTTACCAGAATGTCAGAGAGGAAAAGAGAAGAAAACAGAGGCTGTTTTACTTATTTGAAAAGAGGTAAATAAAACAAGAGGCATACTGTTCTCTGAGTATGACCTGCTACTTAGAGAGTCATGTTGTTCTCTATGTATGACCTGCTATCCAATCCACTTCTCCTTTTTTATTTACACAGACTTGGAATTAGAAACATTACACAGATCAGTGTATCTACTTAAAATAAAAAGTATAGAAAGAAGATATTGTGTAAGGAATGTCTGACTCCTTCTTAGTAATATTGACAGCATGGAAACATGTTAATTCTCTTGAGTCCAGTTGTCCCCAAATGGTGTTTTTCTCATTTCAAGCATATGATGGTGCCATATGATTGGCAAATACTCTCTGCTAAAACTGAAAATCTATAAAGAACTAAGTAAGCACGGAAAGAGCTTGGAATATCCTATTTCTGGAGTGAAATGCATCTGTGAATTATAATAGCTGCTAGTTTCATGATCCTTCACTCCTAATCCAGTTCCCAATATTGTTGAAAGAATTGTCACAACACATCACCTTTCTATCTCAGACCACTGAATTTTTCATATCATTATCAAGTTATACTCATTCAACTCTTCTTTCCCACTTTGGAGAGATGGGGTACGATTAGAATGAAAACCAAAGTACAGCCAACTACTGGTTATGTGAGAAGACTTAACCATGAGTAAGAAGTAGTAAGACTTTTCCACCCAAGTTTTGGTCTTTTTAGTCCAGCCGATGTTAACAATTATCATTACTTGGCCAGTGCCCAATCATGACTCCAAATTAGATACCTGCACCTTACCTGGTCGTGGCCACACAAGTTATTCCACACCAACATATGTAACAGGAGCAATAATTACCCTAGGTAACACACAGTGCTACTCAGCACTCAGTAGGCACTCTTCCAAGCTATATATGAGTATTAGCTCACTTAGTCTTTACAACAACTCTGAGATTCTGTTATAATCCTGTTTCAGAGACATGCCAACTGAAGCAAGAGATTAAATAATTTGCTCAAGCTCACCCAGCTACTAAATGATACACCATGGGTAGAGTGTCTTCAAGTTTCTAACCACTGCACACACTGCTTCTCTAGTACAGTAAATATAATAAGAAAAGCAAATTAGGAAACATTCAAGTAAAACTCAATCTCATCCTGCTTGGAGCCTATCTCTTTTCAATCTGCAGGAGTATTAGTAATTGACTAACTGTTGTCCCAGGTAATGATTCTACAAGGAATACTAACGACATCCCTGGGTATATATTCTACCCAGAAACTTTGCTTAGTGAAAGTAAATGTGAGTCATGCATTTAGAATTATGTCATTCTCAGACTAGTATCTTTCTAAGTCTCTGCTCCACCCCAAGTTCAGGCTTTTGAAGGCATGTTAGTGTTTATCATTCTCTGGAAATACTCCCATCCTCTCCAAATATTGCTGTGTGGACATGCCAAATGGATTCATCTGCTCTTTATATGCATTCCCTAGACACTGTACACTAATAACTCAAGGAAATGGTCTGTCATCTTTCTCAAAGCAAAAAAAAGCCTTTGCCTCTGGTTTTTCAATCCCTTGTCCTTTCTTATTTCACTATTTTTATAAATTATTAACATTTGACTTCTTTCTTAGGTAGGAGAAATAAACGAAATTAGGCTTGTTTGTTTTTATATGGGAATAGTAGTTATTTAAGCCTAATAAATCACCAGCCTGATGAATCAGGACCTGGGAACCAGCCTGACTTGAGAGTCATGCATTAAACATAGCCTCCGGGGAACCTATCTATGAAGAAGCTGTATCTGATTCTCTCTTTTGCTTCATAGATTGTTAGACTCAGGGATCTTTTTTTTTTTTTGAGATGGAGTCTTGCTCTGTCGCCAGGCTGGAGTGCAGTGGTGCAATCTTGGTTCACTGCAACCTCTGCCTCCCAGGTTCAAGTGATTCTCCTGCCTCAGCCTCCTGAGTAGCTGGGACTACAGGCACCCGCCACCATGCCTAAGTAATTTTTGTATTTTTAGTAGAGACAAGGTTTCACCATGTTGGCCAGGATTGTGGTCTCGATCTCCTGACCTCGTGATCCACCTGCCTCAGCCTCCCAAAATGCTGGGATTACAGGCATGAGCCACCGCGCCCGGCCGGATTGTCTATAACATAGAATCTATGTTAATATTTTTATTTCCAAATGGGGATAGTAAAGCCCAGGCAGTCTGAGTGACTTGTCTAAGGTCATATAAGTTTTGGCAAAGCCAGGACTGGACCTATGTCCCAGAGCCTTCTTCTGGTAATCTTGCCATTTCAACACATTTTCTCTCTGGGTGGGTGTATTAGTTTGTTCTCATGCTGCTATAAGGACATACCCACGACTGGATAATTTATAAAGGAAAGTGGTTTAATTGGCTCACAGTTCTGCATGGCTAGGGAAGCCTCAGGAAACTTAACAATCATAGTGGAAGGAGAAGCATGCATGTCCTTCTTCACATGGAGCAGGAAGGAGAAGTGCCAAGCAAGGGGGAAAAGCCCCTTGTAAAACCATCAGATCTCATGGGAACTCACTATCATGACAGCAGCATGGGGAACCACCTGCATGATTAAATTACTTCCCACCAAGTCCCTCCCATAACACATGAGGATTATGGGAACTACAGTTCAAGATGATATTTGGGTGGAGACACAGCCAAAAAATATTACTGTCCCCCCGACCCCTCCCAAATCTCATGTCCTCACTTTTCAAAACACAATCATGCCTTTCTAACAGTCCCCCAAAATCTTTGCTAATTCCAGCATTAACCCAAAAGTTCAAGTCCATAGTTTCATCTGAGACAAGGCAAGTCCCTTCTGCCTAGGAGCCTATAAAATCAAAAGCAAGTTAGTTACTTGCCAGATACAATAGAGGTATAGGCATTGGGTAAATACACCCGTTCCAAATGGGAGAAATTGGCCAAAACAAAGGGGCTACAGTCCCCATGCAAGTCTGAAATCCAATAGGGCAGTCATTAAACCCTAAAGTTCCAAAATGATCTCCTTTGACTTTATGTCCCACATCTAGGTCACACTAATGCAAGAGGTGGGCTCCTACAGCCTTGGGAAGCTCCATCTCTGTGGCTTTGCAGGATATAGTGCCCTTCTGGCTGCTTTCACAGGATAGTGTTGAGTGTCTGTGGCTTTTCCAGGAGCATGGTGTGAGCTGTCAGTGGATCTACCATTCTGGGGTCTAGAGGACGGTGGCCCTTTTCTCACTGCTCCACTAGGCAGTAGCCCAGTGGGGACTCTGTGTGAGAGCTCTGACTCCACATTTCCCTTCCACACTACCCTAGCAGAGAGGTTCTCCATAAGGGCTCCACCCCTGCAGCAACCTTCTGCCTGGATATCCAGGCATTTCCACACATCCTCTGAAATCTAGGCAGAGGTTCCCAAACCAGAATTCTTGACTTCTGTGTACCCACAGGCTCAACACCACGTGGAAGCTGCCAAGGTTTGGGGCTTGCACCCTTGAAGCCATGGCCCAGGCTCTACCTTTGCCCCTTTTACCCATGGCTGGAGCTGAAGTGGCTGGGACACAGGGCACCATGTTCTGAGGCTGCACAGAGAAGGGGGGCCCTGGACCTGGCCCAGGAAACCATTTTTTCCTCCTAGGCCTGTGATCCTGTGATGGGGGTCCACCGTGAAGGTCTCTGACATACCTTGGAGACATTATCCCCATTGTCTTGGTGATTAACATTAGATTCCTAGTTACTTATGCAAATTTCTGCAGCCGGCTTGAATTCTCCCCAGAAAATGGTTTTTTCTTTTCTATTGCATCATCAGGCTGTAATTTTTCCAAACTTTTATGCTCTGCTTCCCCCTGAATGCTTTGGTGCTTAGAAATTTCTCCTGCCAGATACCCTAAATCATCTCTTTTGAGTTCAAAAGTTCCACAGATCTCTAAAGCAGGGGCAAAATACTGCCAGTCTCTTTGCATAGCAAGAGTAACCTTTACGCCAGTTCCCAAGAAGTTCCTCATCTCCATCTGAGTCCACCTCAGCCTGGACTTTATTGTCCATATCACTATCAGCATTTGGGTCAAAGCCATTCAACAAGTCTCTAGGAAGTTCTAAACTTTTCCCACATCTTCCTGTCTTTTTATGAGCCCTCCAAGCTGTTCCAACCTCTACCTGACACTCAGTTCCAAAGTTGCTTCCAAATTTTCAGGTATCTTTTTAGCAGCACCCCACTCACTGTGGTATGAATTTACTGTATTATTTCATACTCATGCTGCTATAGGGACATATCTGAGACTGGGTAATTTAGAAGGGAAAGAGGTTTAATTGACTCACAGTTCTGCATGGCTAGGGAGGCCTCAGGAAACTTACCATCATGGCAGAAGGGGAAGCAAACACCTCCTTCTTCACATGGTGGCAGGAAGGAGAAGTGCCGAGTAAAGTGAGAAAAACCCCTTATAAAACTATCAGATCTCATGAAACCTAACTCACTATCAAGAGAACTGCATGGGGGACTGCCCTGATGATTCAATTACCTCCCACTGGGTCCCTCCCATGGCATGTGGAGATTATGGGAAACTACAATTCAAGAACAGATTTGGGTTGGGACACAGCCAAACCATATCATTGAGTGAGGGACACAGAGAAGGCCTCTTTTAAAATGTGCAAGAGATGAAGGATAAGAACTTATCATGTTATATGGCTCAGGATCTCATGTTCAACTTTTAGGAGTTAAGACAGGCATTTACTATCATTCTCCCAGGAGCTGCTTTAGGTTCTAAACTTGTAGGTTTTCTAGAATCCCCAGGAGGCAGGGTGAGTGAGGAGCACTGGGAGAAATACACAGCATGTTACTGTGCATCATGGCTTCACTATAGAGACACAGTCATAAAATATGTTGTCTTTTCTCTACAAGTCTCAATTATCTTACCTTTTTGTAGCAGCATTAATTCTAGCTCAACTCTGGTTCTTTTTAAAGCACTCTAGCTTCTGACCCTTAGAATTCCCCCAAGTCTTTGTCTGTCCTACTTCTTACCCTTGCATATTTTAACCCCTGGGGCCCACCTCCATCCCTTGCCTTGTGAGTCCTCTCATCCCAGATTCTGCATTGAATTTTCACAGCAGAAGGTAAGATTAACATCTTACCTTCCAAACCAATAGCTAGCTCTTTGACCATGCCCTAAGAAGTTTCTCTACCTGTAGCCCCTAACATCCTCCAACTGATCTCTGTAAAAACTTACAGAAAATTAGAAATTCATCAATTTCCCTTAAAGTATGGCACAAATAACTTTAGTTTCCTTCTCCTCTATTTTTCTTTCTTTGGTATGGTAGGAAGAACACTGGGTTTGGAATAAAAATAACTCAATTATGGTTCCAATGTAGTAATCTAGCAGCCTGAGTTCTAGGGAAAATGCATTTACCCCTAAAATGTATTCAGAGACTTCATTTCCTTATTTGCAAAATCAGGATGTATGACAACAGCTCTGCCTACATCATTGGTTAGATTATGGCTACCAAGTGAAAATGATAGTTCTTTTTGTTAATCATAAATTCAACAAATACTGGCACTTATTCACCATCAGGCTGTGGCTGTGGTTGGGTATAATCAATAATGACCAGATAGTCTCTCCCATCTTAGATATGAAAATAGTTTGTAAGCTGTAAAGCATTATGCCATTATTCTATACAAATTCTACCTCCTGGAGTTTCCCTGTCCCTTTAATCTTATTAATTAAAACTCCAAGTTCCAAGGCAAGCTTGACTGAAGCACTCACTGCACACCTCAGAGCCCAGGAATACCTTTGACTAGATGAATAAAGTTGCAGGCATTCTGGAGATGAGAACTCACACAGAGGTTACTAACCCCACATCTATTCTGAGAAGCTAGAGGAAAACTTCTCAAAAGTCCTTGAGAATGATAATAGGGTGGGGTGGGCTGCCATGAAGTCAGAAGCTGCCATCTGGCTTTATGCTCACCCAGCCTAGTCTTGGCTTCATACACTAGTCTCTGGATTCCACCTTGCTTCGTGTTTCAGCTAACACAGATTCAGGGATGGGGAGAGGCACCACCAGCCATCATAACCACCTCAGACATGGCCTTTTGCTTTTATTGGTTTATCTTCTAATACATCAGAAAGGCTTTCTCTCCCAATTTCCAATGCTCTCAGAAAGATTATTTAGCAGTGCAAGTGGAAGAGCAGGACTTTCATCTACCACATCCCAAATCAGCAAACAAGAGAGAGAAACATCCCAGCAGCTGTCTATCTATAACTTGCATTCTCGCAAGTTTTTAATCAATGCCAATTTTCTTGCTGTCAACACATTCTCTATAAATTTAGACACTATCTGTTAAAGATCACTTCAAAAATATAATGTTACAGGTTTTCACTGATTTTCCTGAGCCCCATTTACAGTGAACCAATCTGTGCCAGAACTTTTTGGGACTAACAGCAAAAATTCAGTCTTTGAGAAACGTCTTTTCATGGAACTAGCTATATGTAAGTCCAGAACATGTTAAATTGACAGAATATTCTTTCCTCATTCTCTCAGCTTTCTCCAGTGCCAGGACATTCTGAAATAAACACTTAGCTTGCAGCTGATTTTGAAGAGGAGGTGTCAGTGCAATTCAGGATTTTGCCATGAGGGAATCTATGTCTTTCCTTTTCATAAATAAATCCAATACTTACATAATCATTCGAGGTCATTCTTGGAACCCATGCTGAGAGTAGTGACAACTGCTGATGACAATTTTTTTTTTAAAAGGTGAAAAGGTATGAGGTATATCAAAAGCATCTTCACATCATAGACTGGTAGTGAGGAATCTGGAATCTGGTGGCATAAGTGGTCAATAAATACGGGCATATTCTATCTACTCCTCAAGAAAACTAGGACCTGAGTCCGATAAAACAGAAAATAATCACTACACACCCAAGCAGTGGCCTCACAGTGTCTACCACATTTTCCAGCAGAATACACCACCTGTGTTAAGAACTAAAGTCATCCTGCTGCTGACAGATTGTCAACAAACCTAAGGATGTGTGGTTGGGTACCACTGAGCATGGCACAGACTTGGAGATAAAACCTGAACTAATCTTTCTAAAATGCTGCTGGCCCTTAGCCATCATATCTCAAGTTATGAGCTCTGGAACAGAGAAGTATAAAATATTTAAACAACAAAGTCACATATTGCAGCATTCCCTCCTGCAACCTCATGAGGGCTAGGTCAATTCATGCTATGCCATGTAGATGGGTCAAGGTAGTAATATCCACGCTGCAATGTGTTTATTCAGCAGGAAAGATTATCCAGATTCTTCATATCCAGAATCAGTAAGATATTTCAGAGAAAGGCAATGAACTTGCACGTTGTTTATTGACCTTACTTAAGCATTTCATACCAGTGTGTCTGGCAGCTTTGGGAACTATTGTGTAAGTGGGGTTACCCAGAAATGATTTCCAACATTCTGAAAATGTTTCATAATCAAGGATTTGGTGAATTCAGTGTGAATCGCATTGCCCCTAACCTATCCTTTTTTTATAAACCAGATTTTAGCACTGAAACAGACCTTACATAATTATGCCATTTGAAAATGCAGCCTTGCTTGGCAATCCAAGCAGTGCATGTCAGTCCAAGGATCCATTTCTAATCCTCCAGTCAACCCTCCCATTTCGACAGGCTGCTGTCTCTCACTGGCACCCTTGAGAAGAGTAAATCTGAGCTGGTGACGGAACATTCTTTGCACACAAAGAAAAAGCTGCACAATCAACTACCTGTGTGGGCTCAGGAAGGCATCACAGGTTGGAAATTAGGCTGAAGAATAAGTATCAAGTTTCGAACTCTTTTGGGAAAACCCCAGACCCAGCCAAGAACCGTTGGCAAGAGCACATGGCTGAGAGCCTGGGACTTGGCTGCTTGGCAGCTGACTGATATTTGATTCTTTAAAGAGACAAAGAATTAAAATCCAATCAGCAGACACGTCTTCATAGACATATATAGACACAGCGAGCAAGTCACATATTTAGAACGGCAGAATGGTCCAGGATGATTTGCCTAAAAGCTTGTAACCAAAATGGTCAGAGACAGAATTGCTAGCCATTAGTGTCTGGGTTTCAGGCAGAGCACAGGAGGACAGACTTTGGAATCCTGACTATCACTAACAAGTTAGGTAACCATGGGCAAGTTATTTAATCTCTGAACCACCTGTGAGATGGGGAAAATAATAGGAACACCCATGCAGGGTTCTTGTGAGGACTAAATGAAGATTGTTCACCTGTGATTGTTAAACATAGGAATGGCCTCAGAGTAAATGCTCAACAAAGGAAAGCTAAAATAATTAGAGGCTTAAATTCACAACTTTTGAAGTGTTTCTTTAAACCAGGTTAAATAAATTCAGAGCCTAGAGACAGATATATATATACAAATGAATATTTGATTTATGCAGAGCAGTGGGATAGACATTTTAATAAATGAATAAATGGTACTAACACAACTGAGTGTGCAAATAAGAAAAAAGAATTCAATCTTTTTTTAATGGGTTGTACCACAAATCTAGGCACAATATAGATGCTAAATGAAAGAGTGAACAAAAAATAAATTTTGTTCAGGATTAATTAAAAGCTTAAGTGTAAAATGCAAAATTATAACGTTTTTACAATAACCTAAGACAGCAGTCCCTAACCTTTTTGGCACCAGGAACTGGTTTCACGGAAGACAATGTTTCCACGGACTGTGGGGGTGGGCCGATGGTTTCAGGATGAAACTGTTCCACCTCAGATCATCAGGCATTAGGTTTTTATAAGTAGCACTCAACCTAGATTGCTCACATGCGCAGTTCACAATAGGGTTTGCACTCCTATGAGCATCTAATGCTGCTGCTGATCTGACAGGAAGCAGAGCTCAGGCTGTAATGCTCACTTGCCCACCACTCACCTCCTGCTGTGCAGCCCAGTTCCTAACATGCCATGGACAGGTACCCATCCACAGCCTGAGGGTTGGGGAACCCTGATCTAAGATATCTTCCTGAGGGAAAGTGGTAGAGTTAAAGAGGGCATAGAGGGAACTTCTGGGTGCTGGCTGGATTTGATTTCTTGGCCCAGGAGATAGCTGTATGGGTATACATTTTATATTATCCTTTAAGCTGCTCATGTGCTTTTTACAGTCCTCTGTATGTATGGTCTCTCTTTCCCTTCATGTCCTCTGTGATCTCCATCCCTCCGAGTGCCTTTGCAGCACATCCATGATCAGGCCATTTAGAGGGCTAATCCTATTTTTAATGGAAAAAAGAAATAAAATATAATAAATATTTAAATAAATACAAATATGTTGTTTATGTGAGAGCATAGGTGGGCTAGTTATAAATACATAGTGACACCGTTTGACATAGTCCTCCTTTTGGCTTTAGTCAGGCACAAACCAAATGCTACTTCTCTCTCTCTCTCTCTGTCTCTCTCACTCTCTCTCTCTCATTCTCTTTAAAATTTCATCTGCTACTTGTGCTCACATTCTGCCCAGCTCATCTGTCAAGCTGCAGACCCCAGGCCTTTCCTGTTTGCACTGACCATTTCCTGAAAATCCACTAATTCTCTCCTGCTTTTTGACCCTTTCTCAGAAAGTTGCATCTTCTGGTTGGTGGATACATTCCTACCCATTCCTCGCTTTCTGATACAGTCTCTCAAAATGCTTCCTTTTCTTTTTACAAATTTGCCCCTTATTCCAGGTCCTCAGGCCCAAAATATTGACCTAGAGACTGCATTCTCATTTAGTGGACTTACCTTATCCTCATATGCCTATCAATTTTAAAGCAGCAGATCTAAAATCCATATTTACCCAATTACCTTTTGAGTCTACGTTAAGAAAGATTAAAATAGAATTTACAGAAATATTAATAAAAGAATAGTTCTTTGTACTATCAATGTTAAACACAAAGTATATGTTTAATAAACACTTAATAAATTAAGAAATTCCACATTAGGTTAAGCATTTAAAGCAAATTAATGTTCAAATAAAGAAAGACATTACAAACTTGGGCCTATAAGCACTAAATTGGATCTTCCTAATACACTCACGGGTAATTAGTGTTGTGTATGCATGCTCTTATTTTAAATAGAGTTCATTTTTAAACAGAAATGCTTCAGTTATTAGCTACATGTTCTATTCTCTTTGTTACTCCTCCTCTACCTAGAAAAAAATCCTGGTTATTTACTCTGCCCCACCACACCCATACTGACCGCTATTCACTTGGTAGGCAAAATATCTACAAGGGAATCATCCGTCTCTCAGTGCTAAAAGGAAATGAAGAAACAGCAAGTAACCTCTAGGTCTCATGATTTCCCCTTCAAGTAATGTCCAAAGCACACCTTCCCTAGCATTACTCCTCTCACATCAGTATCTGAGCTTTTATTTAATTCTTGCCCTAACCTCAGTGAGCTGATCCTGGCTCCACTAGGGTCAGTTTCAGTTTTTCAATCTCCTCTAATCTTATACCCTTCTTCAGAGGACGTAGGTAGTAGATCCTTCCCTAAGAGGTAGGAAAGCTTTTCCTCCAATATACTCCAGCTTACCCTGCACCCTAGGCCAGAAAGGAGACCTGAGAGACAAGCGGAGAGACAAAATCATCAGTGTTACTAGGGTTTCTGACACAGTACAAGACACCGTGGGAGAAGGAATAAGGTCAGGGAGAGGCTAGAATTTCGTCTCATGGAGACCAAGACTGTGCCATTCATATTTAGGGCAATCTGATGACCCTTTGCTGATTTTTCTAATCCCTACAGTTTCACTGCTCTGTGTCCTTTTAGAGAAAAAATAAAGTCCCAGGATAAGATATCACCTCCAGAGACAAGTGTAGATAAGTTACTTTTTTCATTCACTTATTCATTTATTTAGCATCTATATTGTACCTAGATTAGAGAAAGAATATAAAAGAGGCATAAATTGTGGTCTATAAAAACCAAATGAGAGAAAACATCAATAACCACTGTAGGCATTTAGGAGAAGAAGAAATTCTCACCAGTCAGGATGGTCTAAAAATGCCTTGTAGAGAGGGGTATCCAAACTGGAACTTAAATCTAAGGATCATTAAGGAAGGAAGGGAGGAGAGCATTGCAGATAAAGAGAAAAGCACTTTAAAAATCTAGGATACAGGGATGTGCCCAGAATGTTTGAGTACAGTAAAGAAACCACGGAAATTAATGATTGTAGAAGGAAGCAGCAGGAAAGAAGCAAGGTTTTAGGATGGTCTGTCAGGTAGAGGTGCCGGGGACTTTTTTTCTGTAGGTAATATGGGATCATGGAAGGTTTGATCTAATGGTACAGTGCAGTGAGGTTAAAGACGGGAGGCAGAGAGTCCAGCAAGGATAGTATCCAAGGTCCAGAGGAAAATGGCTAAGTGAGGATGCAGAGGAAGGCAGGGGAGGCTTGGGAGAACAAGAACAACCATTCTCTAGCGAAACATTTTTAGGTAAAGAAATCAATGTCTAAATGGATGGCCTGAAGCAGGTGTGATAAAAGGGGAGGACCAGGCCCTGCCTTATGGGGTGATGGCTTCTCTGCAGACTCTTACAGACAAAAGACTTAGATCATGCTTAGTGTCAGTGGGCAGCCTCTGTATATCATAGTGTGTACATGTATATTGTGTTTTGAGATATTGACCAATGATATTATAAAGCTACAAGATTAGAAATATAGTATTTATTTTACCTTTATCCCATATTTTAACATAAATTTTGTAATGTTTAACTACAAAATATATTAGGACATTGGTGTTTGTGTAAAATTTATAAATAAATAAGTATAAATGTATTGGAAGTGTTTGCTCATATTTTTTTAACTGATAAGGGTATGTGATCAAAAAGTTTCAAGATAAGGAATGTGAAATAACCCTTGAGTCCAGGTTCCCATCAGCCCGAGTCGTAAGCACTATCTAAAATACACAGAATATTGCCAGGCATGGTGGTATGTGCCTGTAGTCTCAGCTACTTGGAAAACTAAGCAGGAGGATTGCTTTAGGCCAGGAGTTTGAGGCAGCAGTGTGCTGTCATTGCACTTGCTCATAGCCACTGTGCTCCGGCCTAGGCAACATAGCTAGACCCTATCTCTGAAAACAAAACAACAAAACAAAAACATAAAATAAAAGAAAGTAAAATATACAGAATATGGTAATGTGACTCGTGTCACTAGAAAGAACAGAGCCAGGAGGAATTCCTCTACAGAGGTCTAGACATGGGCTTGATAAGTAGCCTCCAGGCCAAATGGAGCCCTCACTACCAGCAATACCACGGGCAAAGAAAATATAGGGTCATCTTTGATCATAAAGATACCAGCCTAGGACTCAGTTTCAAATCATGGAGATCAGTACAGCTCATTTTTAAAAACATCTTTTTCATTTTTATCATGAAGTTTTCCTGGAACATTTTATATTTTTTATTATAAAATTTTCACCTATGTATTTATCTACTGTATATATATATCATAGATTGATAATTGACATAATTATCAATCTATAATATATTCCTCATAGCAGAGAATTTGCTGTAATTATCTCTACTCTCTCTCTCCTCTCTTTCTATATATATATACACACACACACACAGACACACACACATATATCTTATAGTAGAGAATTTAGTGAATCTCTATTTAACCATTACTCAGATTTAACAAATATCACCATTTTGCTACACTTGCTCCAACTAGCCCTCGTTTTTAAATTTCTTCTTAAATTGCATTTAAAAGCAAATTCCTAAAATCATGCTATCTTACCTAAATTTTTTTCATATAAAAATAAAAATAAAGATTATTTTCTTACACAGCTTTGTCATCTAGAACAAAATTAACAATAATTCTTTGATATCATCTAACAGTCTGTTCATTTTCACATTTCTTTGTCTCAAATATGTTGTTTTACAGTCAAGTTTTGTTGTTGTTATTGTTTTGTTATTTTGTATTGGGATCTATACAGTGTCTACATATTTGATGATAATGCCTTTTTCTCTCCATCCCCCCTTTTAAAATTGTAGTATAATTTATATACCATGAAAAGCATGAATCTAAGTATATCACTTAGTTAATTTTTGAAAAGTGGATACACTTGTGTGACCCACACCGTTATCATGATGGAGAACATTTCCATCGCTGAAGACAGTTTTCTCACGTCCCTATCTGGTCAGTTCCCCACCTCGGAGGCAATCACTTTTCATAGATTGGCTTTGAACTTGCTCTAGAACTTTATATAAATACTATAAAGTACAAATCTTTTTTGTGTCTGTCTTTTTGACTTGGCGTAAAGTCTTTGGGATTTAGCCATATTTTGGTTGCACTAGTAATTCATTCCTTTTTAATGCTAAATATTATTTTATGGATATATTATGATTTGTTGAGTTATTTACTGTAGATTGTTTCTTGTTTGAGGCTATTATGAAGATAGGCACTGTAAAGCTATAAACATTCTCTTTTAAGTCTTTTTGTGGATGTAAGCTTTTGTTTTTCTGGGGTAAATATCCGGGATTGAACTTAGTGGTTCATACGGTAAAAATGTATGTAAATATAACATACATTATATGAAATTATTAAAAAATTTTTGGAAGTGTTTTTATCACTTTACACATTCACCAGAAATGTATGAGAGTTTTGGTTGAGTCATATCCTGTCAAAATGCAGCATTTTTAATGTTTTTATTTATTTTACCTATTCTAGTAAGTATACAGAGGTTTTATTTGTTGTTGTTTTGTTTTAAAGAAAAGAAACTAAGTCAGGAGAAATAAGAAATGTTCCATGTCCTGGATTTGGCTGAATTTTTTCTTCCTGGTGTAGTTTAACTTGGTTCCCTATCCCATTTATTTTCAGTAAACATTTCTGGAGCTTTTTACTCCTTTTTGTAGAGCTATGTTTTTATCTGGTATAATTTTACTTCTGCATAAAAGGCTTATTTTTAACATCCCTTATAGTGCAAATCTGTTGGTAATAAATTATTTCAGCCTTTGAATGTATTTAAAGTCTTTATTTTGACTTTGCCTTTGAAAGATTTTTTAGTGAGATAAAGAATTCTATGTTGACTGTTTTTCTTACAGTACTTTAAAGATGTTGCTTTACTGTCTTCTAGCTTATGTGGTTTCTTACAAGAAATCTGTCATCCTTACCATTATTCCTCAGTGTGCATGTAAGGTACTTATTTTCTGACTGCATTTCTGTTTTTCACCAGTTTTAAGAAATTTTATTGTGCTATTTCATGGTGCATTTTTCTTGGTTTTCTTGTATTTGGGTTTTGTTGAACTTCTTGGATCAGTAAGTTGTAGTTTTTATTGAATTTGGAAACACTCAGCTACTATTACTTCAAATATTTTTCTGACCTCTTTCCCATTTCTTCCTCCAGAGATTCCAATTTCACAATCTTTGGCTCCTAGAAGTTGTCCCTTGGTTCACTGATGCTCTACTCATTTTTTTCAACCCTTATTCTGTTTCATTCTAGATAATTTCTATTCAGGTTTCTTACCTTTTTTCTTCAATCTCTAATCTAATCAACCCATCTAGTATATTTTTCACCTCAGTTTTTATCACTAAAATTTTTATTTTTGTATCTACTATGTCTCTCTTGGTATAATCAATATTTACTCTAGTTTGTTGAGTATATGGAATAGTGTTATATTAATGCTTTCCATATCCTTGACTACTAATGCCATCATTGGTGGCATATCTGTGTTAGTTTCAATTGACTTATTTTTTCCCTCATTATGGGTTGTATTTCCCTGCCTCTCAAGATACCTGATAACATTGTATTGGATGCCAGACGTTATGAATGTACCTTAGGTGGGGATTATTTTTGTATTCCTAAATATATTCATGAACTTTGGTCTGGGGCATAGTTATATTACTTGGAAACAGTTTGATTCTTTAGCTCGTGCTTTTAAGCTTTTCAGGTTGGACCTTCAGCACAGCATTTCGTTTAGGGGTAACTATGCCCCACTACTGAAGCAAGACCCTTAGTAGTTCTCTATCTGATGTCCCATGACTTATGAAGTTTTTTATTCTGACTGGTGGGAATCAGCATTAGTCCCCGTCCTTTGTAAGCTTCAGACATTTTTCCCTCTAATCCTTTTAGTGATCTTTTTCCTGGCTCAAGGTAAGTTTCTCACATGAATGCTCTGATCAGTAATCAACTGAATATTCAAGGCAGACTGTCTATGAACTTTCTAATTTATCTCTCTGAGCATCTATGTTCTGTAGTACTTGTATTAGTCTGTTCTCATGCTACTAATAAAGACATATCTAAGACTGAGTAATTTATAAAGGAAAAAAGTTTAATTGACTCACAGTTCCACATGTCTAGGGAGGCTTCAGAATCATAATGGAAGGTGAATGACGAACAGAGTCACGACTTACATGACAGCAGGGAAGAGAGTGTGCGCAGGGGAACTCCCCTTTATAAAACCATCAAATCTCATGAGAACTCACTCACTGACATAAGAACAGCATGGGAAAGCCCCCTGCCCCCATGGTGCAGTTACCTCCTACCAGTTCCCTCCCATGACATGTGGAAATTATGAGAGTTACAATTCAAGATGAAATTTGGGTGGGGACACAGCCAAATCATATTATTTATTCTACCTCAGCCCTTCCCAAATCTCATGTCCTCACATTTCAAAACTAATCATACCCTCCCAACAGTCCCCCAAAATCTTAACTTATTTCAGCATTAACTCAAAAGTCCACAGTCCACAGTCTCATCTGAGACAAGGCAAGTCCCTTCTGCCTATGAACTTGTAGGATCAAAAGCAAGTTAGTTACTTCCCAGATACAATGGGGGTACAGGAATTGGGTAAACATATCATGGCAAATGGGGACAATTGGCCAAAATGAAGGGGCTACAGGCCCCATGCAAGTCTGAAATCCAACAGGGCAGTCATTAAACCTTAAAGTTCCAAAATGATCTCCTTTGACTCCATGTCTCACATCCAGGGCACAATGATGCAAGAGGTGGGTTCCCATGGCCTTGGGCAGCTCTGCCCCTGTGGCTTTGTAGGGTGCAGCCCCAATCTTGGCTGGTTTCACAGGCTGATCTTGAGTGTCTATGGCTTTTCCAGGCACATGGTGCAAGCTGTCAGTGGATCTACCATTCTAGGGTCTGGAGGATGGTGGCCCTCTTCTCACAGCTCCACTAGGCAGGGTCCCAGTGGGGACACTGTGTTGGGACTTCACCTCCACATTTTTTTCCTTCTGCACTGCCCTAGCAGAGGTTCTCCATGAGGGCCCTGCCCCAGAAGTAAAATTCTGCCTGGACATCCAGGAGTTTCCATACATCCTCTGAAATCTAGGTGGAGGTTCCCAAAGCTTAATTCTTGACTTCTGTGCATCCACAGGGTCAACACCACATGGAAGCTGCCAAGACTTGGGGCTTGCAACCTCTGAAGCCATGGCCTGAACCGTACGTTGGCTCCTTTTAGCCATGGCTGGAGGTGCTGGAATGAATAGCACCAAGTCCAGAGGCTGCACACAGCAGGGGGTCTCTGGACCTGGCCCAGGATACCATGTTTCCCTCCTAAGCCTCCAGTTCTGTGATGGGAGGGGCTGCTTTCTGACATGCCCTGGAGATATTTTCCCCATTGTCTTGGTGATTAACACTTGGCTCCTGGTTACTTATGCAAATTTCTGCAGCCAGCTTGAATTTCTCCTCAGAAAAATGGGCTTTTCTTTTCTATCACATTGTCAGGCTGCAAACTTTCCAAACTTTTATGCTCTGCTTCCTCTTGAAGCATATTCTGCCAGATACCCTAAATCATCTCTCTCATCTCTCAAGTTCAAAGTTCCACAGATCTCTAGGGCAGGAGCAAAATCCACCAGTCTCTTTGCTAAAGCATAACAAGAGTGACCTTTGCTCCAGTTCACAACAAGTTCCTCATCTCCATCTGAAACAATCTCAGTTTTGACTTTATTGTTCATATCACTATCAACATTTTGGTCAAAGCCATTCAACAAATCTCTAGGAAATTCCAAACTTTCCCATATTTTCCTGTCTTCTTTTGAGCCCTCTAAACTGTTCCAACCTCTGCCTGTTTCCCAATTCCAAAACTGCTTCCACATTTTTGGGTATCTTTACAGTAGCACCTCACTCTGCTGGTACCAACTAACTGTATTAGTCTGTTCTCACGCTGCTAATAAAGACATATCCAAGACTGGGTAATTTATAAAGGAAAGTGGTTTAATTGACTCACAGTTCTGCATGGCTGGGGAGGCCTCACAATCATGGTGGAAGGTGAATGAGGAGCAAAGTCATGTCTTACATGGCAGCAGACAAGAGAGCATGTGCAGGGAAACTCCCCTTTATAAAATCATCAGATCTCAGGAGACTTATACAGTATCATGAAAACAGCATGGGAAAGACCCGCCCCCATGATGCAAGTGCCTCCCACCAGGTCCCTCTGATGACACATGGGAATTATGGGAGCTACAGTGTAAGGTGAGATTTGGGTGAGGACACAGCCAAACCATATCAGTACTCTACCTTGTAAACTCCCACTTCATTGGCTTCTTCAAACACCCAGCTTCATCTCTTTAACTCAGGAAGACCTCTGAGATTTGCCTTGGTCTCCCTCCATGCACCACAGCCTGGAGATGTTCCCCAGTAAGCTGGTCAATTATAGTGGTCACTTAATTTGTCTTTGTTTCTCAGGGATCATTGTCTTTATTGCTTGATGTTCAGTGTCTTGAGAGCCATTTTTTTCCACATATTTTGTCTGTTGTTTTAGTTGTTCCAGTCAGAAGGATAAGTATATACCCTGTTACCCCCATCTTGGTCAGAAAGCACATGCTTCTGTACAAATCTGTCTTTTCAGCTCTGGAAGTAGCTGCTGAGGCACAGAGCAGCCAAATGACAGATGACAAACCATAAGGGCCAATTGAAGAGGATAACTAAAAGGCAAGACTCCCAGCCAGAAACTTAGCCTAGTATACTTTCTCTTAGACAATATGATGTTGGCAATAGCTTCACACAATTCACTCAGGTCTACCAGGAGAATCTAATGAGGCCTTGGATACAAGAGTGCAATGGTTAGGCTGAATACTAGGAGAAAGAAAAGAACAAGATTAAAGCAGGGACAGAGGCCTCAGCCTATTTTAAATTGTCTACTCCATCCTCCTTACTTCCATAGCCTCTGGCAGCTTACCTCTGCTTCTTTACCTTCTAGGAAACACAGTGCCTCCTTGGACCTTGGACCATCTCTGTGTGATCTTAAAATAAACTTAGTGCTCATCCCAAAGCATAGAGCACATATAAAGGGGCCTGAAAAGGTGTGGTTCTCAGAGTAGGATGTTAAATGATTCACAGGATGCACTAAGAGGCACACAGCTGTTGCTTTCTTAATATTTCATGCACTTCAGCCTATCCACTTTTATCATTGACTACAAAAATCTCCATTTCTAAGTCTTTTGAAGCCGATATGGGCAGTGGTGTCATGACTTGATAGCACACTGTACACTGAAAATGTTGACATCTTTCTCCTGCCTTCTCAAGGCACAGCTCAGTGTAGTGCCAC